>NC_000016.10:58501894-58804924 GCF_000001405.40 Homo sapiens | reverse complement strand
GAGGGGGAGGGGAGCAGGACCCCTACAGGAGCTCATCCTCAAGACCCACAGCAGAGTGCCTGTCTGATATGGAGGCTTCGTCAGAACAACAGAAAACATGAGCCCTCTGCTGCTCCCACCCCACCAGTGGCCTATTGCTGGAGAGAGGCAACAGGGAAGATCTAAAGCTGGTGGTAGAGGCTGGGCACGGTGGCTCACGCCTGTAATCCCAGCACTTTGAGAGGCCAAGGCAGGTGCATCATCTGAGGTCAGGAGTTCGAGACCAGCCTGGTCAACATGGTGAAACCCCATCTCTACTAAAAATATAAAAATTAGCTGAGCACAGTGGTGCACACCTGTAATCCCAGCTACACGGGAGGCTGAGACAGGAGAATCACTTGAACCTGGGAGGCAGAGGTTGCAGTGAGCCAAGATCACATCACTGCACTCTAGCCTGGGCGACAGAGCTAGACTCCACCAAAAAAAAAAAAAAAAAAAAAAAAAAAAACACCAAACCTCTGGCAAACCAGCCCTATCTTAAATAAAAAGAAAAACCAGAGGAATTTGAAGCCTACGGTATATCGAGGATGTTTGAATTGTTTCCCCCAAAAAAAGATATGTTGGTAAATTTCAAGTGTTTCTTATCATAAATTTTTTAAGTATTTATTTGGCACAAGAGGTAATATGAGACAGATGGCTAGGAGACCACCTACTGAGCCTAGCCTGAGGACAGGGGTAAGTAGAGGGATAGGTTTTAATTTCAAAAGGTAATAGAGCTAACCAGTCAACACTTCCCTCCTCAGTCCTTTCTCTTTTGGGTACAGGTGAGTATAAACTCTTACCAACTATCCTAATTAACAAACAAACCATAGCAAAAGATGTCTATGCTTTTTCTCTTCAGAACAAAGGGCATGGGTAATCTTTCTTAGACGGCTTCCAGGACTTAAGCCAGGAAGGGAACTTGAGTCTCTTACCTCTCTGTAAGGCATCCATCTTCAATACGCAGAACTAAAAGAGAGATATGGTGGAGTCCTAACTCCAAGGACCTCAGCCTGTGACCTTACTTGGAGACAGAATCTTTACAGAGGTAGGCAAGTTAAAATGAGGTCATTAGAGTGGGCCCTAATTCAATATGACTGGTGTCCTTATAAAAAAAGAGAAATCTGGACACAGAAACAGACAAACAGAAAGTGATATGAAGAGACACAGGAAGAAGGTGGCTGTCTACAAGCCAAGCAGAGAAACTAGAACAAATCCTTCCCTCACAACCCTCAAAAGGAACCAGCCCTGCCAACACCTTGATTTAAGACTTCTATCATCCAGAATTGTGAAACAATAAATTTCTGTTGTTTAAGCCAGCAGTCCCCAGCCTTTCCTTTTTGAAAACAGGGACTGGTTTCATGGAAGATAATATTTCCATGGATGGGGAAGGGAGGTTTCAGGATGAAACTGTTCCACCTCAGATCATCAGGCATTAGTTAGATTTTCATAAGATGTGCACAGCCTAGATCCCTCGAGGGCATGCACAGTTCACAATAGGGTTCACGCTCCTATGAGAACCTAATGCCACCACTGATCTGACAGGAGGCAGAGCTCAAGTGGTAATGCTCACTCACCCACTGCTCACCTCCTGCTGCTCAGCCCAGTTCCTAACAGACCACTGGCCAGTACTGGGCTGAGGCCTGGGGGTTGGGGAAGCCTGGTTTAAGCCATTCCATTTGTTACTTTGTTACAGCAACCCTAGCAAATTAAGAGAGATGATAACCACAGAAAAAAATTAATTCCAAACCCAACTCAGCTCATGGCTAGGTTGACTCAACCACTATACTAAAGGCCTAGCAGAAGGAAAGGCATGCACATTTCCATGATAAAAACTATTTGCTTCAGTCTCTACAATACTAATGCTATCTGGCTTTCAATCAAAACTACTAGGCATACAAAAAAGACAAGCAAAAAAAATACTGTCAAGAGACAAGGTAATCAACAGATTCAGACTCATATATGACACATGCTGAAACTGACAGGGAATTTTAAATAATTGTGTTAATGGCTATAGCAGAAAGATGGACAGCATGCAAAATCAGACGAATTATTATTTCAGCAGACAGATGGAAGTTATAAGAAATAATTAAGGCCAGGTGCAGTGGCTCATGCCTGTAATCCCAGTACTTCAGGAGGTCAAAGTGGGAAGATCACTTAAGCCCAAAGGTTTGAGACCAGCCTGGGCAACACAGCAAGACCCCATCTCTACAAAAAATTTAAAAATTAGCCAGGCATGGTGGTGTGCACCTGTGATTTCAGCTACTCAGGGGGCCAAAGCAGGATTGCTTGAGCCTAGGAGGTTGAGACTTCACTGAGGTGAGATCATGCCACTGCACTCCAGCCTGGCCAACAGAGTGAGACCCTATCTCAAAAAAGAAAGAAAGAAAGAAAGAAGTGCTAGAAAGAAAAAACACAGCAACAGGGGTGAAGAATGCCTTCAACAGGCTAATCAATAGACTTGACACAGCTGAAAAAAAATTAGTGAACTTGACTATACATCAATAGAAATTACCCAAACTAAAACTTGAAGAGGAAAATGAGAGAGAAAAAAATAGAATGTAGCATCCAAGAGCTGTAGGAAAATATCAAATAGTTGATTATTCATGTAACTGGAATCCTAGAAAAAGAATCCCATTTATTTTCCAGGAAAAGAAGAAGAGCAAGGTAGAAAAATATCCAAAAAAATAATGATGAAGAATATTTCAAAATTAATGACAACACCTGTGGTTTGGCAGGATGATACCAAGCAAACATACCTATGCACATCCTAATAAAACTGCTAAAAAGGAAAGACAAAGAGAAAATATTAAAAAGCAGTTAGAGGGGGAAAGACACATTGCATGAAGAGAAACAAAAATGAGAATTACAGCAAACTTCTTGTCAGAAACTATGCAAGCCTGAAGATAATGGAATAACACTTTTTAAAGGGCTAAATGGGAGGAGTGGTCAACCCAGAATTCGATACCCAGTGAAAAAATCTTCAAAAAATAAAGGAGAAATAAAGGTTTTCTCAGACAAAAAAAAAAAGAGAATTTCTTACCAGTATAAAAATTTTAAAGGAAACTTTTCAGGCAGAAGGAATATGACATCAAAAAGAAACTTGGATCTACACAAAGAAACAGTCTCTGAAATGGAATGAATAAAAGTAAATATAAAATTAGTTTCTTTACTTCTATGTCTAAATGAAAACTGACTGCCCAAAGCAAAAATAATAACAATGTAAAACAGCATATGTCAAAGTAACATAATGTATTGGGAATCCAGGACTTTGGCCTCCCAAAGTACTTAGAAGAAAGTATTAGGAGTATAGTGCTGTAAGATCTTTACGCTACACGTAAAGCAGTATTGTATTATTTTAAAGTAGATTCTGATTAATTTAAAATGTATCAGTCCGTTCAGGCTGCCATAACAAAATACCATAGACTGGCGGCCTAAAGAACAGAAATTTATTTCCCATAGTTCTAGAGATAAGGAAGTCCAAGTTCACTGTGACAGCTGATTAAGTTTCTAGCGAGGGCTCTCTTCCTGACTTGGAGACAGCCACCTTCTTGCTGTCTTCGCATGGTTGGGAGAGAAAGAACAAGCTCTCTGGTGTCTTTTCCTATAAGGACACTAATCCAATCAGACTAGGGCCCTACCCTCATTGATCTCCTCTAACACTAATTACCTCCCAAAGGCCCTATCTCTGAATATAATCATGGTGAGGGTTAGGGTTTCAACATATGAAATTTGTAGGGACGCAAATATTTGGGTCCATAATAGATGTATATTGCTGACCCTAGGGCAATCACTTAAAAATGATTTCAAAAATGTATAATATGCTAATAGTGCAGAAAATCGGAAACAAAAATATTCAGTTCAAAAGAAGCCAGAAAAAGAAAAAAAAATGAAACAAACAACAGAATAGAAAACTAGCAATATGGGAGATTTTCATCTAACCATATCAATAATTACATTAAAGCAAACAGTCTAAATACACCAATTATAAAACAGAGATTGTAACATGGGATTAAAAAGCAGAACCCAATGATATGTGAAACCAACTTCATATATGAAGCCATAGATTAAATTTAAAGGAAAGGAATAAAGATGAATCATGAAAACAATCATCAAAAGAGAGCTTGAGTTGTTTTACAAATATACAAAACAGACTTCAGAATAAGGAATATTTCTGGAGATAAAGAGGGTACCACATAATGACAAAGGGATCAACTCTTCAAAAAGACATCACAATGCTGAAAGTGTATGTAGTTAACAACAGAGCTTCAAAATGTATGAAGAAAAAACTGATAGCACTCGAAGAGAAAAGGAAAAAAACTCTACAGTTTATAGTTGTGAACTTCAACACTTCCCTCTTAGTAACTGATAGAACAAGTAGACAGAAAATTGTAAAGATAGACAAGATTTGCAGGACACTATCAACCAATATGATTAAACTGACACATAAAATGCTTCACCCACAACAGTAAAATATACAGTCTCTTTATATACACATTATCCAAGACAGATCATATTCCGGGCCAAAAAAAGAAATGTTAACAAATTTTAAAGAACTGAAATTATATAAAGTATTCTCTGTAAACATAATCGAAATATAAGTAAACACCAGAAAGATATTTGAGAAACCTCCCAATGTTTGCAAAATAAATAATGCACTTCTAAATAACTCATGGGACAAAGAAAAAATCACAAGGGAAATTGGAATGTATTTTGAGCTGAATTAAAATGAAAACACAATACCAAGATTTGCAGGATGCAGCTAAAGAAGTATTCAGAGGGAAATCTGTAGCACTGAACATCCACATTACAAAAAAAAAATTCTCAAATCAATAACCTCCCCTTCTACCTTAAGAAACTAAAAAAGTAAGAGAAAATTCAATCCCAACCAAAAGAAGAAAGAAAATAATAAAGACTAGATCAAAAATCAATTTTAAAAAATTTAATAGAGAAATAATGAAAACAAAAGCTTGTTCTTAAAGAAGGTCAATAAAATTGACAAACCACCTGCCAAATTGATCAGGAAAAAAAAATTACCAATACCAGATAAGAGAAGTGAGAACACAATAAATTCTATAGATATTAAAAGGAAAATAAGGGTATGTTATCAACAACTTGGCCAGGCACAGTGGCTCACACCTGTAATCCTAGCACTTTGGAAGTCTGAGGCAGGAGGATAGCTTGAGCCCAGGATTCAAGACCAAGGCTGGAAACATGGTTAAACCCTGTCTCTACACATAATGCAAAAATTATCTGGGTGGCGTGATGTGCACCTGTAGTCCCAGCTACTCAGGAGGTTGAAATGGGAGGATCACTTGAGCCCAGGAGGTCAAGACTGCAGTGAGCTGTGATTGCACTTCTGCACTCTAGCCTGGGTGACAGAGCAAGACTCTGTCTCAAATAGATTAAATGGTAGATAGATAGATAAAAATAAACAATGTAGGCTGGGTGCAGTGGCTCACACCTGTAATCTCAGCATCTTGGGAGGCCAAGGCAAGTGGATAACTTGAGCTCAGGAGTTTGAGATCATCCTGAATAACACGGAAAAATCCTGTCTCTACAAAAACTACAAAAATTAGCTGGACATGGTGGCTCAGGCCTGTAGTCTCAGCTACTCAGGAGGCTGAGGTGGGAGGATCACTTGAGCCCAGGAGGTGGAGGATATAGAGAGTCAAGATTGCACCTCTGCACTCCAGCTTGGGTGACAGAGTGAGACCCCACCTCAAATAAATAAATAAATAAACAGCTTTATGCCAATAAAGTTGACAACTTAAAGGAAATGGACAAATTCCTTGGAAGACACAAACTAACAAAGCTCACTGAAGGAAACATACATAACCTGAATAGCCCTGTGCCTATTAAAGAAATTAATTGGCAGTTAAAAAGCCTTCCCACAAGGAAAACTCCAGGCTCAGACGGCTTCACTGGTGAATTCTACCAAGCATTTAAGGAAGAAATAATACCACTTTACACAAACTTTTCCAGAAAATTGAAGAAGATAGAACACTTCTCAACTCATTCTATGAGTCCAGCATTACCCTGATACTCTGATAAAGGATCCAAGAAAACTACTGAATAATACACCCTATGAATACAGACACGAAAATTATCACCAAAATATTAGTGAATAAAATCAACAATAAACCAAAAGTATAATCGATTATGACCAACAGGAATTTATCTCTTGAACACAGAACTGATTTAATATTTGAAAATCAGTGTAATTCACCATAACAACAGACTAAAGAAGAACAATACAATCATCTTGATAGATGCAGAAAAAGCCTTTGGCAAAATTCAAAACCACTCATGATACAAGCTCTCAGGAAACTAGGAATAGAAGGGAACTTCCTTCACCTGGTAACAGGTAATGTCTAATGGTGAAAGGAGAAATGCCTTCCAGACTGGGAGCAAGGCAAGAACTACACTCTTTTTTTTTTTTCTTTTTTCTTTTTTTTCTTTTTGAGACGGAGTCTCGCTCTGCCACCCAGGCTGGAGAGCAGTGGCGCGATTTTGGCTCACTGCAAACTCCGCCTTCTGGGTTCAAGCGATTCAGCTGCCTCAGCCTCCTGAGTAGCTGGGATTACAGGCATGGGCCACCATGCCCAGCTAATTTTTGTATTTTTAATAGAGAGGGGGTTTCACCATGTCGGCCAGGCTGGTCTCGAACTCCTGACCTCAGCCTCCCAAAGTGCTGAGATTACAGGCTTGAGCCACCGTGCCAGGCCAAAAATTACACTCTTATCACTGCAATTCAACATTCCATGAAGGAAAATACTTGCAAATCCGATATCTGACAGAAAAACTGTATTCGGAATGCATATATAACTCTTGAAATAAGAAAACAAACTACATGCGATGCCTGAATATGCATGTCCCCTCCCTGAAAAATTCCTGTATTGAAATCCTAATCCCCTTAAGAGGTGGGACCTTTGAGGAGGTGATGAGGTCAGAAGGCACAGCAGCAGAGCCCTCATGAATGGGATTAGTGCCCTTATAAAAGACTCCAGAGAGCTGCCCTGCCCCTTCCACCATATGAGGACACAGCTAGAAGGTGCCATCTATGAGCCAGAAATTAGCCCTCAGCAGACACTGAATCTGCCGCTATTTAGAAGCTGCCCAGGCTATGGTATTCTGTTATAGCAGCCTGAAAGGATGAAGACACAACAAAATAAAAGAAGTGGACAAAATATCTGAGCAGACACTTCACCAAAGAAGAGATGCAAACTGAATGAAAATCACATGTAAAGATTCTCAGCATTATTGATCATTAAGTAAATGCAAATCAAAACCACGTGATACTACTGTACCCCTATTGGAATGACTAAAAAAGAAAGAAAAACCAACAATACCAAGAGTCAGTGAGAACGCACAGCAGCCAGAATTCTCCTACATTGCTGGTGGGAATGCAAAATGATACTGACACTTTGAAAAATAGTAGAGCCGTTTCTTATAAAGTCAAACATATGCTTTCAGACAACATAACAATCCCACGTATACGTTTTTACCCAAGTGAAATGAAAACCTATGTTCACACAAAAACCTGTATGCAAATATTTACAGCAGTTTCCATCGTCTTTGCCAAAAACCGGAAGCAACTCAAATGTTCTTCAACTGGGAAATGGACAAACTGTGGTACAGCCATACAATGATATACTGCCCAGCAATTTTAAAAAGAACTGATATACACAATAACATAAATGAGGCCGGGCATGGTGGCTCACGCCTGTAATCCCAGTACTTTGGGAGGCTGAGGCAGGTGGATCACTTGAGGTCAGGAGTTTGAGACCAGCCTTGCCAACATGGTGAAACCCCATCTCTACTAAAAACACAAAAATTAGCCAGGTGTTGTGGCGGGCACCTGTAGTCCCAGCTACTCAGGAGGCTGAAACAGGAGAATCACTTGAACCCAGGAGGCAGAGGATGCAGTGAGCCAAAAAATAACACAAACGAATCTCAAATGCATTATGCCAGCAGTCCCCACTCTTTTTGGCACCAGGGACCGGTTTCGTGGAAGACAATTTTTCCACAGACGAGGAGTTGGGGGTGAGGGGCAGGGGGATGGTTTTGGGATGATTCAAGCGCATTATTGTGTACTTTATTTCTATTGTTATTACACTGTAATATATAATGAAATAATTATGCAAGTCACCATAATGTAGAATTAGCGGGAGCCCTGAGCTTGCTTTCTTGCAACTAGACAGTCCCATCTGGGGGTGATGGGAGACAGTGACAGATCATCAAGCATTAGATTCTCATAAAAAGCACGCAACCTAGATCCCTCGCATGTGCAATTTACAATAGGAACTGCATGCTCCTATGAGAATCTAATGGCACAGCTGATCTGACAGAAGACGGAGCTCAGGCAATAATGTGAGCTATGGAGAGCAGATGTAAATAGAGATGAAGCTTCACTCGCTCACCTCCTGCTGTGCAGCCTGCTTCCTAACAGGTCACAGACTGGTGCCAGTCCGTGGCCCAGGGCTGGCGACCCCTGCATTATGCTAAGTGAAATAAGCCAGATCTAAAATGTTAACATTGTATGGTTCCATTTATTTAATATTCTTAGAAAGGCAACGTTCTAAGGACAGAAAACATGTTAGTGGTTGTCAAGAGTCCAGGTTAGAGGGAGGGATTGACTAAAAGGGGGCATAGGAGAATTTTGGGGGGTGATGAAACTGTTTCATATCTTGATTACAATAGTAGCCACATATCTATATATTTGTCAACATTCACAGAAATATACACTCTAAAGGGTAAATTTTAATATATGTAAATGTTAACTTATTTTAAACAGGAAAATGCTATTGGCATGTAGTGACAAATCATTAAAGCTAATAATAGACTTTTTTTCTTTTTCCCCAAGATGGAGTCTTGCTTTGTCACCTAGGCTGGAGTGCAATGATGCGATCTCGGCTCACTGCAAGCTCCGCCTCCCAGGTTCAAGCAATTCTCCTGCCTCAGCCTCCCAAGTAGCTAGGATTACACGCACGCGCCACCACGCCCAGCTCATTTCTTGTATAATTTTAGTACATGGGGTTTCACCATGTTGGCCAGCTGGTTTTGAACTCCTGACCTCACGATCTGCCCGCCTCAGCCTCCCAAAGTGCTGGGATTACAGGCGTGGGCCACCGCTCCCGGCCAATAATAGACATTTTTAAATCTTAAAATTATAAATCAAGTATTTACCATACATAGAGTACCCAGTAACCGACAAATACTCTATATAATTATTTCTAATACTTACAAAAGTCCTTCAAATATGTACCATTACCCTTTCTATTAAGAAACTGATCTTCAAAAAAATAGAAGGACCTCCTAATAAGTTATGGAGCAAAAATGCAAATCCAAATTTTCTTGGTTTAAACTACAAAATAGGCCAGGCATGGTGCCTCATCCCTGTAAATCCCAGCAATTTGGGAGACTGAGGCAGGTGGATCACTTGAGCTTAGGAGTTCGAGACCAGCCTGGGCAACATGTTGAAACCCCATCTCTACAAAAAATACAAAAATTAGCCAGGTGTAGTGTTGCACGTCTGTAGTCACAGCTATTCAGGAGGCTGAGATGGGAAGATCCCTTGAGCCTCGGAGGCAGAGGTTGCAGTGAGACAAGATTGAGCCACTGCACTCCAGCCTGGGCAACAGAATGAGACCCCGTCTCTAAACAAAGAAAGAAAGAAAACCTAAATAAAAATTGTTGCACCACCAAAACATGTCATTATTTTCACTTTCAAAAGATCAGCTCAGATTAACTGCAATTAGAACCTAAGAGTTTTAGTTGGCTACAGGTCATGTTGAGCCCCAACCCTGTGCTATGTCTGCTCAAACAATAAATTGGATAACAAACTAGATTAATAAATGAGGTCTGCACTATTCAGACATCTGGAACATGATGTCCACATCTGCGCAGGTGGAGTATATCCTTAGAATGCTATCATAGAAGAGAACTGAAGAAAAATGTAATTTTTTGAAAAGAAATATCCCATAGATGGTAGTCTCTCTGAGTCTTACTTAGTCTTATTCATGTAGTTACAGAAACCATAGCAAGGATCAATGTGTAGTGGTTTCTAGGACGTAGATTTTGGTCTCATATCGCACTTGCATTGTTTTCTCACAAGCATTCAATATGGAGTAAACTGTCTGAGAACACAGTGATAGCCCCATCTTTCAAGGTATTCAAGGAGAGACACAAATCAGGAATGCTGTAGAGAAGTTAGATAACTATGTTTTAGAGGAGATAGAGCCTGATGACCTCAAATGTATCTTTCAATTCTGATTTCACTGCTCTTTGTGTATACCAGGTTCTAATATTATTGATTTATTGTGGTAAATCACATCACCACTTTTTAGAATTCACTCTAGACATATTTCCTCTTAGCGACATTACGAGAACTTTTATTCTTGTTCTTCCAAAACTGGACTGTATCTAAACAACTTTAAGCAGGAGCCGTGTGCTCATGTGTAATCCATTCCCAAGAAAAGTGAGTCTTCTCTCAATAATGCCCTCCCGCAGGTTCTCACCATGATGTTCCAAACTTCTTTCTCTGGGTGACCTGGAATTCTTCCTGATGTTTATCACATGTGTGCCTGATCCTTTGAATTCAGTGGACTAAAAGATATTGAGATGGTAGTTCAGATAACAAAGCATGACCCCATAAATGTTATGCAGACCTTCCCAGCACCAAAGCCTATTAATGTAGAACAAAAGAGTCACCATTGGGTCACAGGTCAGGAACCAAGCCATGAAAGACAACATCAGATCTCAGTAAGAAAATCAGAATTCTTGCAGCCATAAAAAGGAATGAAATCATATTCTTTGCAGCAACATGGATGGAGGCAGAGACCATTATCCTAAGTAAACTAACTAAGAAACAGAGAACCAAACACCACATGCTCTCACTTATAAGAGGAAGCTAATGGGTACACATGGACATATGAATGAAAATAATAGACACTGAGGGTTCCAAAAGATGGGAGGGGGAGATGGGTGAGGGTTGAAAAATTACCTATCAGGTACAACGTTCACTATTTAGGTAACGGGTACACTAGAAGCCCAATCCCCACCAGTAGGCAATATACCTATGTAACAAACATGCACACGTACCCCCGAAACTAAAATAAAATAAAATTTTAAAAAATAAAGAAATGCTATTTTATGCTTATCTTTTTCTCTTTCAACCTTTTAGTGTTCTGTGTAATATAAAAAGTAAAATTAAGACTAATAAAAATTAAAACTCTAAAAAAGAAAGAAAATTAGAATATTATGAGCCACCTAAGACCAAGGCCAGCAGCAGTTGATGGGGAAGTAAGATGGGGAAGTAAGAAGCTGATGGGGAAGGAATCCAGGGAGGAAGGCGAGGCAGCAAAGGAAGAGACTTAGCAGGCATTGTGCTATTACAGGCATTGTTTCTCTTAGACCTTAGAACAAGCATATGTAGTAGGTAATCACATCCCTATTTTACATCCCTATGAAGCTACTGAGACCTAAAAGGTCAATTAACTATCCCAAAGCCAACCAGCTGATAAAGAATAGTCACATTTTACCCAGGTCTGCCTGATTCCAAGCCCAGGATTCTACCTACTGTGCCAACAGTTCTCAATCAGGGGTGATCTTGCCCCTCTTCCTACCTGGGGACATTTGGCAGTGTCTGAAGACATTTTTGGTTGTCAGAACTGGAAGTAGGAAGGGGTGCTACTGACATCCAGTAAGTGGAAGCCAGGGATGCTGCCAAACATCCAACAAAGGACAGCACCCCCACTACAAGGAATTACCCAGCACAAAATGCCAATAGTGCCAAACTTAAATAACCTTGCACTATGCAATGCATAGGAGATATGGAAGAAAATTTTCAAGTTTAAGCACTATTTTGCTTCAGTGGTGCTCTTTCCATAGTTCATAATCTTGGTCCTGGTGGCATGCCCTGGCCAGTAATAAAGACTGGGGTCCCCATGTATTTAATTTCTGCCCTTTAAGAAAGAGGAGGTTTGAGTGACACCCCAGTATTTTTTTAATATAAACCACAAGATGACTGTGTTGAACTGAAAGAGATATTTTGGAATGCCTGACCCCAGCTCAAAAGGCAATACAAAGAGCCCATAACCGATGCAGCAGGCAGCATGCAGCACTGAGCTCCTGGGGCAGGGCTGGCATGGGGATTGGAATTATGGCCCCATTATCCACAAAGTGAACATTTTTCTAACAATAACACAATGATTTCAGAAGCAATTTTAAAAACAAGAATCTTTCCCCCCAAACTCCAGAGCTTTTCTGATTTTTGTCAGTAACAAAAGAATTCAGCTTCCAAAAAGCAGGCTGCATCTCTGAATATTAAAACTCCCACCTTGGGAAATTTTGTAAGCCTTCAGACAACCTCTTTTAAAGTTAAAAATGAAAGTCACTCAACAGACGACAGTGCTCATGGGCCCCTTTTATCTATGGAAGAAAGACAGAAAGAAACACAGAGTGATAACTTAGGAGCAGAGACCAAATTACTGACCTTGAGTCACCTTCCACACCATGCCTGGCCCAAACAAGATAGGGAGTTAAAAGCTTCAACTAGTAGCAACAGCAAATGATGTAATGTGATATTTTTAAAACCCATCAAGGGAGAATAAAAAAAGCTAGATCGTATTATGCATAGAGCTCTTAGAGGTTAAAAAGAGCCTCAATTTGCCTTTAGCTAAGCCCTTTTTTCATGCTGAAATCAACCATTCCACTTTCCTCTCTGTCCAAAGAACAAGCAATTCTAGAACTAAAGAACTAGTCCACTGAAGCTTGGACTGACTGGATGAGTTTTATTTTTTATCTGCATGTGAAACCGAATGGGTTTTCTTTTTAGGGCTGCATGGGTGAACCCCTCATTATTCCCCCAGCTCTGTCACTCTGATTTTCCTTCTCTATGATGGTGATTATTATGCTACATTGATACCCATTTGTCCACATCTTCAACATGGACTCCTGTGTTCCTCCACCCTAGCTACATTTTTCACGCAACCCAACCATGAAACTTTCTGAATTGCCACCAAATGCAAGCATCAGGGGTCTCATGCCCAAAACTGCCATAGCAGGAGGCACCAAAACAGTTTTTGTCATTTTTCCCAAGGCACACAGATTGCTCAAATCTGCTTCTCTCTGCCTTGTTTTTCCCTAACTCATAACCATAAGCATTAACTGCCCATTCTCAGGCATTCGTGATATACCTGGCACTGTACTAGGTGTTTTACAAATACAGTTTTATTTAGTCCTCGCAGCAACTCATGAGATAAATATCATTACCTCTACATTTTAGATGAGAAATTCAAAACTAAAGAGTTTTAATAATTTATAAAAGATGACACAGAAAATAAGTGGCAGATTTAGTCCCAAGTCTCTGACCCCAAAAACCGTTTTTACTACACAGCATACAAGATTTGTGGAAGACATTTTAAAAAGTCAATAGTAGTTATTTCTAGAATATAAGGTGACGGCTAATTTTAGGTCTTTTTAAATTATATATATTTTTATATTTAAAACTGGGCACGCAGCTGGGTGCAGTGACTCATGCCTGTAATCCCAGTTGAGAGGTGACAGCGTGCTGGCAGTCCTCACAGCCTTCGCTTGCTCTCGGCGCCTCCTCTGCCTGGGCTCCCATTTTGGCAGCACTTGAGGAGCCCTTCAGCCCACCACTGCACTGTGGGAGCCCCTTTCTAGGCTGGCCAAGGCCAGAGCCGGCTCCCTCAGCTTGCAGGGAGGTGTGGAGGGAGAGGCGCGAGCGGGAACCGGGGCTGCACCCGGCGCTTCTGGGCCAGCTGGAGTTCCAGGTAGGCATGGGCTTGGTGGGCTCCACACTCGGAACAGCCGGCAGCGCAGCCGGCCCTGCCAGCCCTGCCGCCGCGGGCAATGAGGGGCTTAGCACCCAGGCCAGCGGCTGCGGAGGGTGTACTGGGTCCCCCAGCAGTGCCAGCCCACCGGCGCTACGCTCGATTTCTCACTAGGCCTTGGCTGCCTTCTCGCGGGGCAGGGCTCAGGACCTGCAGCCCGCCATGCCTAAGCCTCCCACCCCCTCCATGGGCTCCTGTGCAGCTGGAGCCTCCCAGATGAGCGCGGCCCCCTGCTCCACGGCACCCAGGCCCATCGACCACCAAAGGGCTGAGGAGTGCGGGCGCACGGCACAGGACTGGCAGGCCACTCCACCTGCAGCCCCGGTGTGGGATCCACTGGGTGAAGCCAGCTGGGCTCCTGAGTCTGGTGGAGAAGTGGAGAACCTTTATGTCTAGCTCAGGAATTGTAAATACACCAATCGGCACTATGTATCTAGCTCAAGGTTTGTAAACGCACCAATCAGTGCCCTGTCAAAATAGACCAGTCGGCTCTACCAATCAGCAGGATGTGGGTGGGGCCAGATAAGCGAATAAAAGCAGGCTGCTGGAGCCAGCAGTGGCAACCGGCCTGGGTCCCCTTCCACACTGTGGAAGCTTTGTTCTTTCACTCTTTGCAATAAATCTTGCTACTGCTCACTCTTTGGGTCCACACTGCCTTTATGAGCTGTTAACACTCACCGTGAAGGGCTGCAGCTTCACTCCTGAAGCCAACAAGACCACGAGCCCACCGGGAGGAAAGAACAACTCCAGACGCACCACCTTAAGAGCTGTAACACTCACCGCGAAGGTCTGCAGCTTCACTCCTGAGCCAGCAAGACCACGAACCCACCAGAAGGAAGAAACTCCAAACACATCTGAACATCAGAAGGAACAAACTCCAGACACGCTGCCTTTAAGAACTGTAACACTCACCGCAAGGGTCCGTGGCTTCATTCTCGAAGTCAGTGAGACCAAGAACCCACCGATTCCGGACACACCAGCACTTCGGGAGGCCGAGGTGGGCGGATCACCTGAGATCAGGAGTTCAAGACCAGCCTTGCCAACATGACGAAGCCTTGTCTCTACTAAAAATGCAAAAATTAGCCAGGCGTGGTGGTGCGTGCCTATAATCCCAGCTACTCAGGAGGCTGAGGCAGGAGTTCTTGAACCCAGGAGATGGAAGTTAGAGCAAGGCTCTCAAAAACAATAAAATTAAATTAAAATTAAATTGGACACATAAGATAGAATAACAGAGACATCTAAAACCACAAAAAAATAGACAAAGGCTGGGTGTGATGGCGCATGCTTATAATCCCAGCACTTTGGGAGGCTGAGACAAACAGATTGCCTGAGCCCAAGAGGAGTTTGAGACCAGCCTGGGAAACATGGCAAAACCTCATCTCTACAAATAATACAAAAAAAAAATAGCTGGGCATGGTGGTGCATGCCTGTAGTTCCAGCTACTCAGAAGGCTGGGGTGGGAGGATTGCTTAACCCTACGAGTTTGAGGCTGCAGTGAGCCATGATTGCTTAAGCCTGGGAGTTTGAGGTTACAGTGAGCAGAGATTACCCACTGCACTCCAGCCTGGGCAACAGAGTAAGACGCTGTCTTAAAAAAAAAAAAAAAAAAAAAAAAAGGTGGCTGTCCAGAAGCCGGCTGAGTTCAAGTCTCGGTTCCACCTTTTGCTTGCTGCAGAACCTTGTGTAAGTCACTCACAATCAGGCTCAAAAAAACAAAACAAAAAACCAGAACAAATATGTAAAACAAAATTTTCAAGATATACTGAACATTTAGGCAACAAAGGCTGTGAGCCCCTGCAGATGGGAAACAAATAAGATGAGCCAAAGGATTGCCCCACTGTACTCTCTTAAGAGAGTTTTCAGACCTCTGCACACAGAGGGGAAACCAGGCTGAGCCTTGCAGACTTGCTGAGTTGCGAAGACAAACCAACTGCCAAGTCCAATAAGAAAGTAGCTAGAGTTCACAGCACAAAGTAACAGAGAGGAGGGAAGTGCACAGAGACAGAACTCCAGAGATCTGCACAGGGTGCCCTACAAGTGTATAATGAGTACTGACTGATCCATGCATATATGTCAGGAAACTACCCAGGCCAGGGAAAGAACCATCCAAAAAGATTAAAGTATCCAATGTTCAAACAGGCCTTGAAATAGTGCCTATTCCCACCAGCAAGATTAGAAAACCACAGGACTCATAAGTCACTGGGTAGAGTACACAGTAGGGTTTTGCCTCAGTCATGGAAAATAATTATCCCTACACTGAGCTCTGCTCCAGTCCCATCTAATAATTCTTAAAAGAAATACCTGAAAGGATCAAACTACTTCCAAGTAACTTAAATGTGTCCCAGAACAAACCTCAAAAATATTTATAGAGGTACAAAAATATCCAGCACTCAGTGCTATAGTCTGAACGTTTGCGTTCCTCCAAAATTCATATGTTGGAATTTAATCCTCAGTGTGACTGTATTAAGAAGTGAGGCCTTTGGCCCTGCGCGGTGGCTCGCGCCTGTAATCCCAGCTCTTTAGGAGGCCGAGGTGGGTGTATCACGAGGTCAAGAGATTGAGACCATCCTGGCTAACATGGTAAAACCCCATCTCTATTAAAAATACAAAAATTAGCCAGGTGTAGAGGCACGCACCTGTAGTCCCTGCTACGTGGGAGGCTGAGGCAGGAGAATGGCTTGAACCTGGGAGGTGGAGGTTGCAGTGAGCCAAGATTATGCCACTGCACTCCAGCCTGGGTGACAGAGACTCTGTCTCAAAAAAAAAAAAAAAAAAAAAAAGAAGTGAGGCCTTTAGGAGGTGATCTAGGAATATTACCCTTGTAAAAGAGGCTCGAGGGATCCCCCTTGCCCCTTCCACCATGTGAGGACGCAGCAGCAAGCCACAGTCTTTGAAGGGGAGAGCAAGCCCTCACCAAACACTGAATCTGCTAGCACCTTAATCTTGGACTTCCCAGTATCCAGAACTGTAAGCAGTTAATTTCTGTTGTTTGTAAATTAGCCAGTCTAAGGTACTTTGTTATAGCTATCTGAGCAGGCTATGACTGAAATTGGTACTGAGAAGTGGAGTGCTACTGTAACAAATATCTTAAAATGTGGAAGCAGCTTTGAAATTGAGTAATGGGCAGAAGCTGGAAAAGTTCTGAAGTACATTGCCATGAAAGGAGTCTTAAGGGCAATTTGGTAAGGGCTCAGAAAAAGAAGAGAGCTGAAGAGAAAGCCTCAGTCTTCTTAGAGATTACCTAAGTGGTCACTATTAGAATGTTGGTAGAAATATAAACAGTAGAGGTCATTCCGATGAGGTCTCCCATGGAAATTAGGAACGTGTTATAGGAAACTGGAGGAAAGGTGATTCTTGTTATAAAGTTTCAATTAACTTGGCTTAATTGTGTTTGTGTCCTAACGTTTTGTGGAAAATAGAACTTTTGAGCAACAAAATAAGATATTTGGCAAAAGAAATCTGCACACTTTTGAGAGTGCAGAATGGTTTCTCTGGACTGCTTATAATAAACTGCAAGAGGAGAGACACAAATTAAAGATTAAACTAATAATCAAAAGAGAAACAGAACTTAAAGATATGGAAAATCCTCACCCTGCCCATGTTGTAAAGAATAAAAATGCGGCCAGGCATGGTGGCTCACGCCTGTAATCCCACCACTTTGGGAAGCCGAGACAGGTGGATCACTTGAGGACAGGAGTTTGAGACCAACCTGGCCAACATGGTGAAACCCCGTCTCTACTAGAAATGCAAAAATTAGCTGGGCATGGTGGCAGGCACCTGTAATCCCAGCCACTCGGGAGGCTGAGGCAGGGAATCACTTGAACATGGGAGGCAGAGGTTGCAGTGACCCAAGATCATGCCACTGCACTCCAGCCTGGGCAATAGAGCGAGACTCTGTCGGGAAAAAAAAAAAAAAAAGAATAAAAAAATGTATTCAAGAGAGAACACCAAGATCATGGCCAAGCAAACATTTAATAAGGTGATTAGTATGGATAGAAGGAAGCTAGATGCTATCTGTTAAGACAATGGAAGACTGACCTCAAAAGTGTTTTAGAGATCATGGGGGCTGCCACTGCCATCACAGGACCAGAATGCCAAGGCCTGAGGGACAGAATTATGTCAAAAAAGGGTCCTCAGGTATCGTGGGACCTCAGCACTCACTTCACTGTGCCACCTCAAGTTTCTGTTCCCTGTATTCTGGCACAGAGATGCTCAGTCATCCCAGATGTGGCTCCAGTGAGCCCAGGTGCAATGCAGGCTGCAATGACTTTCCCTCTGAAGGGTGCTGGTGTTAAACTTTAGCAGCACCCACATTGTGCTAATTCTGCAGGGGCACAGAGTGCAAGAACTATGGAGGTATGGCTACCTCCACCTAGATTTCAAAGGATATTCTGAAGGGCCTCAGGGCCCCAGCAGTGAACTGTCACAGGGGAGGAGCCACCACAGAGAGATCAATCAGAAATTAACAGAGCCACCCACGTGCAATGCAGTCTGGGAGAGCTGCAGGCATAACAATCCCACCCATGAGAACTGCAGCATGGTTTATGCCCAGCAAAGCCATGAGGCTGCCTTGGGGGCCCAACCCTTGCCCCAGTGTAAAGATTATCTTCAAGACTTAAGATTTGCCCTCCTGGGCCTTGGACTTACTTGGAACCAGTTATTCCTTTCTTCCTATTTTTCCCCTTTTGAAATGGGAATGTCTATTCCATGCCTGTCCTGCCATTTTATTTTGAAAGCACATAACATGACTGATTTCAAAGGTCTGCAATTGGAAAGCAATTTGCCTACCTTGAATCCCATCCATATTTGACTTAGATGATATTTACATGAAACTCTGGCCTTTAGACTTTTGAGTTGATGCTGAAAAAAGTGAAGAGTTTTGGGGCTACTGGGATGTAATGAATGTATCTTGCATGTGAAAAGGACATGAATTTTCAGGCCAGAAGCAGAATGCTATGGTCTGAATGTTTGTATTCCTCCAAAATTTATATGTTGGAACTTAATCCCCAAGGTGATTTTATTAAGAAGTGAGGATATTTAGCTAGACGGTCCCAAGATGGCCAAATAGGAACAGCTCCAGTCTACAGGTCCCAGCGTGAGCAACGCAGAAGATGGGTGATTTCTGCATTTCCAACTGAGGTACTGGGTTCATCTCACTGGGGCGTGTCAGACAGTGGGTGCAGGACAGTGGGTGCAGGCCACTGAGCGAGAGCTGAAGCAGGGCGAGGCATCGCCTCAGCCAGGAAGCGCAAGGGGTCAGGGAATTCCCTTTCCTAGCCAAGGGAAGCCATGACAGACGGCACTTGGAAAATCAGGTCACTCTCACTGTAATACTGCGCTCTTCCAAGGGTCTCAGCAAACAGCACACCAGGAGATTATATCCTGCACCTGGCTCAGAGGGTCCCACACCCACGGAGCCTCACTCATTGCTAGCACAGCAGTCTGAGATCTAACTGCAAGGCAGCAGTGAGGCTGGGGGAGGGGCGCCCACCATTGCTGAGGCTTGAGTAGGTAAACAAAGCAGCCCAGTGGAGCCCACCACAGCTCAAGGAGGTCTGCCTGCCTCTGTAGACTCCACCTCTGGGGGCAGGGCATAGCTGAACAAAAGGCAGCAGAAAACTCTGCAGATTTAAATGTCCCTGTCTGACAGCTTTGAAGAGAGTAGTCATTCTCCCAGCACAGACTCTGAGATCTGAGAACGGACAGACTGCCTCCTCAAGTGGGTCCCTGACCCCCGAGTAGCCTAACTGGGAGGCACCCCCCATAGGGGCAGACTGACACCTCACATAGCCGGGTACCCCTCTAAGGCGAAGCTCCGAGAGGAACGATCAGGCAGCAACATTTGCTGTTCAGCTATATTCGCTGTACTGCAGCCTCTGCTGCTGATACCCAGGGGAACAGGGTCTGGAGTGGACCTCCTGCAAACTCCAACAGACCTGCAGCTGAGGGTCCTGACTGTTAGAAGGAAAACTAACAAACAGGAAGGACATCCACACCAAAACCCCACCTGTACATCACCATCATCAAAGACCAAAGGTAGATAAAACCACAAAGATGGGGAAAAAACAGAGCAGAAAAGTTGAAAATTCTAAAAATCAGAGCATCTCTCCCCCTCCAAAGGAACGCAGCTCCTCACCAGCAAGTGAACAAAGCTGGACAGAGAATGACTTTGATCAGTTGCGAGAAGAAGGATTCAGATGATCAAACTTCTCCGAGCTAAAGGAGGAAGTTCAAACCCATCACAAACAAGCTAAAAACCTTGAAAAAAAAATTAGACAAATGGCTAACTAGAATAACCAGTGTAGAGAAGTCCTTAAATGACCTGATGGAGCTGAAAACCATGGCACCAGAACTACGTGATGAATGCACAAGCTTCAGTAACTGATTTGATCAACTGGAAGAAAGGGTATCAGTGATTGAAGATCTAATGAATGAAATGAAGCGAGAAGAGAAGTTTAGAGAAAAAAGAGTAAAAAGAAATGAACAAAGCCTCCAGGAAATATGGGACTATGTGAAAAGACCAAAATCTACCTCTGATTGGTGTACCTGAAAGTGATGGGGAGAATGGAACCAAGTTGGAAAACACTCTGCAGGATATTATCCAGGAGAACTTCCCCAATCTAGCAATGCAGGCCAACATTCATATTCAGGAAATACAGAGAATGCCACAAAGACACTCCTTGAGAAGAGCAACTCCAAGACACATAATTGTCAGATTCACCAAAGTTGAAATGAAGGAAAAAATGTTAAGGGCAGCCAGAGAGAAAGCTCGGGTTACCCACAAAGAGAAGCCCATCAGATTAACAGTGGATCTCTCAGCATAAACTCTACAAGCCAGAAGAGAGTGGGGGCCACTATTCAACATTCTTAAAAGAATTTCCAACCTAGAATTTCATATCCAGCCAAACTAAGCTTCATAAGTGAAGGAGAAATAAAATCCTTTACAGACAAGCAAATGCTGAGAGATTTTATCACCACCAGGCCTGCCTTACAAGAGCTCCTGAAGGAAGCACTAAACATGGAAAGGAACAACTGGTACCAGCCACTGCAAAAACATGCCAAAATGTAAAGACCATCGATGCTAGGAAGAAACTGCAGCAACTAATGAGCAAAATAACCAGCTAATATCACAATAACAGGATCAAATTCACACAGAACAATATTAACCTTGAAAGTAAATGGGCTAAATGCTCCAATTAAAAGACACAGACTGGCAAATTGGATAGAGTCAAGACCCATCAGTGTGCTGTATTCAGGAGACCAATCTCACATGCAGAGACACACATAGGCTCAAAATAAAGGGATGGAGGAAGATCTACCAAGCGAATGGAAAACAAAAAAAGGCTGGGGTTGCAATTCTAGTCTCTGATAAAACAAACTTTAAACCAACAAAGATCAAAAGAGACAAAGAAAGCCATTACATAACGGTAAAGGGATCAATTCAACAAGAACAGCTACCTTAAATATATATGCACTCAATACAGGAGCACTCAGATTCATAAAGCAAGTCCTTAGAGACCTACAAAGAGACTTAGACTCCCACAGAATAATAATGGGAGACTTTAACACTCCACTGTCGACATTAGATAGATCCACGAGACGGAACGTTAAGAAGGATACCCAGGAATTGAACTCAGCTCTGCGCCAAGTGGACCTAATAGACATCTACAGAACTCTCCACCCCAAATCAAGAGAATATACCTTCTTCTCAGCACCACATCGCACTTATTCCAAAATTGACCACACAGTTGGAAGTAAAGCACTCCTCAGCAAACGTAAAAGAACAGAAATTATAACAAACTGTCTCTCACACCACAGTGCAATCAAACTGGAACTCAGGATTAAGAAACTCACTCAAAACCGCTCAACTACATGGAAACTGAACAATCTGCTCCTGAATGACTACTGGGTACATAACGAAATGAAGGCAGAAATAAAGATATTCTTTGAAACCAACGAGAACAAAGACACAACATACCAGAATCTCTGGGACACATTTAAAGCAGTGTGTAGAGGGAAATTTATAGCACTAAATGCCCACAAGAGAAAGCAGGAAAGATCTAAAATTGACACCCTAACATCACAATTAAAAGAACTAGAGAAGCAAGAGCAAACACATTCAAAAGCTAGCAGAAGGCAAGAAATAACTAAGATCAGAGCAGAACTGAAGGAGATAGAGACACAAAAAAACCTTCAAAAAATCAATGAATTCAGGAGCTGGTACTTGAAAAGATCAACAAAATTGATAGACTGCTGGCAAGACTAATAAAGAAGAAAAGAGAGAAGAATCAAAAAGATGCAATAAAAAATGATAAAGGGGATATCACCAACGATCCCACAGACATACAAACTACCATCAGAGAATACTATAAACACCTCTATGAAAATAAACTAGAAAATCTAGAAGAAATGGATAAATTCCTGGACACATACACCCTCCCAAGACTAAACCAGGAAGAAGTTGAATCCCTGAATAGACCAATAACAGGCTCTGAAATTGAGGCAACAATTAATAGCCTACCAACCAAAAAATGTCCAGGACCAGATGGATTCACAGCCGAATTCTACCAGAGGTACAAGGAGGAGCTGGTACCATTCCTTCTGAAACTATTCTAATCAACAGAAAAAGAGGGAATCCTCCCAAACTCATTTTATGAGGCCAACGTCATCCTGATACCAAAGCCTGGCAGAGACACAACAAAAAAAAAAGAATTTTGGACCAATACCCCTGATGAACATCAATGCAAAAATCCTCAATAAAATACCGGCAAACCAAATCCAGCAGCACATCAAAAAGGTTATCCGCCATGATCAAGTGGGCTTCATCCCTGGGATGCAAGGCTGGTTCAACATACGAAAATCAATAAACGTAATCCATCATATAAACAGAACCAAAGACAAAAACCACACGATTATCTCAATAGATGCAGAAAAGGCCTTTGACAAAATTCAACAGCCCTTCATGCTAAAAACTCTCAATAAATTAGGTATTGATGGGACGTATCTCAAAATAATAAGAGCTACTTATGACAAACCCACAGCCAATATCACAGTGAATGCGCAGAAACTGGAAGCATTCCCTTTGAAAACTGGCACAAGACAGGGATGCCCTCTCTCACCACTCCTATTCAACATAGTGTTGGAAGTTCTGGCCAGGGCAATCATGCAGGAGAAAGAAATAAAGGGTATTCAATTAGGAAAAGAGGAAGTCAAATTGTCCCTGTTTGCAGATGACATGATTGTGCATTTAGAAAACCCTATGGTCTCAGCCCAAAATCTCCTTAAGCTGATAAGCAACTTCAGCAAAGTCTCAGGATACAAAATCAATGTGAAAAATCACAAGCATTCTTATGCACCAATAACAGACTAACAGAGAGCCAAATCATGAGTGAAATCCCATTCACAATTGCTTCAAAGAGAATAAAATACCTAGGAATCCAACTTACAAGGGACATGAAAGACCTCTTCAAGGAGAACTGCAAACCACTACTCAATGAAATAAAAGAGGACACAAACAAATGGAAGAACATTCCACGCTCGTGGATAGGAAGAATCAATATCGTGAAAATGGCCATACTGCCCAAGGTAATTTATAGATTCAATGCCATCCCCATTCAAGCTACCAGGACTTTCTTCACAGAATTGGAAAAAACTACTTTGAAGTTCATATGGAACCAAAAAAGAGCCTGCATTGCCAAGTCAATCCTAGGCCAAAAGAACAAAGCTGGAGGCATCATGCTACCTGACTTCAAACTATACTACAAGGCTACAGTAACCTAAACAGCATGGTACTGGTACCAAAACAGAGATATAGACCAATGGAACAGAACAGAGCCCTCAGAAATAATATCACACGTCTACAACCATCTGATGTTTGACAAACCTGACAAAAACAAGAAATGGGGAAAGGATTCCCTGTTTAATAAATGGTGCTGGGAAAACTGGCTAGCCATATGTAGAAAGCTGAAACTGGATCCCTTCCTTACACCTTATACAAAAATTAATTCAAGATGGATTAAAGACTTAAATGTTAGGCCTAAAACTATAAAAACCCTAGAAGAAAACCTAGGCAATACCATTCAGGAGACAGGCATGGGCAAGGACTTCATGTCTAAAACACCAAAAGCAATGGCAACAAAAGCCAAAATTGACAAATGGGATCTAATTAAACTAAAGAGCTTCTACACAGCAAAAGAAACTACCATCAGAGTGAACAGACAACCTACAGAATGGGAGAAAATTTTTGCAATCTACTCATCTGACAAAGGGCTAATATCCAGAGTCTACAATGAACTCAAACAAATTTACAAGAAAAAAAGAAACAACCCTATCAAAAAGTGGGCAAAGGATATGAACAGACATTTCTCAAAAGAAGACATTTATGCAGCCAACAGACACATGAAAAAATGCTCATCATCACTGGTCATCAGAGAAATGCAAATCAAAACCACAATGAGATACCATCTCACACCAGTTAGAATGGCAATCATTAAAAAGTCAGGAAACAACAGGTGCTGGAGAGGATGTGGAGAAATAGGAATGCTTTTACACTGTTGGTGGGACTGTAAACTAGTTCAACCATTGTGGAAGTCAGTGTGGCAATTCCTCAAGGATCTAAAACTAGAAATACCATTTGACCCAGCCATCCCATTAATGGGTATATACTCAAAGGATTATAAATCATGCTGCTATAAAGACACACGCACACATATGTTTATTGCGGCATTATTCACAATAGCAAAGACTTGGAACCAACCCAAATGTCATCAATGATAGACTGGATAAAGAAAATGTGGCACATATACACCATGGAATACTATGCAGCCATAAAAAAGGATGAGTTCATGTCCTGTATAGGGACATGGATGAAGCTAGAAACCATCATTCTCAGCAAACTATCACAAGGACAAAAAACCAAACACCACATGTTCTCACTCACAGGTGGGAATTGAACAATGAGAACACTTGGACACAGGAAGGGGAACATCACACACCAGGGCCTGTCATGGCGTGGGGGCAGGGATAGCATTAGGAGATATACCTAATGTAAATGACCAGTTAATGGGTGCAGCACACCAACATGGCACATGTATACATATGTAACAAACCTGCACGTTGTGCACATGTACCCTAGAACTTAAAGTATAATAAAAAATAAAATAAAATAAATAAATAAATAAAAAGAAGGGAGGCCAGCCCGGTGTGGTGGCTCATGCCTGTAATTCCGGCACTTTGGGAGGCCAAGGCAGGCAGATCATGAGGTCAGGAGATCAAGACCATCCTGGCTAACATGGTGAAACCCCATCTCTACTAAAAATACAAAAAAATTAGCCAGGCCTGGTGGCACACACCTGTAGTCCCAGCTTCTCAGGAGGCTGAGGCAGGAGAATCACTTGAACCCAGCAGACAGAGGTTGCAGTGAGCTGAGATTGCACCACTGCACTCCAGCCTGGGTGATGGGGCGAGACTCCATCCCAAAAAAAAAAAAAAAAAAGAAGTGAGGCCTTTAGGAAGTGACTTAGGAATAGTCACTAAGAGGCTTGAGGGAACTCCCTTGACCCTTTCACCATGTGAGAACACAACAAGGCACTATCTTTGAAGTGGAGAGCAAGCCCTCACCAAACTCTAAATCTGCTAGCACCTTAATCTTGGACTTCCCAGCCTCCAGAACTGTGAGCAACAAATTTCTGTTGCTTGTAAATTACTCAGTCTAAGGTATTTTGTTACAGAAGCCTAAATGAACTAAGATATATAATAAAGTAAAATTCACAATATCTGGCATCCAATCAGAAATTAACAGAAACACAAAGAAGTTTAAAAAAAAAATACAAACATAATGAGGAGAAAAAGCAATCAATCAAAACTGACCAAGAATTGAGACAGATGTTTGAATTTTGCAGGCAAAAACATTCAAATTATTATTATACCTTCATTTCACATGTTTAAAATTTGAAGTACAAGAATAAAAGATATAAAAAGACTCAAATCTAACTTCTAGAGATGAAAAAATACAATGTATCACATGGAAAATATATTGGATGGGAGTAATGGCAGATTAGACATTGCAAAGAAAAGATCAGTGAATTAAAAAGATAGGAATAGAAACTATTCAAAATGAAACACTGAGAGACAAAAGAATCAAATAAAATTAAAAGATGGTAGTGTGTGCCTGTAGTCCTAGCTACTCAGGAGGCTGAGGCGGATGGATCACTACAGCCCAGGAGGTCAATGCAGTGAGCTATGATCGTGCCACTGCACTCCAGCCTGGGCAACAGAGCAAGATCCTGTCTCTAAAAAATGAATAAATAATAAAGTGTGAGGTGAGAGTGACCAGAATGAAAAATGAGCTGAACATTGTGTATGATAAAAAAAAAAGACTGTTTTACCTCACAGATGAATTTATTAGTTTCTTGACCCATGAAATGGTAAATATCATGCATGAAGAACCCAGCATTAGCCAGACATATAAAGTCTTTGAACCTTGGGAAAGTGACTTATCTTCTGAGTCTTAAGTTCACCAAGTGTAAAATAAGAACTTTTTTTTTTTTTTTTTTTTGAGACAGAGTCTGGCTCTGTTGCCCAGGCTGGAATGCAGTGCAATCTCGGCTCACTGCAAGCTCCACCTCCCAGGTCCACGCCATTCTCCTGCCTCAGCCTCCCGAGTAGCTGGGACTACAGGCACCTGCCACCACGCCTGGCTACTTTTTTGTATTTTTGGTAGAGACGGGGTTTCACCATGTTAGCCAGGATGGTCTCGATCTCCTGACCTCGTGATCCACCCGCCTCGGCCTCCCAAAGTGCTGGGATTACAGGTGTGAGCCACCGCGCCTGGCCAAAATAAGAATTTCTTTACACAAAATTTCTTCGGCCTTCAGATTCATACCTTCAGCTACTTGAGGGCATTCCCATTTAAATGACCCATAAGCCCCAAAAACTCAGCATGTCTAAACCATGTTCTGCCCTCTACAAACTTATACACTTATACACAGAATCTAAAATAGCCAGACTCATAGAAGCACAGAGTAGGATGGTGATTGCCAGGGGCTGGGAAGAGATGGGAATGGAGTGATGTTGGTCAAAGGGTACAGAAATGGTGACTATGTAGAAATGATTGATATGTTAATTACTGGAATGTGATGATCGTCTCACATTGTCTATCAAAACATCACGTTGTGTACCTTAAATATATACAATTTTTTGTTTCTAGGCAGTTAATGATGATTGACAACAGCAAAAACCAGTGTAATATATACAAAATTATTTTATGTCAGGAGAAAATGTATCATATTGGCAAGAGAACACGTCCTGCCAACCCCTAAGAGGCTGGCATTGTACATCCACCCTGTGACAGGCCCCACTGGGACTGTGGTGAACATGCCTGTACCTCAGTACAAAGCCCCCTTTCCCTGAGAAATGTACAGAGGGAGAATGAAGAGAGTGTACCCAAAAGGAAGAGAGAGAGGCTGGGGCCCTGTGCCCCAAGCTCAGAATTTCACAGGCATGACCAGCCAGAACTGGGCTGCTTTTGGTCACAGTGCTTGTCAAAGCTCAGCTGCACCGAAGCCTCCATGGCCTGGAGCTTGGCAGTGCTGTTCCCATACAAGCGCTTCATCTCAGCCTGGCACCGCTTGCTGGGCCGCTCAGTCGGGGGCTCCACCCACCAGTGGGTGTTGTAGCAAAGGTCGTGGTCGGCATTCACATAGCTGTCCAAGCATTCTGCATCCAGCTGCTGCCGCCACCCTTGTTCTTCTCTGTGCCTCCCGGTTTCTGCAAAGTACTGGCAGAGATCCTCAGTGATTTCCATATTGCTCAGGTCACATTCTACCTCTGCATCTACCCCTCCTCTTTAAACAAAGCTTGGTCTTCTCTCGTGGATGCCTGGATCCCAGTGCTGTCATGTGGATGCTGCCCAGACCCTCTGAAATGTGAAGAACTGCAGGTGGAGTCCTGCCAGGCCACATGATGGTCACAGAAGGACTGAGGATATCCAGCCTGTCTGTTGTAAGAGCTTTGGAAAAGAAGTGCAGAAAGGAAGTGCCGGCTGGGTGCGGTGGCTCACGCCTGTAATCCCAGCACTTTGGGAGGCCAAGGCAGGCAGATCACATCAGGAGTTCGAGACCAGCCTGGCCAACACGGTAAAACCCCGTCTCTACTAAAAATACAAAAAAGTAGCCGGGTGTGGTGGCGGGCGCCTGTAATTCCAGCTACACAGGAGGCTGAGGCAGGAGAATCACTTGAAACCGGGAGGTGGAGGTTACAGTGAGCCGAGGTTGTGTCACTGCACTCCAGCGTGGGCAACAACAGCGAGACTCTGTCTTTAAAAAAAAATAAAATAAAAGGGAAGCGCCACAGGCGACTGACACAGGATTCCACGGCCTTCCTGTAGGCATTCTGATGGCTTTGCCATCAAGCCATTGCTTGATGATAATGTTGCCAGTATCTTGCATACGCCAGATGAGAATACCAAGGCCTGGAAGCTTTCGACGTTGATGCCTTCACCACTGCCATCTCTGATTGTGAAAGTCCAAATAGGTACTGAAACTCATGGGCGCGCAGCTTGCAGATCCCGGGCAGTGGGCGAGTAGGGGCCTAGTTTTCATTGGAGAGACAGAGGTGGGGGGAGTGGGGAGAAGGTGGCTGTTGCTGGGGTGACTGGAAGCTTGCTAATATACACAGTTTTTTAAATTCTTTTTTTATTTTAATTTTTTAGTTCTAGGGTACATGTGCAGGATGTGCAGGTTTGTTACATAGGTAATCGTATGACAGTGGTTTGCTGCACCTATCAGCCATCACCTAGGTATTAAGCCCAGCATGCATTAGCTACTTTTCCTAATACTCTCCCTCCCCCTACCCTACCCCCTGATAGGCCCCAGTGTGTGTTGTTACCCAATTTTTTTTTTGTTTGAGACGGAGTCTCACTCTGTTGCCCAGGCTAGAATGCAGTGGTGCCATCTCCGCTCACTGCAACCTCTGCCTCCCGGGTTCAAGTGATTCTCCTGCCTCAGCCTCCCGAGTAGCTGGGACTACAGGTGCATGCCATCACGCCTGGCTAATTTTTGTATTTTTAGTAGAGATGGGGTTTCACCGTGTTAGCCAGGATGGTCTTGATCTCCTGACCTCATGATCTGCCCACCTCGGCCTCCCAAAGTACTGGGATTACAGGCATGAGCCACTGCGCCCAGCCTGTTTCCCAATTTTTATATGTTCAAAAAACTAAGTTGTCACAAATGAAGAATTTAAAAGACAAAAAAAAGTTAAAAATAATTGTTAAAACTGACCCAAAAAGGAGTGTTATGCAATTATTAAAAATAAGCCTGCCGGGGTAGTGGCTCACCCCTGTAATCCCAACACTTTGGGAGGCGGCCAAGGCAGGTGGATCGTTTGAGGCCAGGAGTTCCAGACCACTCTGGGCAACAAGGTGAAACCCCATCTCTACAAAAAATACAAAATTTATCCAGGCATGGTGGCATGCTCCTGCAGTCCCAGCTACTAGGGAGGCTGAGATGGGAGGTTTACTTGAGCCCAGTAGGTAGAGGCTGCAGTGAGCCATGATTACGCCACTGTACTCTAGCCCAGGCAACAAAGCGAGACCCTGTCTCAAAAAGAAAGAAAAGAAAGAAAAAAGAAAAGAAAAGAAAGGAAAGGAAAAGAGGGAGGGAGGGAGGGAAGGGAGGAAGGAAGGCAAGAAAGAAGACTACAAAATATCTAATGACTTAGAGTGATGGCCCAAAGAATCACTGTATACCCACCCCCCCCCCCCACACACACACACACAATTAAGGGAAAGTAAAGTGAGAGAGAGGGAGGGAGGGAGAGAACAATAGAAAGAAATCCCAAACTGTTTTAAATAGTTTCCTAAAGGATGTTGGAAATGGAGTTTTTCTTTTTGCTTATCAGTGCTGGCTAAATTTTTTATAATGAATATTAAACAAATAAGAAAGTTATTTTTTAATTACAGGAATTCACTAAGGAAAAGATTCCTTTGACAAAAATATAAGCAACTTCTTGGTTTCAAGACCAAGAGAAGCAGCATGCAGGAGTGCTAGGATGCAGACTCAGAGCCACTCTACTTGAGTCTGAACTTGTGCTCCAGCCACTTCTTTTCATGAAATCATAGACCATGGCTGGGCCCGGTGGCTCATGCCTGTAATCCCAGCACTTTGGGAGGCCAAAGTGGGTGCATCGCTTGAGCTCAGGAGTTTGAGACCAATCTGGGCAACATGGTGAAACCCCGTCTCTACTAAAAATACAAAAATTAGCCAGGTGTGGTGGCACCTGCTACCAGGTGTGGGAATTGGGAATTGTCCAGCTACTCAGGAGGCTGAGGTGGGAGGCTCATTTGGGCCCAAACTCTGGTAAAACACCAAATTTCCCACTTGTTTGTTTGTTTGTTTGTTGTTGTTGAGATGGAGTTTTGCTCTTGCTGCCCACGCTGGAGTGCAATGGCGCGATCTTGGCTCACCTCAACCTCCACCTCCCGGGTTCAAGCAATTCTCCTGCCTCAGCCTCCTGAGTAGCTGCGATTACAGGCACATGCCACCACACCCAGCTAATTTTGTATTTTAGTAGAAATGGGGTTTCTCCATGTTGGTCAGGCTGTTCTCGAACTCCTGACCTCAGGTGATCCGCCCACCTCAGCCTCCCAAAGTGCTGGCATTACAGGCGTGAGCTACCACACCTGGCCCTACTTGCTTTTTGTTTCATATCTTCTCACTTTGCTTACACTGACTTCTTTGCCTGGAATGGACTCTCCTTTTTCCCCTTGGATGACTCTTGTTCATTCATTCAGGTTCTTAATGAAGGTGCCATGCCCAGAAGCCTTCTTCAAAACCCCAGATAATATTAACATCCTCTTTCCCCTTTTTTTTTCATAATATCCTGTATGTGATCATGACATTTTGTGATTGTGTGATTTTTGCACCCCAAACTATGGTAAGTTCAAGGTCAGGAACTATGTTCATTTTTCTTTGTATACCCAGTATTGCACAAAACAAACACTCTAGTATTTGTTTAACTGAACAGATACAAACAGCACCTCATATAATACTGTACAGATATACTGAAATTGGTCAAGTCTCTCTAATTTTCTTCCTGAATCAAAAGCACCACCACCAACAAAAACTAAGCACCTCTATGTACCAGCTCTGAACTAGGTACTGTGGAATTGGCAATGACTTTGTACTATGAGAAACAGTGATAAAATTCTTAGAAAATATCTATAGTGTGAGGTAACATTTGATAAGGTCCAAAGACAAGCTAGAAATTCATTCTTTGTGATTACGAATGCATCCCTGACCTACCAGATTCTAGTTATAAGTATTGCTTTACCTTTTTAAACCCTTTTTCTATGCAATGCAAAGATCTTAGATTTTTGCAACACTATATCCACTTTCTTGAATTATATAATTACGTGTTACATTATTGGTGTGATTAAATATAGATGAATATTATCTAGCTAAAAATATAAAGAGATAGATAATGGAAAAGGGGGGTTAAAGGAATTAGTGAAGAATTAATATCCTGTGTTAAATTCAGTACCCTAAGACCAGTTTGGACTTTTATGTTTAGGGCTCCAGAGAGGGTTGTCCCAGAAAGAAGGGCTATATGAACAGTCCTGCGCACAGCCCCTCTGTGTCTTGCCTTCTGCTTGGATTTTTCCTTTTACTCCACAACAGCATCCAGGAGTATCCTGCTTACTCCTTAGAATTCCATAATGCCATATCGACATGTCTCTAAGGAGAGCAGGAGCAGGCTGGGGTGTTCAAAAAAACTTCAATGACCACCAAAATGGGAAAAAAAAAAAGTAAAGAAAAATACAATAGCAAAAACTGATGACCCTATTTCCAAAATAAAGGTCTGGGAGCCTCCAAGCATCAACGAAAGCATGAACACACACACCGAATGTACTTAAAACAGCTATTATAGCACCCAAGGACTGCTATCAGTAGTAGCAATAGCTTCCTCAACCAAGCTTGTGAGGTAGGTGCATTTTACAGCCAAGGAAACTGAGCCTCAGAATGATCAAGAGAATTCCTCAAAGTTGCAAGGTTAGTTTTGGAGATAAAATTCAAACCAGTGTCTATTGGATTACAGAGTCTGTGTTGCTTTCATTACACTAAGCTGCCTACCTAGCCAGCTGTATTTTCCTACACATGCAATAGGTTTCCTTTCTAATCAGTATTACCTATTACTTTAAGCTAAGCCTGGTAAGTATTGATTCACATGTAGCTTTCAAAATGTTCACCTCCTATTAGCAGAGGCCAGCCTAGCTGCAGAGAGGAAGATGACCCAAAATAAATCCACATAAACCAAATACTGCATATTCTCACTTATAAGCAAGAGCTACACTATGGGTACACAGGGCCATAAAGAGTGGAATAATGGACATTGGAGATTCAGAAGCAGGGATGGTGGCAGGGGAGAGAAGGATGAAAATTACCTGTTGGGTACAATGTGCACTACTCAGGTGACGGGCACACTAAAAGCCCAGGCTTCACCACTATATATCAATGTAACCAAAAACCACTTGTACCCTTAAAGCTATTGAAAGTAAACAAACAAGCATTCTTAAAAATAAATAAATAAAATAAATCCACAAGCTCTGTATTTGTGGCCAATTTTGTGTTTGGCCCAGCTTTTCCTGATGTTCAAGTCTGAATTATTCCCACGAGCGTCCTAACCTGACTACCATGATGATGGGGAAGAATGAAGAATTACAATGTTGGGAAGTATATATATATTTTCCCCATACTCACTAAAATAACCAAAAGATGGTATGGAAACAACTGAAAACTAGATTCAAAGGCCTATCCTAACATTCCTATTCCCCACCATGTAAGATAGAAAATAGCAATTTCCCCAGCATTTTGGGAGGCCAAGGCAGGCAGATCACTTGAGCCCACAAGCTTGAGACCAGCCTGGGCAACATGTTGAAACTACATCTCTACAAAAAAAAAATTTTTTTAATTAGCCAGGCATGATGGTACACACCTGTAGTCCCAGTTACTTTGGAGGCTGAGGTGGGAGAACTGCTTGAGCCCCAGGAGGTCAAGGCTGCAGTGAGCCCTGATCAAGCCACTGTACCCCAGCATGTGTTACAGAGTGAGACCCTGTCTTAGAAAAGAAAGTAGCAATTTCAATTCCCTTCACAGAAGACAAAGCACAAACTTTGGTGTCTGAAACAGGATTTAAAGCTGTGGAACTGAGAAATCTATTTTCCCATCTGTAAAGGGAGCTGTTAAGGGGATTCAAAATAATATGCATCCCACCCAGCCCACTGTAAGATCAGTTGAAACTGTGAAATAAGTGACAGTTGTTATTGTCACTGTTACTATTACAAATATTAACAGTAGTATTGTTTTAGCATATGCACGCAGGTAACAATAGCTTCACCTAGGAGGTCCTTAACAATTGTAGAAGCTCTTGGAAACCTGCTCCTATGTGGGCCCTTTCCCTTCAGCATGGGACCTGGTACAGACAACTTATACCATCTCCCACTCCTCTTCTCCTCCTCAAGGGGCTACCAATCTTGATGAACGATGAGGGTGAGTGTCGGTAATGAGGCAGAATGGTAGGAAATAATAAGTTAACAAGCCACTTCAGAAATGACTGCATTCATTCTGTTGAGCAGCTACTTAAGTTCCGACAGTTCACACTCATTTGCTAGAGTGTAATTCTAATCAGAATGAAAGTCCTTAATCACAGCACCATTACAGAATCTTCTGTCCTGAACCTATTAGGGCTCTTATCAAGTAAATACCTTGCATTTTTGAGCCTCTGCAAAGGAAACTGAGTCAGCGGTTCACAGCTCTACTTATCCCAGGATTAGTGCTGATGCTGCCAGGTCACAAAGCAATACTCATCCCTCCCCTACCTATTTGTTTCATCCGACCATGACTTGGCCTTCCACCATCCCATACCCTGTGAATAAAGGTCATAAATGCCCTCCCTCCTGCACGGACTCAGGTCAACACACATATCCTGGTTTTACGTTGTGCTGGTCATTTAACTTTTCTCTATCTCACTTTCTTTACATGTAAAGCAGATGATCAAGTCATAGTGCCCCATTGAGCACCAATTGCCCTGATACAAGGCAGTACCTCTTATGATGTTGATGTGAGGGTAGCAGGCAGAGGGATGTGGGTGGAGGATAGTAAAAGCCAATGGAGCAGGCCAGAAACATCACTGGGTTTGGGTTACTTTGAGGTTTGTTTGCTTGTTTGTTTTAAGAGATGGGGTCTCATTATGTTGCCCAGGCTGGAGTGCAGTGGCTATTCACAGGCATGATCTCACTGCTGAGCAGCACGGGAGTTTTGACCTGCTCTATTACTGACCTGGGCCAGTTCACCCCTCCTTAGGCAGCCTGGCAGTCTCCAGCTCCCAAGAGTCATCATACTGACACTGAACTTAGCATGGACACCCATGGGCATAGCGCACTACAGCCCAGAACTTTTGGGCTCAAGTAATCCTCTCACCTCTATCTCCTGAGTAGCTAAGACTACAAGTGTGGGCCACTGCATCTGACTAATTTTGGAAATAATTGAGAGTAATGAAGAGAAAAGGAGAAAACCAGGTCACTGGTCTGCAATATCTTGCAAAATTAATTAAAAGGAAAAGTGTCATGTTTCTTCATTATAAATGGCTCTCACCTTTGGACCAACTCCCAGAAGTCCACCTTGGCCCCCCGCAAGGTCAACAGCGCTGTTTGAAGTCAATTCTGTAGCCCTCAAATTTAAATAATTATATGTTCTCCAAGTCTGCCCCATCTCTATTCTTTTGGTTACTCAGGCTGGATATTCTAGATCTATTTTTGACTCCTTCCTCAACTACCAAACTCTTCAATATCTCTACTATTCCGTATCTCTTCACCACTCCAATGGATGGTCAGTATAAAGTTTCCCTCTCAACTGACATTGAAAAAGCATTTCGCTTTGTTCATCCTGCCTCCAGTATCTCCATTTCAGTGTTTCAGGTCTACCCTGTGATTTTTTTTTTTTTTTTTTGAGATGGAGTCTCGCTCTGTTGCCCAGGCTGGAGTGCAGCAGCACGAGCTCAGCTCACTGCAACCTCTGCCTTCTGGTTTCAAGCGATTCTCCTGCCTCAGCCTCCTGAGTAGCTGGGACTACAGGTGCATGCCACCATGCCCGGCTAATTTTTGTATTTTTAGTAGAGATGGGGTTTCACTATAGTGGCCAAGCTGGTCTCGAACTCCTGACCTGCCTACCTCAACCTCCCAAAATGCTGGGATTACATGCGTGAGCCACTGCACCCGGCCAGGGATTTTAACCTTTAAAAATAAAGCTCTTGTTCCAAAACACTAAATGTCTCCCTAGTTTCCACTAAATAAAGGCCCAAATATCTCAGCCTGGTATTCAACTATTTTCATAATCTGACCCCAAACTTCCCATCTCCAACAGCTCTTGCTGTCTCCTTCCTTGAATTCTAGAGGCCACCCAAGCTGAACTGATTGCTAGTCTCAGTGCATGCCTCTGCTTCCTCTTCCCACATATATATTATGATGTTTTCTGCCTACGAGAAATCCTTAATTCCCAAATTTGTTCAGGTCTAAATTGTTCCTAAACATCAACATGCAACTCAAATGGCACCTTTCCTGAAGACTTTTCTGAACCCCCAAATAGAAGAGATCTTTATTCTCTGAACCCTCTCTCATAGCATTTACTACAGTATGACGACCTACAGGACTGAGTTCTTAACCAGTGCACTCAGCTCCCTCTCAGAGTACAACAAATCCAACTCCAAGGGACTTGAATCCTGGCATCATCATTGATCAGGTATTTGACCTGGGGTTATTTATTTAATCTCTGCCATCTTCCACTTGCTTATAAGATGGGAATAAGAATGATTCCTACTTCACTGGATATGGGAACTTCATGTATGAGGATTTCATGAGATAATACATGTCAGGTACTTGGCCTGCTGTCTGACACAGAAGTGCTCACTAAATTTTAGTTATGGTTTATTTATTTGTATCTGTGGGAGATACTTTCCAAAAAGGGTTGCTGTCAATCCCCTCCTTGCCTATAAGTGTGTGCCACTTCACCCATTAAGTTCATTACCTTTTCTCTTGACTCGAGACTGGCACCGTGACTTTCCTTGACCAATAAAATGCAGCAGAATGGATGCTATTTCTGGTCTTCTCCTTTAAGAAACCCAGCAGAGGCCCTGCATGCTGGCACATGCCTGTAATCCCAGCACTTTGGGAGGCCAAGGCATGCAGATCGCTTGCACACAGGAGTTGGAGACCAGGCTGGGCAGTGTAGCGAAACCCCGTCTCTACAAAAATATAAAAATTACACAGGTGAAGTGGTGTGCACCTGTAGTCCCAGCTACTCAGGAGACTGAGGTGGGAGGACTGCTTGAGCCCAGGTGTTCAAGGCTGCAGTGAGCTGAGATTGCACCACTGCACCCTAGCCCGGGTGACAGAGCAAGACCCTGTCTCTAAATAAATAAATAAATAAAAAGCCCAGAAACCTCCACTTTCTCCCTGGTGAAGCCAGTCACCTTCCTGTAAAGAAGCTTGGACTAGACTACTGAATGATGAGACACTACAAAGAAAGAGAAAGACCACAGGGAAAAGTATTCAGGCACCAGATATATGAATGAACCCAAGTAGGATCTTCCAGTCAAGCCCAACTGCAAGCTGAATGCATCTGCGTAAGAGGCCACCAAGCAAGACATGCAGAAGAACCTCCCAGCTGAGCCCCAGCAGGCGAGACAACCCACAGATTTATGGGAAATCATAAATTATTGTATAGATAATTAAGCAATATTCATTCATTTTCTTTTCTATTAGATCATGCACTCCTTAAGGGCAAAGACCATATCAAATTATATCTGTATTGCCAATTCCTAGACAGAGATCTGAATAAAGTCATATATCAATACGCCAGTGGAGTAAGTCTGTGAGTAGCTAAGGCAGAGCATTTGAACACAAAGCTACTGAATGAACTATTTTGGTCTCTTTATGAAGATACTGTATATGCAAAATCAAATCCCAGTGTAGGAATACATTAATACAGTCTGACAACATAAGCAAGGGGACCCCCTTTAAAAACTCTAAACTCAACATCTTGGGCAAATAGGTCACTTCCAAAACAGCTCTGCTGCCTGCAACCTTCGAAGACAGAGGCAACATGGGTAGCCTGAAGAGGGAAAGTACAGAATTTGGATTTATGGTACCAGGTTGAAATTGCAGAGGGAAACAGATGGGAGATAAAATGCTCTGTGAAGTTTACATTTTTCTATACATTCATTCAGTGATTGCTGCTCACCATCTGTCTTGGCTCTGTAAGTTGGGTCTTCAAGCATTGAAAGAGCTTCATTCTGTCACTATTGCAGAATGACACTGAATGTACCACTTCTAAAGATTATACCTGGTCTAGCAGAGCCCAGCCCTGTCCCGTTAAGCCTGTTGCCCCATCCCCACATCACAAGACTAAAATGAAGGCATCTCTGGCAGCTTTCTCTCATTCTCAAGCTTCATCCTGAACCATCCCCCTCTTGCTTTTTCTTTTTTTTTTTTTCACCTCTTTTCCATTTAGAATCTGGCATGTGTCCTCAGACTATTACTGTACACCAGTGGTTCTCTTCACCAACCATAATGCCTAATTTTCCCGTTAATTTCCTACTTCTGGTTACTGTAAACAAAGTAAATCCCTCATTCCCTACAGCTGGGCCACAAAACCCAGGATAGACCCTTGTAATCTCTGTGATCCCTGGATGTTCACATGAGCTCTTGACTGATGCCCACTTCCTGCATGTTGGTCAACATTTTACCTGGATCCTTTGGAAGGAAGGGAAACAAAAAGGATCAGCAATATGAACCTCTTAATTTGAGTAAATGCTAATCAAACCCAATAACAGGCCGGGCATGGTGGTTCACGCCTGTAATCCCAACACTTTGGGAGGCTGAGGTGGGTGGATCACCCGAGGTCAGGAGTTTGAACCAGCCTGGCCAACATGGCAAAACCCCGTCTCTACTAAAAATACAAAAAATTGTCTGGGTGCAGTGGCTCACGCCTGTAATCCCAGCACTTTGGGAGGCCGAGGCAGGCGGATCATGAGGTCAGGAGTTCAAGACCAGCCTGACCAATGTGGTGAAACCCCGTCTCTACTAAAAGTACAAAAAAATTAGCTGGGCGTGGTGGCACGTGCCTGTAGTCCCAGCTACTCGGGAGGCTGAGGCAGGAGAATCACTTGAACCCAGGAAGCGGAGGTTGCAGTGAGCCGAGATCACGCCATTGCACTCCAGCCTGGACAACAGAGCCAGACTCCGTCTCAAAAAAAAAAAAAAAATTAGCCAGGCATGGTGGTGGGCACCTGTAATCCCAGCTACTTGGGAGGCTGAGGCAGGAGAATCACTTGAGCCTAGGAGGCAGCGGTTGCAGTGAGCCAAGATCATACCACTGTACTCCAGCCTAGGTGACAGAGCAAGACTATGTTTAAAAAAAAGAAAGAAAGAAAAAAGAAACAAAAACAATAACAGATGTTCTCTTCAGCTTTCACTCTCCGTTTTGCATCATGTGAAAAGTCATGCCCTCCCCAATAATTTTTGTTCAGTTCTAAGATCTTTATATTCTCATTGCCACTCCTTTCAGCAATTCCCTAACTCCACTGAATTCTGATTTCTGATTTTAGTTATGCCATATGTTCATTTACTGAGTCCTAAATATCTTTCTTATATCATCAAATATTTCTCAAGTTGGCCGGGCATGATGGCTTACACCTGTAATCCCAGCATTTTGGGAGGCCAAGGTGGGCGGATCACTTGACTACAGGATTTCAAGACCAGCCTCACCAACATGATGAAACCCTGTTTCTACTAAAAGTACAAAAATTAGCCTGGCATGGTGGCGTATGCCTGTAATCCCAACTACTCGGGAGGCTGAGGCAGGAGAATTGCTTGAACCCAGGAGGCAGAGGCTGCAATGAGCCAAGACTACACCACTGCACTCCAGCCTTAGTGACAGAGCGAGACTCCGTCTCGATTAAAATATATATATATTTCTCAAGTCCTTCATATATGAATGTAACAAAACCCCATCACTGTTATCTAAGACATAATGATCTAGTGCGGGGACAGAATAATGAACAGGTAATTAAACACTGTTAAATGCTCTGATTGCAAAAGTAGAGTGTACTTCATTCTAGGGTGAGCTGAGAGGTTAGAAAAAGCTTCCCAGAGAAGTAAGAAGCAGGGAATACCCAGATTCTTGCAACTCAAAATGTGGTCCATAAAAATAGATAAATCTACAATTATACTTGGAAATTTCAGTATCTCTCTCTCTCTCTCAAAAATTAATAGAACACTGGGCACAGTGGCTCACACCTGTCATCACAGCACATTTGAAGGCCGAGATGGGAGGATCACTTGTGCCCAGGAGTTCTTAACCAGCCTGGGCAACAAAATGAGACCCCATCTCTATAAAAAATGTAGAAAGTAGCTGTACATAGTGGCATGAGCCTGTGGTCCCAGCTACTCAGAAGGCTGAGGCAAGCAGATCACTTGAGCCCAGGAGGTCGAGGCTGCAGTGAGCCATGTTCACACCACTGCACTCCAGTGCTTGGGTGACACAGTTAGACCCTGTCTCAGAAAAAAAAAAAAAAAATGACATAACAAGTGGACAGGAAATCACCAAGGAGATAGTAGACTTGACAACTATGAACCAACTTGACCTAGTTGACATTTATAAAACACTCGACCAAACAACAGCAGGATAAACATTCTTCTCAAATGCACAAAAAACAGTTACAAAAAAAAAAATCCTACTCTGGGACATAAATCGAGTCTCAATTATTTCAAAAGAATTCAAGGCATACAAAGTATATTCTCTGCCCACAAATTAATTAAATTAGAAATCAATAACTGAAAGAGCTCTGGAAAAATCCCAAAATATTTGGAAACTAAATAGTACTCATCTAAATAACCCACAGGTCAAAGATGAAATCAAAAGGGAAATTAGAAAGTTTTCCAAGCAGCATGAAAATGACAACACAAAGTATCAGAATTTATCAAGTGCCATAAAGCAATGCTAACAGAAATTAGTGCCTATATTAGAAAAGAAGAAAGGTCTCAAATCAATAACTTCAGCTTCCACCTTAGAAACTAGGATAAGAAGAAAAACTACCAATGTCCATCAATGATAGACTGGATTAAGAAAATGTGGCACATATACACCATGGAATACTATGCAGCCATAAAAAAGGATGAGTTCATGTCCTTTGTAGGGACATGGATGAAGCTGGAAACCATCATTCTCAGAAAACCATCACAAGGACAAAAAACCAAACACTGCATGTTCTCACTCATAGGTGGGAATTGAACAATGAGAACACTCGGACACGGGAAGGGGAACATCACACACTGGGGCCTGTTGTGGGGTGGGGGGAGTGGGGAGGGATAACATTAGGAGATATACCTAATGTAAATGACGAGTTAATGGGTGCAGCACACCAACATGGCACATGTATACATATGTAACAAACCTGCACGTTGTGCACATGTACCCTAGAACTTAAAGTATAATTAAAAAATAAAAAAGAAGAAAAACTAAACCTAAATTAAGCAGAAGAAAAAGAATAATAAAGATCAAAGTGGAAATCAATGAAATGGAAAAGCAATAGAGAAAAACAATGAAACCAAAAGCTGGTCGTTTGAGAAGATTAATAAAATTAACAAATCTCTAGCCAGAATGACTAACAGAGACACACAAATCACTAATATCAGAAATAAATGAGTTACATCATTTAAATTTCTTCAGATATTAAAGATAAGAAGCAAATATAGTAAATAACTTTATGGCAACAAATTCAAAAACTTAGATAAAACGAAAACAAAAAATCCTTATGGGACACAAATTACCAAACCTCATTAAAGAAAAAATAAACTGAAAAGATCTATCTATAAAAGCAAGTGAAGTTATAATTTAAAACATCTCCACAAAGAAAACTCCAAGTCCAAATAGCTTCACGGGTATATTCCACCAAATATTTAAAGAAGAAATAATGCTAATTCAATACAAACTCCTCCAAAAATTAAAGAGAAGGGGATACTTTCCAACTTATTCTATGAGGCTAATAGTACTCTAACACTAAAATCCAGAAAGAAAGCATTACAAGGAAATACATAGATCAATAATCCTCTTGAACTTAGACATAAAAATTCTAAACAAAATTTTAGCATGTCAAATGCTAAATTATGTATATATATATAAAGAATAGTATACCAGGGCCAAGTGAGATTTATTCAAAGAATGTAGGGTTAGTTTAACATTCAAAATTCAATCAATGTAATTTACTATATTAACTAACTAAAGGAAAAAACATTATTATCTTAACAGATGAAGAGAAAGCACTTGCCAAAATCCAACATCCATTCCTGATAAAAACTCTTAGTGAACAAATAACAGGGAAGAACTTCCTCAACCTGGTAAAAGCCATTCACACACACAAACACATACACACATACACACACACACACACACACACACACAGCTAACATACTTAATAGGGAAAGACTTAAATGCTTTTCCCCTAAGATCAAGAACAAGTCAAGGATGTCCACTTCTATTTAACATCATACTGGAAGTTCTAGACAGTGCAGTCAGGCAAGAAAAAGAAAAAAGCCATCCAGATTGGAAAAGAAGTACATGGTCTTCTCACAGATAGCACAAAAACCTATATAGAAAAACATGAAATCATCCAAAAAGCTAGTAGAACTAATAAGTAATATAGAAAGGTTGTAGGATGCAATATCGATATACAAAAATCTAATATAGTTCTACATTAGCTACAATTGGAAATATATATATATATTTTTTTTTTTCTTTTTTTTTTTTGAGATGGAATCTGGCTCTGTCGCCCAGGCTGGAATGCAATGACGTGATCTCGGCTCACTGCAACCCCCGCCTCCCAGGTTCAAGCGATTCTCCTGCCTCAGCCTCCCAAGTAGCTGGGATTACAGGTGTCTGCCATCATGCCAGGCTAATTTTTGTATTTTTAGTGAAGACAGAGTTTCACCACGTTGGCCAGACTGGTCTTGAACTCCTGACCTCAAGTGATCCACCTGCCTCGGCCTCCAAAGTGCTGGGATTACAGGTGTCTGCCATCATGCCAGGCTAATTTTTGTATTTTTAGTGAAGACAGAGTTTCACCACGTTGGCCAGACTGGTCTTGAACTCCTGACCTCAAGTGATCCACCTGCCTCGGCCTCCAAAGTGCTGGGATTACAGGTGTGAGCCACCATGCCCGGCTGGGAAATAGAAATTTTTATAATACCACTTACAATAGCATTCTAAAATGTTAAATACGTAGAGATAAATCTTTTTTTTAAATGGGAAAAGACTCATACACTTAAAATTTCTCTAAACGTTTTATTTTTAAAGAATTAAATAAATGACAAAGTATACCTTGTTCATGGGTCAAAAGACTCAATATTGGTAAGATGTCAATTCTTCTGCAAATTATAGATTCAAAATAATCCCAATCAAAACCCCAGCAGGCTTTCTGCAGAAATTGACAAGGTGATTCTAGAATTCATATGCAAATGCTAAGGACCTAAAATAACCAAAACAATTCAGAAAAAGAAGAATGAAGTTGGAGAACTAACCTACCTAATTTCAAGAATTTTTTATGATTTTCCTTTTTTTTTTTTTCTTTCTTTCAGATAGAGTCTTGCTCTGTCATCCAGGCTGGAGTACAGTAGGGCAATCACAGCCTACTGCAGCCTTGAACTCCTGGGCTCCAGCGATCTTCCCATCTTGGCATCCCAAAGAACTGGGATTACAGGCATGAGCCACTGTGTCCAGTCAATAATTATTTAAAAGATACAATAATAAAAACAGCATGGCAGAGGCATAAAAATAGACAAATAGAATAAAGGATCCAGAAAAAAATTCACATATAATTAACGCTGATTTTTTACAAAGAAATATCAGGAATGCAGAAAGGATGGCTTTATTAACAAACAGTGTGAGTTAGGTGCAGTGGCTCATGTCCATAATCCCAGCACTCAGAGAAGCAGAGGCGAGAGAATGGCTTGAGGCCAGAAGTTCAAGGTCAGCCTGGGCAACACAGTGAGACCCCCATCACTAAAAAAAATTCTTTTTTAAAAACCTACAACTATAAAAACTCTGGAAGAAAACTAGGATATACTATTCTAGACATAGGCCCTGGCAAAGATTTCATGACGAAGATACCAAAAGCAATTGCAACAAAAACAAAAAATTGACAAATGGGACCTAATTACACTAAAGATCTTCTGCAAAGCAAAAGAAACTATCAACAGAATAAACAGACAACCTACAAAACAGGAGAAAATACTTGCAAACTATGCATCCAACAAATGTCTAATATCCAGAATCTATAAGGAATTTAAATCAATAAGCAAAACACAAACCACCCCATTAAAAAGTGGGCAAAGGACATGAACACTTTTCAAAAGAAGGCATACATGAGGCCAGGAGTTAGAGATCAACCTAGGCAACATATGAGACCCCATGTCTTAAAAAAAAAAACAGAAAAATTAGCCAGGTGTGGTGGTGTGCACCTGTAGACCCAACTACTCAGGAAGCTGAAGTGGGAGGATTGCTTGAACCCAGGAGGCTGAGGCTACAGTAAGCCATGATCATGCCACCCCAGTCCAGCTCGGGCGACAGAGCGAGATCCTGTCACCAAAAAGAAAGAAAGAAAGAGAGAGAGAGATGTACACAAATCAGTAGCTCTGCTACACACCAATAGCGACCAAGATAAGAATCAAATCAAGAACTCAACGCCTTTTACAATAACTGCAAAAATAAAATAAAATACTTAGGAATATACCTAACCAAGGAGGTAAAAGACCTCTACAAGGAAAACGACAAAACACTGCTGAAAGAAATTATAGGCGACACAAACAATGGAAACGCATCCCATGCTCATGGATGGGTAGAATCAATATTGTGAAAATGACCATACTGCCAAAAGCAATCTACAAATTCAGTGCAATTCCCATCAAAATACTAACATCATTTTTCATAGAATTAGTAAAAATAATCGTAAAATTCATATGAAATCAAAAAAGAGCCCAAATAGCTAAAGCAATTCTAAGAACAAAGAGCAAATCTGGAGACATCACATTACATGACTCTAAATTATACTACAAGCCTATAGTGACCAAAACAGCACACTACTGGTAGAAAAATAGACACATAGGCTGGGTGCAGTGGCTCGCACCTGTAATGCCAACACTTTAGGAGGCCAAGGTGGGAAGATTGTCTGAATCAGGAATTTGAGACCAGCCTGGGCAACACAGCAAGACTCCATCTCTACAAAAAAGTACAAAAATTAGCCGGGTATGCTGGCACATGCCTGTGGTCCCAGCTACTCAGAGGCTGAGGTGAGAAGATTGCACTTGAGCCTGGGAAGTCGAGGCTGTAGTGAGCCAAGATCATGCCACTGCACCTCAGCCTGGGCAACAGAGGCGGCCCTTCTCAAAAAAAAAAAAAAAAAAAAAAAAAAAAGACACATAGGTCAATGGAACAAAAGAGAGAACCCAGAAGTAAATCCACATACCTACGAACAACTGATATTTGACCAACCTCACAAAAATATACACTACACTGGGGAAAGGGCACCCTATTCAATAAATGGTTCTGGGAAAATTGAATTGCCATATGCAAAAGAATGAAACTGGACCCCTGTCTCTCACCATATACAAAAATTAACTCAAGATGGGTTAAAGACTTAAATGGTTTGGCTCTGGGTCCCCACCCAAATCTCATCTCAAATTGTAATCCCCACATGTCCAAGGGAGGGAAGTAATTTGATCATGGGGCAGTTTCCCCCATGCTGTTCTCCTGATACTGAGTTCTCACAAGATCTAATGGTTTTATAAGTGTCTGGCATTTCCCCTGCTTGCACTTCCCTCTCCTGTCGCCATGTGAAGAAGGTTCTTGCTTCCCCTTCGCCTTCCATCATGATTGTAAGTTTCCTGAGGCCTCCCCAGCCATGTAGAACTGTGAGTCAATTAAACCTCTTTCCTTTATAAATTATCCAGCAGCCTCGGGTATTTCTTTACAGCAGTATGAAAACGGACTAGTATAATGTAAGACCTGAAACTATTTAAAAGAAAAAAAAAACTAGAAGAAACCCTAGGAAAATATCTTCCGGACATTGGCCTAGGCAAAGAATTTATGACTAAGACCTCAAAAGAAAATACAAGAAAAACAAAAATAGACAAATGGGACTTAATTAAACCAAAAGTCTTCTGCACAGCAAGAGAAATAATCAATAGAGTAAACAAACAACCCAAAGAATGGGAGAAAATATTTGCAAATTAGGCATCCAACAAAGGATTAATATCTAGAATGTACAAGGAACTCAACAAGAAAAAAAAAAACAAATAACCTCATCAAAAAGTGGACAAAGCACATGAACGGACATTTTTCAAAAGACATACAAGCGGCCAACAAACATATGAAAAATTTCTCAACATCACTAATCATCAGAGAAATACAAATTAGAACTACAATGAGATGCAATCTTACACCAATTGAATGGCCATTATTAAAAAGTCAAAAAAACAAAACCAACAGATGTTGGTGAGGATGTGGAGAAAAGGGAACACTTTTAAGTGTATAGGTATATAAGGGAATACTTATACACTGTTAGTGGGAATGTGAATTTGTACGATTTCTATGGAAAGCCATATGGAGATTTCTTAAAGAGCTAAAAATAGAACTACCATTTGATCCAGCAATCCCACTACTAGGTATCTACCCAAAGAAAAACAAATCATTATATAAAAAAGACACCTGCACTCAGATGTTTATCGCAGCATTATTCACAATAGTAAAGGGATGGAATCAACCTAAGTGTCCATCAGCAGATGACTGGACAAAGAAAATATGATATATACATCAGAGAAAATTACTCATCCATGAAAAAGAATGAATTTATGTCTTGCAGCAACATGGATGGATCTGGAGGCCATTATCGTAAGTCAAATAATTCAGAAACGGAAAGTCAAATATCATGTTCTCACTTGTAAGTGGGAGTTAAACAATAAGTATACATGGACATACAGAGAAATAACAGATGGTGAAGACTCTAAAAGGTGAGAGGATAGGAGGAGGGTGACGAATGAGACTGTTCCTATTGGGTATAATGTACAGTATTCAGATGACGGGTACACTAAAAGCCCAGACTTCATTACTATGTGATATATCCATGTAACAAAACTGCACTTGTACCCCCTAAATCTATAAAAAATAAAAATAAGAATGAAAGATATGAAGAAGTATTTTACATTTTGGATATTTTCAGATTTTGGAATATTTGCATATACATATGATATCCTTTGGATGAGACCCAAGTCTTAGCACTTATGTTTCATATACACTGTATACACATACCCTGTGGGTAATTTTATACAACATTTCTAATAATTTTGTTCATGAAACAAAGTTCATATGTTGAACCATCACAAAGCAAAGATGTGGCCGGGCACAGTGGCTCACACCTGTAATCCCAGCACTTTGGGAGGCCGAAGTGGGTGGATCGCCTCCGAGGTCAGGAGTTCGACACCAGCCTGGCCAGCATGGTGAAATCCCATCTCTACTAAAAATACAAAACTTAGTCAGGCATGGTGGCAGGCGCCTGTAATCCCAGCTACTGCAGAGGCTGAGGCAGGAGAATCGCTTGAGCCCGGGAAGGAGAGGTTGCAGTGAGCTGAGATCGTGCCATTGCACTCTAGCCTGGGCATCGCAACAAGACTCCATCTCAAAAAAATAAATAAATAAATAATTATATATATATATATATATATATATATAAACAAATGTAGCACACTGAGGTAAGATGTTAGTAAGAGGGGAAGCCACATGTGTGGTATGTGGGATCTCTCTGTTCATGTACTATCTTCTCAATTATTCTGTAAATCTAAAACTGTTCTTAAAAAGCCTATTAAAAATTAAAAAAAAAACCACCTAACAATAAAACAAAAAACAAACAGAATCTCACTCTGTCACCCAGGTTGGAGTGCAGTGGTGCAATCTCCACCTCCCGGGTTGAAGCAATTCTCCTGCCTCAGCCCCCCGAGTAGCTGGGACTACAGGCATGTGCCACCATGCCCGGATAATTTTTGAATTTTTAGTAGAGACGGGGTTTGCCATGTTGGTCAGGCTGGTCTCAAACTCCTGATTTCAAGTGATCCACTGGCCTCGGCCTCTCAAAGTGCTGGGATTACAGGTGCACCATGCCCAGCCTGATTAAATATCTAAATTAAACATTTAAAGCCAGGCACAGTGGCTCATGCCTGTAATTCCCAGCACTTTGGGAGGCTGAGGTGGGTGGATCAACTGAGGTCAGGAGTTCGAGACCAGCCTGACCAACATCATGAAAGCCTATCTCTACTAAAAATAAAAAAACTGGCCAGGCATGGTTACATGGGCCTGTAATCCCAGCTACTCAGGAAGCTGAGGTAGGAGGGAAGCTGATGGAGGAGGATCGCTTGAACCCAGGAGGTGGAAGTTGCAGTGAGCCGAGATTGTGCCACTGCACTCAGCCTGGGTGACAGAGGGAGACTCCGTCTCAAAAAAAATAAATAATAAAAACAAATTTTAAAAAAATGAGAAGGAACCATTTATATTAGTTCCCTTTGGAGAGAGAGGATGTGAGAAGATGTTTTCTTCTTTTCGTTTTATCTTATGCCCTTACCAATTAACACATACCCATGTTAGCATTTCTAAATTTAAAAATGTAAACAGGAGAGTGGATGTGGACCTTTTTTGGTTCAGTAAGTATAAAAGTCTATGTTATAAAGATCTGGATTTTTTTCCCTAAGTAAACAATGTAGAGCAGAGTGAACGGGTTTATCAAGGGCTTGGATAGATGACCTTAAGTGGCTTGGCATTGTGTAAAGTTTCTATAAAGTTAAAAATAAATACGACAGGGCCGGGCACGGTGGCTCATGCCTATAATTCTAGTACTTTGGGAGGCCAAGGCAGGTGGATCAGAGGTCAGGAGTTTGAGATCAGCCTGGCCAACATGGTAAACCCCCACTCTACTAAAAAATACAAAAAAATTAGCCGGGTATTGGGGTGGGCACCTGTAATCCCAACTACTCGAAAAGCTGAGGCAGGAGAATCGCTTGAACCCAGGAGGCAGAGGTTGCAATGAGCTGAGATCTCACCATTGCACTCCAGCCTGGGGGACAAAAGCAAAATCCCATCTCAAAAAAAATAAAAATAAAAATAAACAAATAAACATGACATACATTTTACTCCAGAATACATCTACCTTTGTTCAGTTTATACAATTTTTAAATTGCTTTCTGGTGCAATCACCTAATTCTCTTTGAAAAGCAGAATCTGGCCTGCTGAGAAGCCAGATAAAAGGCTCAGCCCTTGAAGCCATCATTCTGCAGGAAGCATCCTGAGACTTCTACCACGAGATGGCAGCCGCTGCCTAGAGATGCTACAACCAGCCGAGGCCACCTCCGTAACACCTCGCAATAAGCTCACAGAATACTAGAGGGCCCTGAGAACTGTTGGTAGGGGCAGGGGCTGCATCCGAAAACATCTCCTGGTCAGGGGCCGTCCTCCCCATGCAACAACAGGTACACACTCCCGCCCTCATTCACTTCAAGAGTCCTGTTATCTTCCACACAGCTGTGCCTATTATACATACGCACACATACACATGCACATAACCACCCTGCACAAGATGTCCAAGCTGAGAAAACGCTCCTGAACTACCAGATCTCAAGGTTCAGAGGGATCTTGCATCTATCTGTTCCTTACTTCCTATTTTAAACACAGAAGTCACTGGAGATCGAGCACATTCAATAACAGTTTTAGTGGCAGGACTTACCAGACCTCATTGTCAACCGGGGCGCCAGTCAGTGGAGGATGAACTCCACACATCCAGGAACTGGAGGAAACCACAACCCATGAAGAGCTGGTGTTGACAGAGCGCCGCTCACACCAGGCTCTGTGACGTAACTTGATTCCCTTTTTCACTTCAGGAAACTGATTTTCAGCGCAGTAATCACCTCTCCATTGTCATACAATTACCTAGTGGTAGAAAAGAGATTCAAAGCCAAATGTGTCTAATTCCAAACCCCATTCTTTCTCCTGCTCCAGCATTTTCTAAAATACTGGAAAACCAAGAATGTCCAGTTATCTGAGAAGAATTTAGTGTCACTTGCAATTTTTCTTCTTTTTACCAATAATCCAGTCAAATTACACCAAGAATTTTGCCAAGTGCTAAATAGTAATTGTCCTACCAAAGACAAGCCATAGCTGAGTGGAACATCGAATTCTAGTCAACGTGAATTCTCAAAGGTATTGCATAAAATGGCGTTTTCTGTAATCACAATAGTGCCTAAAATGCCTCAACACCACATATACTTTTTAAAAATTATATAAAAATTGCCACATTCTCAAAAAGGTTAATAAATAAACTGTGCACTCTTAGGGGTTTTTTGTTGTTGTTTGGTGGTTTGTTTTTGAGACAGAATCTCGCTTTGTCGCTCAGGCTGAAGTGCAGTGGTGCGATCTCAGCTCACTGCAACCTCCACCTCCAAGGTTCAAGCAATTCTCATGCCTCAGCCTCCCAAGTAGCTGGGATTATAGGAGCCTGCCACCACCACACCCAGCTAACTTTTGTATTTTTAGTAGAGACAGGGTTTCACCATGTTGGTCCGGTTGGTCTCAAACTCCTAACCTCAAGCAATCCACCCACATCAGCCTCCCAAAGTGCTAGTGCTAGGATTACAGGCATGAGCCACCATGCCTGTAAAAAACGCCCGGCCAGGATTCCTTTTTCACATATGCTACTGCTGGCCACAGGCCATTATCATCAACACACCAATATGTGCTTGAGTTGTATTAATAAAAGGATAAAGTTCAAAACAATGGAAGTGATCATCTCACTCTACTTGCCTAGGTCAGACATCTCCTGTGGTGCTAAATTCTTTTTTATATTTTTTTAATTTAATTTTTTTTAAACCAAACAAGCAGCAGCGATGTGGTTCTAAATTCTTATCACGACATTTTAATGTTTTGTTAGCCAGAGAAGAGAGATTAGGAGGGCAGGGGCTACAGACCAGATAGCCCCAGGTCCTCAGCTGTTTCTCATGCCATGGGCTAAAGAAGAGATTATTAAAACACTAACACCTGTATTCAAATAGGCAGGGTTTTGTTTCTTTTTTTCTCCTGGCTCTAATGATCAGATACAGGCCTATGAATAGAAGGTACAGATAGAGTTTATCTCACCATAAGGTAGAGCACTGTCACACCCAACACTGTCTCACAATGAAATAGGTGGCCTGGTGAGGCCATCAATAAATATTTGATGAACTTGACAGCAGCAGGAGGCAGACAAATCCCTAGGCAGACATGAGCAGGTCCCCAGTGAAAACCCGACCTTCAAACCAAAGACAATCTAAAGCTTGAAAGTCAAGGTACAAGTCCCAGGTAAATCCATAGATGGGACTGAGAACCTCTTCCTGTTTGGCATGCTTTCCTCCGCTTGATCCCCAAACTTTACTTATTTTACATATACCTACCCTTCCCTAGTTGGTTTTATATACACTGTCGTGCCCACCCTTGGTTGGTACCTTTGTTTTAGCCTTTTCTGCACAATCACAAACCATCAGCGTGCACTCCCCATTCTGAGCCCATAAAAGTCCCAGACCCAGCCACACTTAGAAAGAAGCCACCCGACTTTGGGTGGAGGACCACCCTCGCATCCCCTCTCCATTGACAGCTGTTAAGTCACTCAGTAAAATTCTTCTCCACCCTCCTCACCCTTCAATTGTCAGCATAACCTCATTCTTCTTGGATGCAGGACAAGAATTTGGGACCCACTGAACGTGGGTACAAATAAGGCTGCAACACCATGACCCTCCACTCTCTGCTGGCGGAGAGCAGCTGCCCCGACGGGAAGCAGGGGCAGGGCAGAGCCAGCCCGAGCTGCTGGCCGGAGCAGGACGACAGGACTGACAGAGCTATTAACACGCCACCACCTGTCAGGCTGTGGACGGCCAGACCAAAAGAGCTATTAGATTGCTGTAACACCCCCTCTGGGGCTTCCGGGTCTCAGGCACCCCTGCTTGGGCACCACTGTGTTCCCCTCAGTGTGACACACCTGGTCCAGCTGCAAGACCCACATGGAGCCTGCTCCTGTGCCAGCACTTGGAACAGCCAGCCAGATCCTACACTTGCTGGCTCACAGATCCACTTCTGCCAGGAGCTGAGCAAGCAGTTGCAGCAGCCATGGGATTGTGCCAGAGTGCAAGCCAGGTGTGGCCTGGTGGGCTGAGTAGATGGGGCATCTCCTACAGCAATCCCAGGCGCAAGTAAAGCCTGAACAAGGGTGTCGCCACCAGAGGTCTCTGGCTGGCAGAGTGTCCAAGAAAAATCCTGCATCAAACTGATGAAATCCATAAACAGAATACCATTCTATAATATATATGTGATGTGCTATGCCAGGTTTTAGGTGCACAGAAAATATAGGTGGGCTCTGTCTCTGCCCTCACAAGCCTTCACAGAGAGAACAGACAAGAAAAAAATGGGGAATTATCATTATAAAGTAAGAAACGTATTCTAATAAGAACTGTCTTAAGAAGCCCATCAAAAAAGCACTTAACTCTGTCTCTGGGTAGGCAGGGAAGGCAGAGAAGGATTCCCAAAGGTTACCTAATTTGAGACCTAAACAGTAACTGGGAATCAATTGAATAAAAGAGATAGAATGAGAGGATTTTCCCCCTAAAAACAGTGTTCCTGGCCGGACACGGTGGCTCACATCTGTAACCCCAGCACTTTGGGAGGCTGAGACAAGTGGATCACCTGAGGTCAGGAGTTCAAAACCAGCATGGGGAAACCCGTCTCTACTAAAAATACGAAAATTAGCCAGGTGTGGTGTTGGGCATCTGTAATCCCAGCTACTCAGGAGGCTGAGACAGAAGAATCACTAGAACCCGGGAGGCGGAGGTTGCAGTGAGCTGAGATCATGCCACTGCACTCCAGCCTGGGGAACAGAGTGAGACTCCATCTTTAAAAAATAAATTGTTCCTTCCCAAACAGTTTTCTAGCACCTCCTTCAAAGATGGAGTCTCTGTCACCCAGGCTGGATTGCAGTGGCACAATCTCTGCTCACTGCAGTTTCTGCCTCTGGGGTTCAAGGGATTCTCCTGCCTCAGCCTCCCAAGTAGCTGGGATTACCAGAACACGCCACTACGCCCGGCTAATTTTTGTATTTTTAGTAGAGACAGGGTTTCACCATGTTGGTCAGGCTGATCTCAAACTCCTGACCTCAGGTGATCCACCCGCCTCAGCCTCCCAAAGTGCTGGGATTACAGGTGTGAGCCACCACACCTGGCCGTCTTCTTTAATGATTAAAACATCCACAAGAACCTTCGTTTAAGGTTACATGGAATTATGTGAAAGGGTTTACTGAAGTTGAAATTCACAAAAGCAAGGAGAGAGCTAGCCCTGGGCCTGGAAGTGGGCCAGACACCGTAGGTTAGATTAAGGCAGGAGAATAGCTTCCAGTTTGAAGTTAAAGTTTCTTCTTACTTTCACGGCTCTTTCAGGTGCTTAGTGTGAGACATAGCAGCAAGTGCTAAGAGGCCGTATTTGCTCATTTCTGTTTGAACCCCCGACTCTGATAAAATACAGCTCTCAGGAAGAATGTCTTGAAGTCAGAAGAGGACAGAGCGCACAGCCTCCCACATCCCTCGCCTGAGTCAATACATTCCTTAAAAGGATCAATTGAGGCCAGGTGCAGTAGCTCATGCCTGTAATCCCAATACTTTGGGAGGCCAAGTCAGGAGAATTGTGGGACCAGGAGTTAGAGATCAGCCTGGGCAACATGGCAAGACCCATTCTCAAAAAAAATTTTTTTTTTAAGGTAAATGATCCTTGCCTTGCCTTTTCTTACACTTAAGATAACGTCCAGTAGAGTTAGTGGTTATGCTTCTGTAAGCTACAACCAGTTTTTTTTGTTGTTTTGTTTTGTTTGTTTTTTGAGACGGAGTGCTCTGTCGCCAGGCTGGAGTGCAGTCTTGGCTCACTGCAACCTCTGCCTCCAGGGTTCAAGCGATTCTCCTGCCTCAGCTTCCCAAGTAGCTGGGACTACAGGAGTGCACCACCACATCCAGCTAATGTTTGTATTTTTAGTAGAGATGGGGTTTTGCCATGTTGGCCAGGCTGGTCTCAAACTCCTGACCTCAGGTGATCCACCTGCCTCGACCTCCTAAAGTGCTGGAATTACAGGCATGGGCCACTGTGCCTGGCCTGGATGTGATTTTACACATACTGAACCTCTGCCACCTGTGTACGAGCAGTAGGCACTTCCGGAACAGTCTGATAGGACATCTCTAACAGGCCACTCCCAGGCTGTAGGCTTCGGTTTCTAGCCCTCAGTAAGACTTCTAAATAAAACTATCTTTAATTCTTTAAAAGCTTGATGTTTTTCCTTTAACACCAGCATGATTTAAACAGAACTATTTGAAGGAATTAAGTGCTGTGAATTTGTATACTGGTTTGTTTCTCCAAATTGTGGTTAGGAGGGCAGAGCACAAATCCTAACTATTGGCCAGGTGCAGTGGCTCACGCCTGTAATCCCAGCACTTTGGAAAGGAGAGGGATCACTTGTGCCCAGGAGTTCGAGGCCAGCCTGGGCAACATGGCAAAACCTCGTCTCTACCAAAATACAAAAATTAGCCAGTTTCCTAACCCAATCCTCTAAATAAATAAACATTTAAAAATAAAACTAAAAAAAAAAAAAAAATCCTTACTATTGAGCACAGAGAATCTCTCCCCAGTAAAGCCTGAAGTCTTGACTTTGAAGTCAATGACTGCACCCCTCTCCCTGCTCTCCATACTCTGCAAGCTCAGGCCTGGGGTTTGTCTGAATCCCCTCAGTGAGCCATGATCGTGCCACTGCTCTCCAGCCTGGGTGACAGAGCAAGACCCCTGTTTCAAAAAAAAAAAAAAAAAAAAAAAAAAGAAGGCCGGATGTGGTGGCTCACGCCTGTAATCCCAGCACTTTCAGAGGCCAAGGTGGGTGGATTGCCTAAGGTCAGGAGTTCGACACCAGCCTGGCCAAGATGGTGAAACCCATCTCCACTAAAAATACAAAAGTGAGCCAGGCATGTTGGCAGGCACCTAGAATCCCAGCTGCTCGGGAGGCTGAGGCAGCAGAATCTCTTGAACCTGGGAGGCAGAGGTTGCAGTGAGCCAAGATCGTGCCACCGTGCACTCCAGTCTGAGCAACAGAGCAAGACTCCATCTCAAATAAATATTTTAAGAAATAAAAAATAAAAATACATAAGCAGCCAGGCATTGTAGTTCACATCTGTAATCCCAGCACTTTCAAAGGCCAAGGTTGGTGGATTGCTTGAGCTCAGAAGTTCAAGACTAGCCTGGCCAACATGGCAAAATCCTATCTTTACGAAAAAATACTAAAACTAGCTGGGTGTGGTGATGTACGCCTGAAGTCCCAGCTACTCAGAAGGCTGAGGTCAACAGCCAGCTTGAGCCCCGGAGATCAAGGCTGCAATGAGCCTTGTTTGCACCACTGCACTCCCACCTGGGCAACAAAGTGAGACCCGCCCCCGTCTCGAAAAACACAGCACAGTCACTCCCCTCACCCTACAACACCATGCTGACTCACGACCTGCAATTTCACAAGTTCTCAAGGTGATGTGCAACATGAGAAGCACTGCTCCAACTAACCTCTAAAAGCTTTTTCAAATTTATAGAATTCTATACTACACAATTTCAACACGATTGGGGTGGGAGCGGTAGGGCGCAGGTAATCGCAGCACTTTGTGAGGCTGAGGCGGCGCGGATTACGAGGTCAGTATTTTGAGACGAGCCTAGCCAACATGGTGAAACCTCACCTCGACTAAAGATACAAAAAATTACCCGGGCGTGGTGGGTGCCTGTAGTCCCAGGTATTCGGGAGTCTGAGGCAGGAGAACCACTTGAACCCAACGTATTCGGAATTGGTAGGTTCTTGGTCTCACGGACTTCAAGAATGAAGCCGCGGGCCCTCGCGGTGAGTATCACAGTTCTTAAAGGTGGCGTGTCTGAAACTTGTTCCTTCTGATGTTCGGAGTTTTTTCCTTCTGATGGGTTCATGGTCTCGCTGACTCAGGAGTCAAGCTGCACACCTTCCTAACGAGTATTACAGCTCTTAAAGCGGTGCGTCTGGAGTTGTTCGTTCTTCCCGGTGGGTTTGTGGTCTCGATGATTTCAGGAGCGAAACTGCAAACCTTTGCTGTGTTACAGCTCAAAAAGACAGTGCAAACCCAAACAGCAAAACAACATAAGCCGCGACAGTGTGGAAGGACGCCGAAACATGTTACCACCGCAACCTCAGGCAGCCTGCTTTTATTCTTATCTGGCCCCACCCACATCCTGCTGATTGGTCCATTTTACAGAGAGCCAATTGGTCTGTTTCACTGAGAGCTGATTGGTCCGTTTTGACAGGATGCTGATTGGTGCATTTACAATCCCTGAGCTAGACACAAAAGTGCTCCACCTCCCCACTAGATTAGCTAGATAAGAGTGTTGATTGGTGTATTTACAAACCCTGAGCTAGACACAGGGTGCTGATTGGTGTGTTTAGGAACCTTGAGCTAGATACAGAGTGCTGATTGGTGTATTTACGATCCCTTAGCTAGACATAAAGGTTCTCCAAATGCCCACTAGACTCCGGAGCCCAGCTGGCTTCATCCAGTGGATCCCGCACCACGGCCGCAGGTGGAGCTGCCTGCCAGTCCCCCACCGTGTGCCGGCACCCCTCAGCCCTTGGGCGGTTGATGGGACCAGGCGCCCTGGAGCAGGGGGTGGTGCTCGTCGGGGAGGCTCAGGCCGCGCAGGAGCCCACGGCGGGGTGGGGAGGAGACTCAGGCATGGCCCGCTGTAGGTCCCGAGCCCCGCCCCGCGGGGAGGCAGCTAAGGCCAGGCGAGAAATCGAGCGCAGCACCGGTGGGCCAGCACTGCTGGGGAACCCGCGCACCCTCCGCAGCTGCTGGCCCGGGTGCTAAACCCCTCACTGCCCGGGGCCGGCGGGCTGGCTGGCCACTCCGAGCGCAGCGCGGGGCCCGCCAAGCCCACGCCCACCTGGAACTCTAGCTGGCCGGCAAGCGCCCTGCGCAGCCCCGGTTCCCACCTGTGCCTCTCCCTCCACACCTCCTCACAGGCTGAGGGAGCCGGCTCCGGCGTCGGTCCATCCCAGGAAGGGGCTCCCACAGTGCAGCGGCGGGCTGAAGGGCTCCTCAAGCGTGGCCAGAGTGGGCGCGAGGCCGAGGAGGCACCAAGGGTGAGCGAGGGCTGCCAGCATGCTGTCATCTCTCACCAGGAGGCAGAGGTTGCAGTGAGCCAAGATGGCGCCACTGCACTACAGCCTGGACAACACAGTGAGACTCCGTCTCAAAAAAAAAAAGACCGGGTGCCATGGCTCACGCCTGTAATCCCAGCACTTTGGGCGGCCGAGGCGGGCGGATAATGAGGTCAGGAGATCGAGACCATCCTGGCTAACACAGTGAAACCCCATCAATACTAAAAATACAAAAAACTAGCCGGGCGTGGTGGCATGCGCCTGTAGTCCCACCAGCTACTTGGGAGGCTGAGGCAGGAGAGTCACTGGAACCCGGGAGGTGGAGTGAGCCTAGATCGCGCTACTGCACTCCAGCCTGGGCAACAGAGGAGACTCCGTCTCCAAAAAAAAAAAAAAAAAGATTGAGATGGGAGCATGAGGCTTTTGGTTGAAAAGTGTTACTTACTTAGCAGGAAAGCCTTGTCCGTATTGATCCCTGGTGACCACAGAACAGCTTTCATAATTTCAGCAGAATGTCCGGCTGTGGTCAAAGTAATTTTAAAACAACAATACAGCTGGTCATAGTGGTTCATGCCTGTAATCCCAGCACTTTGGGAGGCTGACATGGGAGGATCACTTAAAGCCAGGAGTTCAAGACCAGCCTAGGCAATACAGTGCGACCCCGTGTCTACAAAAAATTAAAATAAAATATTAGCCGGGTATGGTGGTACATGCCTATAGTCCCAGCTATAGGAAGACTGAGGCGGGAGGATCACCTGAGCCCAGGAGTTCAAGACTGCAGTGAGCTATCATTGTGCCACTGCATTCCAGCCTGGGTGACAGAGCAAGAACCTGTCTCTAAAATAAAAATTAATATTAAATAACAATACAAATGATGATGTAAGCGAGTAGGTGAAGACAGGACCTTTCTTTGACTCAGGACCCCCCTCATTGTTAGACCTTCCCAAACCCTCCCAGGAGAATCCAATATACATACATATATATATACATATATATATATACGTATATATATGTATATATATATGTGTGTGTATATATATACGTATATATATATACGTATATATATATACGTATATATATATACGTATATATATACGTATATATATATACACACATATATATATACACACACACACACATATATATATATATATATATACGTGTATATATATCTACCTGGATCCCTGGGTGAAAAGGATCCCCGCAATCATTTCTGAGGTCATTCTGGAAATGTTTCCTCTGGGTCTGTCTGGGAGCCAGCAGGAAACAAATGGGAGAGGCCCAGAGAAGCTCTGGATGCAGCAGAACAGAGCATGGTGTCTAGTAAGTTCTAAGTGATGGAACTTGGCGCCATGAACGCCTGAACCCAAAGGTCACTCAGACTGCCTAATCCAAGGACTTGCACATTGTTTTGTTAAAAATGATTCTGGCTGGGCACAGTCACCCAGGAGTTCAAGATCAGCTTAAGTGACAAAGCAAGACCCCATCTCCAAAAAAACGAAACAAAACAAAAAAAACTGATTTTACGTTCCAGCAGAAAGCCAGGTGAGAAGCGGAACGAGGCCAGCTCTTCCAGGTTGGCAGATGAACTGGGGGTCCCCAGGACAGGCTGCTGCCTCTGCGCTGCAGATGCCCAGAGCTCTCGCCGTGGCTGCCCTCCGGCCGGGCCCAGGCAGCAGGGAACCTCTCTCCCCTCCCCACCTGGGTGACTTGATGGCAGTAACAGCCTCTCCCAGCCTGGACCATACCAGCCACGAGGTCTCCTGGCCCAGTCCTGCCAGGCCCAGGCAAAGCCCCTGCAAGCTGCTAGGACACAGTGCCCTTGAGTGGCATGGGTGTGGCCAGGCGAAAAGGCAGGTCTACTGACACAGGCTTGGTCACCTCTGTAGGCCACGGGGCCGTGCAGATCTGGATCCTGGGTTGCCCGGTCTGTCCCAATTGGACAAGACCTCCCTAGGCCTGAACCAGCCAGGAGATGAGGGAGCCCAGGACAACAACAGATGGATGAGTCAGCAGCCATCAGACAAATCTACCAGACCTTAATATAGGTAGAGAGAAATAGTAGAAAAAGAGACCACATTTGGCCAACTGGAAATGCCTACCACCCTTTGGAAAGATTTACTGGCTGTGTGTATAATACACAGAAGGCCTGTGTATATAATATGAAAAAGCTAATCTCGATTTGCCCCCCAACTTTTTAAAAGAAAAAATTTGGCTGGGCTGGTGGCTCATGCCTATAATCCCAGCACTTTGGGAGGTCAAGGCGGGAAGATCGCTTCAGCGATCAGCCTAGGCACGTTCACAACCAGCCTAGACAACATAGTGAGACTCCCTTCTCTGCAAAAAATTTAAAAATTAGCCAAGTGTGGTGATACACACCTGTGGTACCAGCTACTCAGGAGGCTGAGGTGGGAGGACACTTGAGCCTGAGAGGCAGAGGCTGCAGTGAGCTATGAGTGTGCCACTGCACTAGAGCCTGGGCAACACAGCAGAGCGAGACCCTGTCTCAAAAACACAAAGAAAAAGAAAAAAGGAAACATTTGCAGCCAGGCACGGTGGCTCACGCCTGTAATCCCAGCACTTTGGGAGGCCGAGGCGGGTAAATCACCTGAGGTCAAAAGTTTGAGACCAGCCTGGCCAACATGGTGAAACCCCGTCTCTACTAAAAATACAAAAATTAGCTGGGTGTGGTGGCGGGCACCTGTAATCCCAGCTACTTGAGAGGCTGAGGTATGGGAATTGCTTGAACCCAGGAAGGTTGCAGTGAGCCGAGATTGCACCATTGCACTCCAGCCTGGCCTACAAGCGAAACTCCATCTCAAAAACAAAACAAAACAAAACAAAACATTTGCTACATCTAGTCCTTCTAGATGTAAAGAGGTTGCCAATTATGACAGAGTTAGAAAATCACACATCTTGTAAACATCCATTTGTTTTTTTAAAAAATCATAGAGATATGTCTCCTGAAAATGACTTTTTTCTTTCTTTTTTTTTTTTTTTTTTTTTGAGACAGGATTTTGCTGTCACTTAAGCTGGAATGCAGTGATGCGAACATAGTTCACTGTAGCCTCAAATTCCTGGGCTCAAGCAATCCTCTCACCTCAGCCTCCTGAGTAGCTGGGATTACATGCACATGCCACTATAACCAGTTAATTTTTTTATTTTTTATTTTTTATTTTTTTTGTAGAGATAGGGTCTTGCTATGTTTCCCAGGCTTGCCTAGAACTCGTGGCCTCAAGCAATCCTCCCATCTCAGCCTCCCTAAGGGCTGGGATTACAAGCATGAGCTACCCCACCCCAACCCCGCCACCCCCACTGGAAATGACTTTTTGAAATGTAGAAGCACCAAGAGTGACACACGTCCACGTTTGTACAGGGGGTTAGAGGACGTGAAACAGAAGTCTGTGAGAAGGAAGAGAAGGTTCTATGCCAGGCAGGTCATATGGAGAAGATGTTTTCATGTCATAATCATTGTTTCGTGCGTGCATTTTATTCTTCACTACTTTATATATAGTTGACAGTGCAAAGTACTTTTTTGAAATAACTAGTCTTTCTAGACGTTCCGAAGTGCCTGATATATGTTAAAAGTAGAGGTAGTAAAACATCACATTTTGTAAAACTTTTTTTTTTGAGACAGAGTCTCGTTCTGCCCAGGCTGGAGTGCAGTGGCGCGATCCCGGCTCACTGCAACCTCCACCTCCCAGGTTCAAGCCATTCTCCTTCCTCAGCCTCCCAAGTAGCTGGGATTACAGGCATGAACCACCACAACCGGCTAATTTTTGTATTTTTAGAAGAGATGGGGTTTCACCATGTTGGCCAGGCTGGTCTTGAGCTCCTGACCTCAAACAATCCGCAGGCCTAGGCCTGCCAAAGTGCTGGGGTTACAGGTGTCTTTTTGTTAAAATTCATGTGAAATGTTTTTGCCTAGTACACGTCGTGTTTGTGCACCGGTTCAGGGGAAGAAGGAAGCTCACTATAGCCTCTCAAAGTGCGATGAACTCTGCACCACTGTGCTTATAATGAAGCAAGATTAACCACTAGCCCTTCTGTCTGTGCATTTTGTTTTACTTATCTGTATATATCGTGTACATAAAAGATAAACGAGTCCTAATTTACAACAGCTACTCTTTCTAGATGTTAGAGAGGTTGCCAGTGTATGACAAAAGCAAAAGTAGAGTTAGTTAAATTAATATATTTTGTACATTTTGTTTTAAAATTCCTAGGAAAGATTGTCATCTGAAAATTTGAGCATTATAGCCCACTGCGTTGGTGTAGAAGGGAACAGTTTTAGGCCAGAATGTTCATATTTTGAAGACACTGTTAAATGATAACTATTGTGCTCACTTTGGCAGCATATACGCTAAAGTTGGAATGATACAGAGAAGATTAGCATGGCCCCAGTGTGAGGATGACATGCAAATTCATGAAGCGTCCCCTATTTTCTAATAAGAAATAAAGAAAAAAAAAAGCAGGCTAGGCACAGTGGCTCATGCCTGTAATCCCAGCTTTTTGGGAGGCCAAGGTGGGTGGATCACCTGAGGTCAGGAGTTTGAGACAAGACTGGCCAACATGGTGAAACCCCCTCTCTACTGAAAATATAAAAATTAGCCAGGCATGGTGGCGCATGCCTGTAATCCCAGCTACTTGGGAGGCTGAGGCACAAGAGTTGCTTGAACCCAGGAGGCAGAAGTTGCAGTCAGCTGAGATCCAGCCAGGATCACAGAGCCAGACTCTGTGTCAGGGGAAAAAAAAAAATGAAAGAAAAGAAAAGAAAAAAAACTGCAACTATTGTTTCATGTGTGAGGTTTATTCAGTACTGCTGTGTCTATGGAGGACAAATATCCTTACCTGAAACATCTAGTCTATGTAGATGTTTACAAGTACCCAACACATGTTCAATATAGAGGTAGTAAAATATCAATTTGTAAATATCTTTTTGCTGAAATTCATAAGAAATATTATCTTTTGGAAATAAAATTGTTAAACCACCTCTATGAGCAGGATAGTACCATCTATACTTTTCAATGGTTTGCAGGAGGTGGGAGGGAAGGAATTGCAAAAGGTAATATGCTAGTGCATTCACACTTGGAAATTTTCAGACACTGTTTTTCTGCGCATTTTGTTTATTTTGTTTTGCTGTGTATCTAGTGTATGTAATGGACAAATGAGTCCTAATTTTCCAACACCTAGTCTCTAGATGTTAAAAAGGCTGCCAGCGTATGACCAAGTCTTAGTAAAATTAGCTCATTTTGTACAGTTTGTATTGAAATTCATAGGAAACACTGTCCTCTGTAAATGACTTTTGGATATGAGTTTGTGCAACCTCTGTAAGCATTACACATGCCTGTACTAGTCCACTGGATTGATGACAGAGAGAAGGAAGTGAGGAGCATATGGTTCAAGCCCACGATGTTCTCATACTTAGAAGATACCTCAAATTATATGCAAAAACCTCAATTGCTTTTGCACCAACCTATAACAATTGTTACATGTATGCAATTTTTTTTTTTTTTTTTGAGACGGAGTCTCGCTCTGTTGCCCAGGCTGGAGTGCAATGGTGCAGTCTCGGCTCACTGCAACCTCTGCCTCCTGGGTTCAAGCGATTCTCCTACCTCAGCCTCCCGAGTAGCTGGGATTGCAGGTGCCCGCCACCATGGCTGGCTAATTTTTGCATTTTTAGTAGAGACAGGGTTTCTCCATGTTGGTCAGGCTGGTCTCGAACTCCTGACCTCAGGTGATCTGCCCACCTTGGCCTCCCAAAGTTCTGGGATTACAGGCGTGAGCCACCACGCCCGGCCCACATGTGTGCAGTTTTAACAGTGCCATGTACACAGTGGACAAGTTCTAATATGAAACACCTCTGAGAACAGTATAATCTCTGTAGTTGTTCATTGGGTTGAGGGAGATAAGAGGGAAGAAATTGCAAAATGTGTTTTGTTACTGTGTACTAGAAAATTTCAGCTTATTGGATGGGTGCAGTGGCTCATGCCTGTAATCCTAGCGCTTTGGGAGGCTGAGGCGGGCAGATCACCTGAGGTCAGGAGTTCGACACCAGCCTGGCCAACATGGCAAAACTCCATCTCTACCAAAAATACAAAAATCAGCCGAGTGAGGTGGGAGGCACCTGTAATCCCAACTACTTGGGAGGCTGAGGCAGGAAAATCACTTGAACCCAGGAGGCAGAGATTGCAGTGAGCTGAGATCCTGCCATTGCACTCCAGCCTGGGCGACACAAGCAAAACTCCATCTCAAATAAATAAATAAATAGAAAATTTCAGTCTATCCATTGCCCTATATGTTACATGCATTTCACTTAACTTTTCTGTACTGTATGTATTGTGTATATACTGGACAAATGAGTCCTAATTTTATAATGTCTAGTCTCTAAATATTAGTAAATAACACATTTTGTACAGTTTGTGTTAAAATTCATGAAAAGCTGTCTTCTGAAAAGGACTTTTGGAAGTGAAATGATAACATCTCTTCTAAGTGACACATGTCCCTATATCCACCAGATTGTTGGTGGAGAGGAGTTGGAAGAAATGAAGGATTCAAACCAGAATGTTCCTTGGCACTGACAAGGAAGTGAAAAAGTAAAAAGAAAAGAAGAAAAGAAACCAGAATGTTCCTATTTAGAAGATACTTTCAGATATAACCATTGCTACATGTGCCATTTATTTAATATTACTGTGTATATAGTGGAAAACTTAAGTCCTTATTTTTTTATTTTTTATTTTTTATTTATTTATTTATTTTTTGAGACGGAGTCTTACTCTGTCACCCAGGCTGGAGTGCAGTGGCGCAGTCTTGGCTCACTGCAACCTCCACCTCCCGGGTTCAAGCGATTCTCCTGCCTCAGCCTCCCGAGTAGCTGGGACTACAGGCGCATGCCACCACTACTGGCTCATTTTTGTATTTTTAGTAGAGATGGGGTTTCACTATGTTGATCAGGCTGGTCTTGAACTCCTGGCCTCATGATCCGCCCACCTCGGCCTCCCAAAGTGCTGGGATTACAGACATGAGCCACTGCACCCAGCCTAAGTCCTTATTTGAAACATCTACTCTTTCTAGATATTTAGAAGTGGACCAAGTATGTTAAAAGTAGAGGTAGTAAATAGCACATTTTATAGATATCCTTTTGTTAAAATTCATATGAAATGTTGTCTTTTAGAAATTGGTCAATTTAGAAATTGATTTCTCTGAGCAGTACACATTATTATATTTGTGCTAGTTCAGGGAGGAAGGAGGAGAAGAAAGTTCAAAGGGCTTTATACAAGAGTGTTTATGGTGAACAACATTTGACCGTTGTCCCTTACGTCTGTGCGTTTAATTTTACTTTGCTGTGTATCTAGTGTATATAAGGGTCAAATGAGTCCTGCTTTACAACATCTAGTCTTCCAAGATGTTACAGAGCTTGCCAGCATATGACAAAAGTGAACTTAGTAAACTAATACACTGAGTACACTTTACATTAAAATTCATAGGAAAGACTGTTCTTAAAAAACACTTATGGAAGTGAAATTTTTAAAATCCCTTGTAAGGTCAGGCATGGTGGCTCACACCTGTAATCCCAGCACTTTACGAGGCCCAGGCAGGTGGATCACCTGAGGTCAGGAGTTTGAGATCAGCCTGGCCAACATGACAAAGCCCCATCTCTACTAAAAATACAAAAATTAGCTGGGAATAGTGGTGGGTGCCTGTAATCTCAGCTGCTCCAGAGGCTGAGGCGGGAGAATGGCTTGAACCTGGAAGGCAAAGTTTGCAGTGAGCCAAGATTGCACCATTGCACTCCAGCCTGGGCGATAGAGCGAGGCTCTGTCTCAAAAAAGAAAAAAAAAAAAAATCCCAGCCTGGGCGGAGTGGCTCATGCCTGTAATCCCAGCACTTTGGGAGGCCAAGGTGAGCGGATCACGAGGTCAGGAGTTCGAGACCAGCCTGACCAACATGGTGAAAACCCATCTCTACTAAAAATACACAAAAAAAAAAAAATTAGCCAGGCATGGTGGCATGTGCCTGTAATCCCAGCTACTCAGGAGGCGGAGGCAGGAGAATCGCCTGAACCTGGGAGGCGGAGGTTTCAATGAGCCGAGATTGCACTACTGCACTCCAACCTGGGCGACAGAACGAGACTCTGTCTTAAAAAAATAAATAAATAAAAATTAAAATTAAAAAATCCCTCCTAAGCATTGCAGATGCTTATACTTGTCCCCTGGGTTGATAGAGGTAGGAAGGGGAAGGATTCTAGGCCAGAATGTTCCTAGTTAGAAAACATATTGAAATTATAGCCTTTGTTATGTATGTGCACCGTTTACTCAATGGTACTGCGTGTATAGTGAAAAACTTAAGTCCTGTTTGAAACAGCTCATCTTCCTAGATGTTTAAAAATGCACAAAAATATGTTAAAAGGGCTAAAGTAATACCCTTCTTTTTTTTTTTTTAAACATTATAGGAGTGGTTGCATTTTGGGGACAGAATTGTTAAAGTTGATGTCTTGGAGGGTATGCTGACTGCTCATTGGGTGGTGGTGGGTGATGGGGAGGAGGAAGTTTGCAGAGAGAAGGGTTCTATGCCCATGAGTTAGACTACTTCAGATGGCCTAACCATTGTTCTATATGCACATTTTAGTTATTATTGCGTGCATTAAATAATAAAATAAGTTATAATGCTCAAAGTATGTTAAAGTAGAGGAAGTAAAATAATCCCTTTATAAATGTACTCTTGTTCGTTTTTACAAACACCTGTCTTCTGGGAGAGACCTTTGTCCCTAGACCTCTTGGAGCTAGACATAGTCCTGTACTTAGTCCCTGGAATGGTGGAAGGAGAAGAGAAAGGGTGGAGGGAAGGGCTCTTCGGTAAATATCTAGAAGATGGTTTTAAATTAAAATCATAGGTCTACATGTGCATTTTTAGTAAATTAGCTGTGTTTCTTGAGGACAAAGTTCATTGTTTTGCAACATCTAAGCTTTATAGATGTCCCGAGGTGACAGTGTAAGACAGGAGTATTCAATCTTTTGGCTTCCTGGGCCACACTAGAAGAACTGTTTTGGGTCACACATAAAATACACTAACAATGATGACAGCTGAAGAGCTAGAGGAAAAAAAAATCACAAAAAAACTCATAATGTTTTAACAAAGTTTATGATTTTTTTTGAGATGGAGTCTTACTCAAAAATCAAAAACCTGATGATTTTTTCAAATGAGCATTTACTCCATATTGTAAAATACAGAGAAATGGAGACATGGTGGTTGACCCTGAGGGGGAAGGAGTGCTGTCATTTGCTCCTGAGACTGTCAGAGCAGGTGGACAGCTTAAAGGACCCGTGGCTCAGGACCAAAACCTGAAATGCAGTATTCATGAATCCAAGTAATTAATAGTAGGGTTGGAAATATGAGGTGCGTGGGTGAAAAAGCCCAGGGCAATGGCCAGAAGGGGCAGGTCCACAGAAAAGGGGGGTGGAGGGAGACTGGGGAGGTAGACAGCCAGGACAAGGAAGATAATCAGGAGGGGCATAGGCCATGTCTTTTCCTTCCTTCCTCCTCCACATACCACATTACCTCAGTCCTTTAAAGTTCAGATCAAATGTCACCTCCCCCATGAAGGCCTCCCTGATTTCCACAGCTGACATTGAGCCTTTCCTCCTCTGTGCTCCCCTGGCTCACTCTCTCCTCCATCTGATCTTTGCCACACTCTGCCTCCTCCTATTTTAACTTCCCCCCCACCCCTCGCCCCCTGACAGCGTCTCACTCTGTTGCCCAAGCTAGAGTGCAGTTGCACAATCTCGGCTCACTGCAACCTCTGCCTCCCAGGCTCAAGCAATCCTCCCACCTCAGCCTCCCAAGTAGCTGCAACTACAGGCGCACACCACCACACCTGGCTAATTCTTGCATTTTTTTTTGTAGAGACAGGGTCTCACTATGTTGCCTAGACTGGTCTAGACCGGTCCTGGACTCAAGCAATTTTCCTGCTTCAGCCTCCCAAAGTGCTGGGATTACAGGCATGAGCCATTGCACCTGGCCCATATTTTAACTCTTTTAAAAGTTAACTGGTGTACGTCCTTTGCACTCCAGCTGCTTTGAATGGAGATGTGATGGATGAAGCTATGGCTACTATCTTGGACCACTGGGAGTCAACCATACTTTAGGGAGGGCGGGGCGAGGATCTGGAAGGACTTGACTTCCTAAGGACTCTGGGTCAGAAATGCCACCCCAACCCTGGACTGCCTATCTCCAGATTTTTATGTGAGAAAGATATATATGTTAAGTCAATTATTCGGGGTCTCTGTTAACTGCAGACAACCCCAATTTTAACTAAAGCATTGGGAATTATTTCTGACTCCTTTTCTACCTTTCTCTGCATCTAATCACCAAATCCATCTGATTCTACCTCCTTGATATGCCCCAGATCTGTAACCTTTTCTACATCACTGTTACCTCTACCTGAACTCAGGCAATCAGAATTTCTTGCCTGGATTCCTGTGTAAACCTTCCTTCTACCTAGTCTCCCCACTGTAGGGTTGTTCCTTCCAATCCACCTTTCATATCAGGAACTCAAATTAGCATATATACATATGTATATGTGTGTATATATATATATGTATATGTGTATATGTATGTATATGTGTGTATATATATGTATATGTGTATATATATACACACACAAAAAACTATATGCACACACACACATATACACACATACAGAAAAGTACAGAATCCAATGTGACAAATACTCAACCCCAAAATGGTGACAATTGTTAATCTGATCTGTATTTTTTCTTTTTTTCTTTTTTTTTTTTTTTTTTGGAGTCAGAGTCTTGCTCTGTGCCCAGGCTGGAGTGCAGTGGCACAATCTAGGCTCACTGCAACCTCTGCCTCCCAGGTTTAAGCGATTCTCCTACCTCAGCCTCCTGGGTAGCTGGGACTATAGGCACGCGCCACCACATCTGGCTAATTTTTGTATTTTTAGTAGAGACGGGGTTTCACCATGTTGGCCAGGCTGGTCTCTAATTCTTGACCTCAGGTGATCCGCCCGCTTTGGCCTCCAAAGTGCTGGGATTACAGGCGCGAGCCACCGTGCCTGCCTCTTATCTATAATTTTTATGAAGCTAATATGACAAAGTTGTCTCCTTCCCTCCACAAGGGCAAATACGCTCATGCCCTCCTAATCCTGTATTGAACCATATCCTTGGCATATTTTTTCAAACTTTTACATACATTTATGAATAAATGTATGTTATGGTTTTGTGTATTTTAAAAATATTGTCTAAGTGGCACCATATTATATGTATAATTCTATAGCATGTTTATGTTTTTGAGGTCTATCCATGGTGACATCTATTGAGTTCATTCACGTTAGTAGTTCTGTAATGCTCCATCATGAGACTGTAGCAGAACATCCATCTCTTCCTCCATCGATGGGCGACTAGGTTGTTCCCTGTTTTGCTTTTATAAACAATGCTTTACTGACAGCCTTAAAAATGTGTGAGAAGATCTCTAGGGTTTATACCTGGACATGTAATTGTTTTGGGAATAGTAGTTGTTATGTGTTGAAATGTGCCCCCAAAAAAGATACGTTTAAGTTCTAACCTGGGGAACCCATTAATGTGATCTATTTGAAAATAGGGTCTTTACAGATGTAATCAGGCGAAGATGAGGCAATTAAGATGCACCCTACCCCAATATGATTGGTGTCCTTAAAAGAAGAGAAGAGACAGACAGGGAGAGAACACTGTGTGACACCAGAGGCAGAGATTAGTGATGCCTCTAACAGCATACGAATGCCCAGGAGTGCAGACAATTGCCAGAAGCTAGGAGAAGCATGGAACAGAGTCTCTGAGACCCCATAAGGCACAAACCCTGCCAATACCTTGATTTTTGATTTTGGGCCTCCAGAATTGTGAGTGAATAAATTTCTGTTGTTTTAAACCACCCAATTCATGGGGATTTGTTACAGCAGTCTGAGCAAACTGATGTACTGGTATGTTTGAAATTCTTGTTTCTTGGTGCTGTAAAGAAATAGCACTTGAACATAAATTTAATTTCCTCAGCAAGGCCATCTTTATACTTTCGGCAGAAAGGGTACACTCGACAGCAGTTTTGCCATGAGAGTACACCAAACAAAGGAGACAAGGTCACTTATAACCTGATACATCCACCTTGCTGCTGTGTCCGGTTTTCATTGGCTGGAACAGGTCCTCACATTTTGTATTTGTTCTGATTGGCTAGCAACTTAGAACTTTTTAAAAGAGGCAAAGGCAGAGGAGAGCAAAGGAAGGAGGAAGTAACTTGTGGAATGCTGAGAAAGGTAAAAACACCTTCAAATAAGGAAGAGGAACAGGCTATGACCTAATGCTTGCTTGGACCAGTATAAGCATGCCAGGGCAAATATTTAGGCTAAATGGTGGCAGCTAGGAACATAAAGTACATTGATTTCTTTATTATGGCTAGCAGATATTTAAGACTGTTAGTACAGGTCTTTGAATACATTTTGTTTTTAAGAGAAGTTACTATTTATTTCTAATTAGACAGGGAGGAAAGTCTTTAAAGAAGAATCTCTACTTTACTTTTCACAGGTAGAATCCCAAGTCATGGCCTATAGGCGCATAGGTCAAGGTCATATGAGAGCATAAGGGTCTGAGACAGTAAATTGGAGCTGGGCCGGAAGGACCTAGAATGTGGCCCTAAGTAGGGGTTTAGACTTTACCATTCAGGCAACGTGGAGCCACAGAGGAGATATTAAATTGCCAAGGTACACAGTTCTATCTCGGTTTTATTTTATTTATGTATGTATTTATTTATTTATTTAGAGCCAGCGTCTCACTCTGTTACCCAGGCTGGAGTGCAGTAGCGCAATCCTGGCTCACTGCACTCTTTTTTTTTTTTTTTTTTTGAGTCGGAGTCTGGCTCTGTTGCCCAGGCTGGAGTGCAGTGGCGCGATCTTGGCTCACTGCAAGCTCCGCCTCCCGGGTTCATGCCATTCTCCTGCCTCAGCCTCCCGAGTAGCTGGGACTACAGGCGCCCGCCACTATGCCCGGCTACTTTTTTTTTGTATTTTTTTAGTAGAGAGAGGGTTAGCCAGGATGGACTCGATCTCCTGACCTCGTGATCCGCCTGCCTCGGCCTCCCAAAGTGCTGGGATTACAGGCGTGAGCCACCGCGCCCGGCCTGCACTCTTGAATTAATGGGCTCAAGCAATCCTCCCTCCTCAGCCTTCTGAGTAGCTGGAACAGGCACGCAACACCACATCCTGCTAATTTTTTTTTATTTTTTTAAGAGATGGGGGTTTCATCTTGTTACCCAGGCTGGTCTCAGACTCTTGTTTTCATGCTATCCTCCTGCCTCAGTCTACCAAAGTGTTGGGTTTACAGGCATAAGCCAACACACCGGGCCCCTACCTTGGTTTAAGAGACGAGTATCAGAGAAATAGACTACACATGAGAAAGACTCGTTTGACTTGTGGATGTGTCTGAAATTCATTTGCTTTTTCCTTTAAAACCGATTCATTTCCTTCAAAACCGATTCATTTCCTTCCACAAACAGTTATCAGGATTTGACATACACGAGTTTGTCATTAATGACCATGGGTTATTTTGTGCTTACTAAATCAGGCCCTGTTTTAGACATAATCTGCTAATCTTATTAATCCTCACAACTGCCCCACAAAATACACATGCGACCCTCTCCATAAAAGGGATAAGGAAGCCAGGTGCGGTGGCTCATGCCTGTAATCCTAGCAGTCTTGGGAGACTGAGACGGGCAGATCACTTGAGATCAGGAGTTTGAGACCAGACTGGTCAACATGGTGAAACCCCCGTCTCTACTAAAAATACAAAAATTAGCCGGGCGTGGTGGTGGCACCTGTAACCCAGCTACTCGGGGAGCTGAGGCAGGAGAATCGCTTGAACCTGGGAGGCAGAGGTTGTAGTGAGCCGAAATCACGCCACTGCACTCCAGCCTGGGTGACAGAGTGAAACTCCATCTCAAAAAAAAAAAAAAAAAAAAAAGGGTGGGGGATAAGGAAACATTCAGGAACGACGTGACATGACTTGTGCTTAGGGAAACTATTAGGGTTGAAAGTAAGGCCACCTTGGGTCCTAATGGCTGTAAGGCATCAGACAAAATACGTCAACTATGTCAGCCTACATTTTCTCATCTTTCAAACTGCCATAACAGCAGCCACCTCTTCGGCCGGCCAGGCCTGGCCCAGCTGGATTAAATGAATGAAGCGCAGCAAGGGCTGGGCGTAGGTAAACTGTGCAGTCATCCTCTTCCACGACCTCCGCTGAGCCCACGCCGCTCCGCCCGCCGGCCGCCAGGGATCGCTGTGACGTGGCTCGGGCCCAGCACGCGGCCGCTCTGGCCCAGGGAAGTCCCTGTCCTTACCTTCAGCAGGAGCCGGTTCCCTGTGTGTGTGTCCGCTCGCCCTCTGCTCCGTCCTGCGGCTGCCCACTGCCCTCCTACGGTCCACCATGGCCCTGCTGCACTCCGGCCGCGTCCTCCCCGGGATCGCCGCCGCCTTCCACCCGGGCCTCGCCGCCGCGGCCTCTGCCAGAGCCAGGTAAGCCAAGGGAAACGGAGATGGAGCCAGGGCGATGGCCCTGCCCCGCCGAGCTGCGAGCACCCCAGGACATTCACCCCTCCCGGCCCCCAAATACACACTGTCACTCACACGCACACACACACACTTTTCTGCCACCCCCTCGGCTTTCCCTTACTGGGGACTGAGGATTGAGCGTCCGTGCCCCACAGTGATCCTCAGGATCCCACATCCCTCTGGTCCCCGCACTGGGCCCTGCAGGAAGGCGTGCAACGCAATCCCTAGGGAAAGGAAGTGTGGCCCTCGGCGGTTGCCGGACTCCCATTCAGTGGGAGGGGTGCGGATAGTACTGGGGCAGCGGCGCCGGGTAACGACCGTGCCCTTGATAGGGTGCCCTGGGGGCGGCGGGCGCACCTGTCCTGGCCCCCGGCCCGCCCGAGTCGGTGGGCCGGCGGCGGCTGGCTGCCGCGTGTGTGCCCTGGGCGGGAAGAGCGCGAGAGGAAGGTTTCCGGGGCGCCGGCATTCGGGCCTCGCTTTCCTTCCCGCACCTGCGACCTTGGCGTGCGGCATTCTCCTGACCTTGCGACCCCCCGAGGTCCCTGTGACCCCGGGGCCCGTTTGGCCTTTGCTTGGGAAAGGGTCGAGGTGTAGTGTGTCTCTTTTTTTGTTTTGTTTTGTTTTTTCCTTATTGCCCCTAAGGAGGTCCGGTTGCAGGGAGGCTATCAATCTTCCTCTCCATCTCCCTGTGCTCTTTCATTCAGTAAATATTTCGTAACTGCAGTTTCTCAGAGCCAGGCTCTGGACCAGATGCCAACGATACAACTGTGAACAAGGCGAGGGAAGGACAATGACAAATGGTCATTGCTCAAAAAATGACAAACGTAATTTCGTACTGTGGCGTGTATAATAGTATGGAGGGAAATTTCAGAGCTTGAAACGAGCTCTAGTAATTCATTCCCAGTGGAGACCGGAGCCAGAAGATTAATTCAACTCAAGAAGCCGATTTGGAGCACTCTCCTTAAGCACTACCTTAATAAGGAACTGAGTTTTAAAACCACCCCCAAGCAGGTATTAACTGCAAGGAGCAAAGCGTAGCTTGGCCTTTCGTTTGAATGTATGCTCTGTGTCTTTCAGCCAGCAGAACTATCTGTCCTTTCCAAGGCCCCACAGCCTTGGCAGTACAGTTTTGCCCAGGCTTCGCACTTTTTTCTCTTCCTGACTTGGCTCCTTCCTGGCCCACTGTCAACGTGTGCTCTTTAAGTCTGCCTACCTAGTGGGCCAGAGCCAGGAGGAGTTATTTATGCAACAAATTTGGAAAACCAAAGGAGTGCTTAAAATTTCCGTCAAGAGAAAGTATGTTTCCCTATTGCAGTAATCTTAAAATAATACCTTGTTTTATGGATTTGGCTAGATCACCTGAAGCTCTAGTGCTTGGTGAAAATCCCTTGGGGTCAGGGTTAGTCATTCTTTCAGTTTGAGAGTCTGACTCATTTTTCTTTTCTGTATTTTTCTTACTAGAATGTAAGTTCCATGAGAGCGGAGACTTTACCTACTTTATATTCACTGTTACATCTCAGCACTATTAACAGTTGCTGGCATGTCTCTTATATTGGATATTTTTATTTTAAGCCCTGATTTTTCACGTAATGCAACGGAAACAAATACAGTATGACATTTTAATGTTGTATCTTAGATCAAAATCTGAACATAGGCTGGTCCAAGTGTAATGGTGTTTACAACTAATTGATCATAACCAGTTACAGATTTTATTGTTCCTTCTCTCGACTAATCTTACACAGGGGAACCACAGTGCTGCAAAATATGTACCAAAAAAAATTCCCTTTTTTTTTTTCTTTAAATACAGGGTCTCACTGTGTTGCCCAGGCTGGAGTGCAGTGGCACAATCATGGCTCACTGCAGCCTGACCTTCCAGGCTCAAGTGGTCCTCCTGCTTCAGCCTCCCAAGTAGCTGGGACTGCAGGCATACACCACCACACCCAGCTAATTTTTTATTTTTTGTAGAGACAGAGTCTCCCTGTGTTGGTCTCAGACTCCTCCCACATCAGCCCCGCAAAGCGCTGGGATTATAGGCTAAGCAACCCCACCTGACCAGAAAATAAATTCTTGAAATAGTTGAGCACCTAATGTTGAGGAATTACTCTTCAGATTTAAATAATGATACCTGATTAGGTGACAGAATCAGATGCCATATTTGGCATGAAGGTTAACTCTTCAGGCAAGATCAGACTTCCCTCCTTACACTGTGGAAGTGATCTTTACCTAGCTCCAAATGGTAAAAGTGGAAAATACTTAAACTGAATTCATCGACATTTCTATTTAAATGGCTCATTCTAATACAATAAAACCTTGTCTGTTGTTATTCTGAAGAACTGAGGATTTATCCAATGGCATACTTGGAACTCTTTGTAAATATGTGGAACTCTTTGTAAGTTCAAGTGTATCATTTAGCTAAACACTGCGAATAAAACTTTCTCTTGTTGACTTGTACTGTAAATGTATAGTGACATGAGATCAGACATAGTTGCAGTTCAATGAAGAAAAAAAAAGATGCTAATGTATTTTGATTTATAATGATTTGCTTTTAATTATTTAATTCTGATTATTTACTTTTTGGTGAAATAACTGAGCAGGTCTCGTGAGACTTTAAAAATGCAGTGTGCAACTGTGGTACCATAACCATTGGTTAAAAGATCACAGACCAGGCACAGTAGCTCACACCTGTAATTCTAGCACTTTGGGAGGCTGAGGCAGGTGGATTGCTTGAGCTCGGGAGTTCTAGACCAGCTGGGCAACATGGCAAGACCCCGTCTCTACATAAAATACAAAAATTAGCCGGGCATGGTGATGTGCACCTGGAGTCCCAGCTACTTGGGAGGCTGAGGTGGGAGGGTCGCTCGAGCCTGATCGCTTGAGAGGTGAAGAGTTGCAGTGAGCCCGCTGATCACGCCGCTGCACTCCAGCCTGAGCAACAAAGCAAGACTGTGTCTCAAAAAAAAAAGATCACAGCTGTGCTATTGTCTCTGCCATTTTTAGCTCTGTGATTGTGGGCAAGCTAATTAACTTCCCTTCTGATTTTAAAGTAAGAAGAATGTGAGGAAAAGCAGTTTAAAAACTGTAAAACTTTAAGTAGGCTTAAGCTCCAGGGAAATTACAATGCGTTTCGATTGGAAAGGCTTACCTGAATACTTGGTACCTAACCTCTCTTGGATGACCAGTCAATATTGCTCAATGTTTGAGGCTTTGTGCCTGTATCCAAAATGTACTGATAGAAATCACTTTCTAGGTCACAGGTTATCAGCATGAGTTTTGCCCCTAGAACACTCCTATTTTCATCTACTCGATTCCTTTAAAAACATCAGAGTTCTTACAATATGTGTGTAGTCTTTACCATTTTAAGAAATGGAATAATGAAAGGCATGGAGGAGTTGAAAGATGGTTACTAATGTGGGGCTAATCAAATTGAGTATTCCCTCTAGGCCAGGTGCCGTGGCTCACACCTGTAATCTCAGCACTTTGGGATGCTAAGGTAGGAGGATCACTTGAGCTCAAGAGTTGGAGACCAACCTGGGCAATATGGCACAACCCCATCTCTACAAAAAACTAGCCAGGCACGGTGGCACACACCCATAGTCCCAGCTACTCGGGGAGGATCACTTGAGCCCGGGAGGTAGAGGCTGCAGTGAGCCGTGGTCACGCCACTGCATTCTAGCCTGGGTGACAGAGTGAGACCCTGTCTCAAAAAAAAAAATTGTATCCCTCTAGGAGGGGAACAACAGACACTGGAGCCTACCTGAGGGTAGAGAATGGGAAGAGGGAGAGAATCAGAAAAAATAACTGTCAGGTACTATGCTTATTACCCAGATGATGAAATTATCTGTACACCAAACCCCCAGGACATGCACATGTACCCGTGAACCTGAAATAAAAGTTAAAAAAACCTCCCATGCCTCTGCCCTTCAGATGCTAGTAGCACCTGCTTTCCCCCAGAGTTTCAACAAACAGAAATGTCTCCATAAATTGTCAGTGTTCCCTAGCTAGGCAACCCCTTCCTCTCTCTCTGGCTAAGAATAACTTTCCTTGTGATCTGGATTATAAACTTGTCTCAAGCAATAGATACATAGTTTTCATACCTGTGTTCTTTAATCTGTACTTCATTTTCAATCTCAAAACTAGCATTGTAATTGTAAAATGAACATAATTTATTACATTTTTAAAAAAAAAATTGAGTATCCCTGCTCCTATATTTAGATTGTTTAAAAATTCAGTATTTTGAAATTGTGTTTAGAATTCTTAAAAGACAGAGGCTGGAGGGCTGGGGCTGAGGGAGGGTGGTGGGCCTGCGGGGACATTCTTACTGTGCAAACATAGCGATAAAAACATGTCATTTTCCAAAGCAAAAACAAAAACAAAAAAAAAGAATTCTTAAAAGGTATACCAGAAGACACAAGTCTATGGTTTCTGAGTTTCTATGCTTAACATTTTAAAGAACTTGAAAAATAAGTGCTTTTCACACCATTTAACAAGAATGATGCTTTCTCTCCTTGTGGTAGGGAGCAATGGGCAGTGGCTTTGTTATGATTGAGGGTCTTGGAGGATACAGACCATTGTTTTTTCTTTTTCTTTTTCTTTTTTTTTTTTTTTCTTCCTGAGACAGGGTCTCTATGTAGCCCAGGCTTGTCTCAAACACTAGGCTTAAGTGACCCTCCCACCTCAGCCTCCTGAGTAGCTGGGACTACAGGCAAGAGCCACTATGCCCAGCCAGACCATCTTTTGAAAAATGAAAACTTTTCCAGAAGTGTTCTCTTTTATAATCTAGTATGTCCTTGACATTCAGGGTATTCCTTTCACTCGGCAGTTAATGACAGTGATGTAGATAGACAGGTGGCTGCATGTTTTCAGGGTCTGAATTGTGGATAAGTAATAATGAAAGCTTTCTTCAGGCCCAGTTCAGAAGTTGGTTTAAGGTATCTGTGCTTCTTACTATTGCCTAGGTACTAGGAACAGCCAAGCAACCTAGAGCCACAGCAACACAAAATGAGAGGCAAGCTATTAAAAGAACTGGCACCAACACTAGTGAGGGGGAAGGGTGATAATGGCAGTGTCTCCTGATTCTCTAGAAAAAACTATGCAGTAGTAATTGAAAAGCAGAAAAGGGCCGGGTGCGGTAGCTCACGCCTGTAATCCCAGCACTTTGGGAGGCTGAGGCGGGCAGATCACTTGAGGTCAGGGGTTCAAGACCAGCCTGGCCAACATGGCAAAACCCCATCTCTACTAAAAATAAAAATAAAAAAATTAGCCGGGCGTGGTGGCGGGTGCCTATAATCCCAGCTACTTGGGAGGCTGAGGCAGGAGAATCGCTTGAACCCGTGAAGTGGAGCTTGCAGTGAGCTGAGATCGTGCCACTACAGTTCAGCCTGGGCAACCCAGTGAGACTCTGTCTCAAAAAAAAGAAAAGCAGAAAAGGTTGGTTGGAGGGTTGTGGGTTATTGTTAAACTGATTAACATTGTCTCCCCCCACAGCCATGCTTGATTTGCTTTGTATTTAAAGAGAAAGAAAAACAGAAAGGACCTGCATTTGGTCACAAGGTCTTACGGCTGCATATGCTCCTTGAATTCTCTACATACTGGCCTCACCAGGCTCTGTACTAGGATGCAGGATGGTTACAAATAAAAGTGGAGTGATAATAATTTAGTAACGATGACTATTAGCGAACATCAGGCACTCTGCCAATTTAGGTTTTGAGTGTTTTTTTCATCATTAGACCAGCCCTGTGAGATAGGTAGTTTTATGGCCCCATTTTACAGATAAGGAAAGTTGATGCTTGATTTACTTGCCAGTGCTCACACAGCTGGCAGGTGGCTGAGCTATTATTTGAATCCGTACAGTTTGCCCAGTACTGAAATTACCCAAGGCAAACTATTAAAAGAAACATTACAAGAAATAAGAGCCTGGGAAATCCAAAAAACTGGAAATAATCTGCCCTTTAATAACAGAGAATTGACTGTACACACTAATTAATTACAACGATTGAGACTGCAGCAGTCTTTAACTTGTCAAGGGAGCATGAATTAAACTCTGTACTGCCATCAAGTGTGCCCCATGGAGGAGTGAGGTGTATGAGTGCTGACTAGCCACAAGTACATTAAGAGAACCTTTGTTGGGAAAGAAATGTTCATGAGGTAATTCACGAGTTTATCAGCATGGTGAACACGGAGAACTTCCATGGTACCATACTGAAACATGTGGCTGATTCACAGTGGATGAGTGATTACTAGGAGAACTTGAGCGATTCTCCTGCAACAACCCCCAGCTCCTTCTCACCGTGAGCCTTTATTCTTAATTCTCTTCTTGGAAAGCCCTTTTACTCCTCCTTTCAGCCTTAGCACTCAGCTGCTAAGTCACGTCCTCTGGGAAGCCTTCCTAACCTTGTGCAGTACTTTCCTTCCCTTCTCCAAGCTATTACGTCCTCTGCTCAGGGCTCCCATAAGTAATATCCCATAATAATGCCCTGGGTAGGTGTGTATCACTATCCATCATCTCCCTGCAGTGCCCAGCCTGCATTACGTGCAGATCTCTGCTGATCACCACAGTGTACTAGTCAGGTGGTAAGGGATTGTGTTGTACTCTTCTTTACATTCCCAGCCCTTAGCATAATGTTCTTAATGATTGCTTTAGAAGATCATAAAGCCTAGAAAAGTGTTCTGGCAAGGCAGAGAATCTCTACACTCTAAACTGATTGCACAGTTTTTTCTTTTTTTAAAAAAAAAAAAACCTTTTATATTGTAGGTGAAGTCATTAATGACTAAACCAAGGAAACTAGGCCATCAAGATTGGGCAAACTTTGTTAAAATGTTAACTTGTGTGCGCCTGTAGTCCCAGCTACTTGAAAGGCTGAGGTGGGAGGATGGCTTGAGTCTAGGAGGTCAAGGCTGCACTTCAGCCTGGGGGACGGAGTGAGACCCATCTCTTTGTTTGTTTGTTTATTGAGACGGAGTCTTGCTCTATTGCCCAGGCAGGAGTGCAGTGGTGCATTCTCGGCTCACTGCAACCTCCGCCTCCTGGGTTCAAGCGATTCTCATGCCTCAGCCTCCCAAGTAGCTAGGATTAAAGGCGCACGCCACCTTGCCTAGATAATTTTTGTATTTTTAGTAGAGACAGAGTTTCACCGTGTTGGTCAGACTGGTCTCAAACTCCTGACCTCAGGTGATCCGCCTACTTCGGCTTCCCAAAGTGCTGGGATTGCAGGCGTGAGCCACTGCACCCGGCCGAGATCCATCTCTTTAAAAAAGAAAAAAAAAGTTAACTCAGCTTCTTTTCAGATTCACTTACTATAAATCAAAACAAAATTCACAGCCGGGTGCAGTGGCTCACGCCTGTAATCCTAGCATTTTGGGAGGCCAAGGTGGGTGGATCACTTGAGGTCAGGAGGTAGAGACCTGACCAACAGGGTGAAACCTTGTCTCTACTAAAAATACAAAAATTAGCCAGGCGGGGTGGCACACATCTGTAATCCCAGCTATTTGGGAGGCTAAGGCAGAAGAATCGCTTGAACCCAGAGACAGGTTGCAGTGAGCCACGATCGTGCCACTGCACTCCAGCCTGGGTGACAGAGCAAGACTCCGTCTCAAAAATAAATAAATAAATAAATAAATAAAGCAGGCCGGGGGCGGCTCACGCCTGTAATCTCAGCACTTTGGGGGGCCGAGGTGGGTGGATCATGAGGTCAGGAGTTCAAGACCAGCCTGGCCAACACGGCGAAACCCCGTCTCTACTAAAAATACAAAAATTAGCTGCGCATGGTGGCAGGAGTTTGTAATCCCAGCTACTTGGGAGGCTGAGGCAGGAGAATCGCTTGAACCCGGGAGGCGGATGTTGCAGTGAGCCGAGATCGCACCATTGCATTCCAGCCTGGGCGACAAGAACAAGACTCCGTCTCAAAAAAATAAAAAATAAACAAAATTCACTAAGTTTTGTCCTCATATGCTCTTTCATATTTAAAACAAACTGGTCTTTTAGGATGGTAGTTCTCCCTGGGAACATGTTCTGTGTTAGTTATGTTAGCATGCAATGTGTTTCCATCATTGCTATTGTCAAATGAATCAAAAAGTATAACAAGCTGCTCAGTTTTTCTAATACAGTAAGTATTAATAGTTATACCCCACATAAATAAAAGCTCTTTGGGGTTTTCAGTAAGTTTTAAGAGTATAACAGGATCTAAAGATCACAAAGTTTGAGAATTGCTGCTTTAGACCAATACTACTCTTTTTCCTTAAAAACACACAGTTGTATTTATTTGTCACTGTTGATCCTAGTGTGGTCTCAACACTCATTGCTTATCTTTTAACCAAAGTAGCTTCTATTTCCCAGAGAAAATTAAGAAGAGAGGGTGGTGATGTCAGTCCTACACAAGCATTCTAAACAGACTGGCAAAACTCGTGAACACACGCAGTACAACTTCTACAGCCACATGTATCCCTTTTATACCTCCTTAAAGTGGCAACAAAGAAAGACCTTTTTATTTTAATGACTCAAAGCTATAGCCTCTCGAGCATGTAAAAATAAACAAAGGTATATAAATTTTAAATTATGCTTGGTAATCAATGTGTCTGTAGTCTATCTTAGAAATTATTTAGGTATACAATGAATAATAATCTGTTAATCAATTCATTGTAATATTAGACCAAAAGTGTAAGTTACCCTAAAGATCTTAGAAATTGTCTTCAAGGCCAGGCGCAGTGGCTCACGCCTGTAATCCCAGCACTTTGGGAAGCTGAGGCGGGCAAATCACATGAGGTCAGGAGTTCAAGACCAGCCTGGCCAACGTGGTAAAACCCCATCTCTACTAAAAACACAAAAATTAGCTGGGTGTAGTGGCGGACACTTGTAATCCCAGCTACTTGGGAGGCTGAGGCAGGAGAATCACTTGAACCCAGGAGGCGGAGTTTGCAGTGAGCCAAGATCACGCCACTACACTCCAGCCTGGGTGACAGAGTGAGATTCCATCCCCCAGCTCCAAAAAAAAAAAAGAAAGAAAGAAATTGTCAAGCTGGCATATTACAAAATACAATTACTGTTCTCCCAAAAGCTTATCCCCAGTCTAATAAGAAAAACATCAGACAAATTCCAGTAGAGGGGCATCCTACAAGATACCTGACCAGCATTCCCAAAATTGTCACAGCGAAGAGGAGCTTATGGAGACATGCAACTAAGCATAATGTGGTGTCCTAGATGGAATCGTGGAACAGAAATAGGTAAAAGCTAAGGAAATCTAAATAATGTGTGGACCTAATAATGTATGGACCAGGCATGGTGGCTCATGCCTGTAATCCCAGCACTTTGGGAGGCCAAGGCGAGCAGATCACCTGAGGTCAGGAGTTTGAGACCAGCCTGGCCAACATGGCGAAACCCCGTCTCTACCAAAAATACAAAAATTAGCTGGGTATGGTGGCGGTCATCTGTAATCCCAGCTACTCCAGAGGCTGAGGTGGGACAATCGCTTGAACATGGGAGGCAGAGGTTGCAGTGAGCTGAGATCACGTCATTGCACTCCAGCCTGAGTGACAAAGAGGGAAACTGTCTCAAAAATAATAATAATAATGTATCAGTATGGATTCATTAATTGTAACAAGTGTGCCATACCAATGTAAAATGTTAATAGGGGAAACCTGGGGGTAAGGGTATATGGGACTGTACTATCTGCTCAATTTTCTGTAAATCAATACTGTTTTGGCTCACGGAGGCTGAGGCAGAATTGTTTGAACCCTGGAGGCAGAGACTGCAGTAAGCCAAGATTGCACCACTGTACTTCAGCCTGGGTGACAGAGCGAGACTCTGTCTCAAAAAAAAAAAAAAAGTTTGTCAGAATAGCAATTCAATTTTATTTAACACAAATTTGTATTTTTCATAATTTTAAATATATAAGAGTAATATGGCCGGGTGCGGTGGATCACTTGAGGTCTGGAGTTTAAAACCAGCCTGGCCAACATGGTGAAACCCCATCTCCACTAAAAATACAAAAATTAGCTGACGTGGTAATGCATGCCTGTAATCCCAGCTACTTGGGAGGCTGGAGTGGGAGAATCACTTGAGCCCAGGAGGCAAACGCTGCAGTGAGCCAAGATAGCACCACTGCACTCCAGCCTGGGCAACAGAGCAAGAGTCTATCTCATAAATAAATAAGTAAAATGGATCTTGGATCTAGCTAATGGGATTGAGCTAATGTGTTTCTCATTTCAGCTCCTGGTGGACCCATGTGGAAATGGGACCTCCAGATCCCATTCTGGGAGTCACTGAAGCCTTTAAGAGGGACACCAATAGCAAAAAGATGAATCTGGGAGTTGGTGCCTACCGGGATGATAATGGAAAGCCTTACGTTCTGCCTAGCGTCCGCAAGGTGAGCTTGCTGTTCATCTCCTTTTGAATGGGATGAATAAACTGAAGAGAGCCCTGGAGAGTGGCAGGAATAGTGCTGGACCGGGAATCAGGAGCCCTGGGCTTTAGTTCTGGCACTAATGGCATGAATCACCCGGGTTTTCTGGGCTGTAGTCTCCTTGACTGTAAAGGTGAGAGGTTGGAACCACCTGTTTTTTCCCAAGATTGAACTTTCTATGGTTCTGTGATCATCTATAAAACAGACATTAAATACGCTTTAGAAATGCTTAGCTATGCCTACTTTAATCCTGAAGGTGCATAAGAGGACCAAGACTTTAAGCGCTGTCTCTTGTTGAGAGGAATAGCTCTTCGTGGATTACTATTTTTATTTTCCATTTCTCTAACTGTGATTACTTTAATCAAACCTTTGTACACAGGCATGCTCTGTCCTTTCTTCCTGCTGAGCTATGCAATTTTCACCTCTTTCTTTTGTTATATTTTTATTAGTAGCATCTTTATTTGTTAACTAAATAATATAACAAATCCCCTTAGAATAATTTTTTAAGTTATTCAGCAAGTATTTGCTACTGCAACCTGCATCACTACCAAGCACTATTGTACATTCCCTCATTCACACTTCACCTCAACACTGTGAGAGGTAGAAATAGTTCCTCCATTTAACAGAGGAGGAAACTGAGGCTCAGGAAGGCTAAATAACTTGCCTAGGGTAACACAACTTGTAAGGGACAGCCAGGCTTCCAATGCCAAAGCACGAAGATGTGTGGCTATTACTGTTAACACTTCGAAGTTCTTAGACTGGCATATAGCTTGACATGCTTTCTCTTTTGTATTTAGTTTGATTTAATCATCTTATATCTATTTTAGGTGTTGCTCTTAAACCTTGGTCTTGTGCATTCCAAGAATCTCATTTTATGTTAAATTGTAACCAAGAGAGACTATACCCATCCACATAAAACCTAACTTAAACAATAAAATACAATTTGAAAAAGAAAGTATTTCTGTTCTGCAATACAAACTATCAAGCATTCTACCTACCCTTCTTCTCAGAGAGTAACTTCAAATTTTAAAAAAAGGTTTGGCCGGGCGCAGTGGCTCATGCCTGTAATCCCAGCACTTTAGGAGGCCGAGGCAGGTGGATCACCTGAGGTCAGGAGTTCGAGACCAGCCTGGCCAACATAGTGAAACCCCGTATCTACTAAAAATACAAAATTAGCTGGGCGTGGTGGTGCACGCCTGTAATCCCAGCTACTCGGGAGGCTGAAGCAAGACAATCACTTGAACCCGGGAGGTGGAGGTTGCAGTGAGCCGAGATCACACTACTGCACTCCAGCCTGGGTGACAGAGCAAAACTCCATCTCAAAAAAAAAAGACTTTACCTCCAAAACTTAACTTATAAAACTTTAAACATTAATCATAGTAATTCCAAGTAAGGAGAAGAAATTCAATGGATGTATTTTCTCTTGTCTAGGCAGAGGCCCAGATTGCCGCAAAAAATTTGGACAAGGAATACCTGCCCATTGGGGGACTGGCTGAATTTTGCAAGGCATCTGCAGAACTAGCCCTGGGTGAGAACAGCGAAGTCTTGAAGAGTGGCCGGGTAAGCTGAGCAGGCTCTGGCATCATCCCAGGTCTGTTTTAACAAATTTGTAATTATTTAAACAATTTTAGGCCAGGCGCGATGGCTCACGCCTGTAATCCCACCACTTTGGGAGGCCAAGGCGGGTGGTTCATCTGAGGTCGGGAGTTCGAGACCAGCCTGATTAACATGGAGAAACCCCATCTCTACTAAAAATACAAAATTAGCCGGGCATGGTGACACATGCCTGTAATCCCAGCTACTCAGGAGGCTTAGGCAGGAGAATCACTTGAACCTGGAAGGCAGAGGTTGTGGTGAGCCAAGATCATGCCATTGAACTCCAGCCTGGGCAACAACAGCAGAACTCCATCTCAAAAAAAAAAAAAAAATTTAAGAAATATGAAAAGATAACTCATTTTGTGTGTAATGATTGTTTTGAGGAGGCCACACTATTTCTAATAATTCTTATTTGATAGTAAATTGCCATCATTAAATAAAATAATTTACATGACACCAATTCCAAAAATGTACTAGTAGTAATCCTGAAAATGCGGTAGTCATTTGACTGATAGATTTGATGTTACTTTTGCTGTTAGTCTCTACCTGCTTATGTTCATTTTACATCAAATATGCTTTAGAAATGTTAACTATGCCGAGTTTTAAGCCTGCAGTTAGCCCACACCCTCATGTCCTAAGCTTCCAACTTGCACAGAAGCAGCAAGCAGGAAACAAGCCATGGGTGGACTGTGGGGGCTGGACCAGTCTGGCAGCCCTCTGCTGTCCCTTCACAGCCCACATGGACACAGAAAGAAGACCACGCTCCCAACATGTGAACTCGTGCACATTGTGGTTCACTTTCTTTTGAAAAAAACATGTTTTTTAGTGAGTGCATTTGTACGTTTTTCTGGGTAAGCCTGGGGAGTGAAGAAACATACAAACTAGCAAAATTAAGTCAACATTTTTTCTGCCCTTCCCCCTCTGAAAAGCCAGAATAAATACACTTTATTTACAAGACTGGTCTAAGTCCACACATGAATTCGTTAACTCAGAGTAAAGCACACAACCTCAACCCCAGGGTTATGTAGTAATTATCCTACGTCAAATAGAATTTGGTTTAGTTCTGTCCATACAGTCAACTGCCTGTTAGCCCCTCCTGGAAATTTCTGTACTTTTTAATTCATGTGCTCTTTTGCCTAGTCTCTGCTCCATCTAAATAACAACCTAAGTATGAAACTGGCCTACCTTAAAATAACATCAGCTTGTCTTTTATAAGTTGTTGTGCCTCAGCCGGGCGCAGTGGCTCACTCCTGTAATCCCAGCACTTTCCGGGACCAAGGCGGGTGGATCACCTGAGGTCAGGAGTTCGAGACCAGCCTGACCAATATGGTGAGACCCGCCCCCCCGTCTCTACTAAAAATACAAAAATTAGCCAGGTGTGGTGGTGCACGCCTGTAGTCTCAGCTACTGGGGAGGCTGACATGGGAGGAATCCTGGAACCCAGAAGGTGGAGGTTGCAGTGAGCCAAGTTTATGCCATTGCATTCTAGCCTGGGTGACAGAGCACGAACCTATCTCAAAAAAAAAAAAAAAAAATTGTTGTGCCTTTGTGAATCGTAGTATCATCGGACCTACAGTGAGGTTTTTATTTCCATCATGCCAAAGCTTGCAGGACAAACTATTTAAAATAATTTTTTAGTTGGGTTTTTCCCTCTTTAATCTACTACCACCCCAGTCCAGAAAAATACATTTGTGCTTTGTAGAGCCTTGTACTTCTACAACACCTTTAAAAACAACAAACAAAAACCTCTTAAACCTATGGTAATTTCTTGTTTGTCCCTTAAAGTTGACCAATTTGAATAAGGAGATTCACCTTAGGCATCTTCCTATTACCCAAAACATGAATATTTTCAGATTATGAAAACACATAGAAGGGGACCTCTTAGAAAACCTTTATTTATTTATTTATTTAGAGATGGAATTTCGCTCTTGTTGCCCAGGCTGGAGTGCAATAGCACGATCTCAGCTCAACGCAACCTCCGCCTCCTGGGTTCAAGCAATTCTCCCGCCTCAGCCTTCCTGAGTAGCTGGGATTACAGGCATGCGCCAACACACCTGGCTAATTTTGTATTTTTAGTTGAGACAGGGTTTTTCCATGTTGGTCAGGCTGATCTCGAACTCCTGACCTCAGGTGATACGTCCACCTCGGCCTCCCAAAGTGCTGGGATTACAGGCATAAGCCACTGCGCCCGGCCAGAAAACCTTTAAAATGTTGTAATGTTATCCTTGTATACTTGTTGACTTGCTTTTCAAGGAACTTTGATGTTTAGAGAGTCATTCTACTTTGTATAATTCTAAAGTAATGTTTTAATGTAGTGACTGTTCTCAGTGTCTTTTTATTTTATTTATTTATTTTTTTTGAGACAGAGTCTCACTCTTTTGCCCATGCTAGAATGCAATGGCACAGTCTCGGCTCACTGCATCCTCCACTTCGCAGGTTCAAGCAATTCTCATGCCTCAGCCTTTCCAGTAGCTGGGATTACAGGCATGCGCCACCATGCCCAGCTAATTTTTGTTTTAGTAGAGACAGGGTCTCGCCATGTTGGCCAGGCTGGTCTCGAACTCCTGACCTCAGGTGATCCACCCGCCTTGGCCTCCTAAAGTTCTGGGATTACAGGCATGAGCCACCGCACCCAGCCTCTCAGTGTCTTTTTATATCTTTTATATAATTCACCCCTTTTTCATATTGAGGAGGAATTTTTGTGTTCTGAAAGTTTCCCGTGTAACATGAAATGATACTGACAGGCCATAAAGAATGAGCTTCTGAAGTATGAAAGGTCCTGGACAAAGCAGTGGCCCTGGGTCTGGGCCTGTATAGAGAGTGTTGCACATCACTGACCGTGGGTATCTCTCCTTCAGTTTGTCACTGTGCAGACCATTTCTGGAACTGGAGCCTTAAGGATCGGAGCCAGTTTTCTGGTGAGTCTGGAAGCTTCTTCAGGAAAGAATTATAAATTCCAGATGACAGGGCTTCCTGTTGTGTGTGTATTTGACTGTTGATGCAGAAGTAGATTTCTTCTTTCCGTGAAGTTTGCAGATGTCCTATTCTCATGAAAAAATGAAAGGACTTTGAAGAAATTACAGGAAAGATATATTAGTGATGATGATAAATTCAGTTCACTAGGAACTTACTATTTACTAGGGAGCTTTTGCATTTTAACTTGTTTAATCCCTATGAGAGAGGTACAATTAACCCCCTTTACAAGTGAAGAAAGCAAGACCCAGAAAGGTCCTTGGCTACATGGCCAGTATAACTGTCAGAGACTATTCCAACCCAGGCAGTCTTACTGCTGAGTCAATACTGCTTCTCAACCATAGAGAGAAACTGGGTTTCAGCAGAGAAAAATGTTCTCTCAATAAAACACATCAACATTTTTTTGCCTCTCCTTTGTTCATTTTTCTGTTTCCTTTCGTCCCATCTTTTAGCAAAGATTTTTTAAGTTCAGCCGAGATGTCTTTCTGCCCAAACCAACCTGGGGAAACCACACACCCATCTTCAGGGATGCTGGCATGCAGCTACAAGGTTATCGGTATTATGACCCCAAGACTTGCGGTTTTGACTTCACAGGCGCTGTGGAGGATATTTCAGTAAGTGTGGCTTTCAGGGTGAGAGAGGTGAATAAAACTCCTTGCTTGCGGACATTTGATGTCTCCCACCATGTCCCAATATCTGAGTTAAAATACTGGGGAAGAGCTGATTCCCAGGGTTCTGGTTACCTTTGTTACTTATCAAATGATGACGATCCTGTGGCATTTCAGATAAACCATTTCCTTTAAAGCTGCAAAGTCGTCTCTTGGCTGTTTTTCTCTTTAGAAAATACCAGAGCAGAGTGTTCTTCTTCTGCATGCCTGCGCCCACAATCCCACGGGAGTGGACCCGCGTCCGGAACAGTGGAAGGAAATAGCAACAGTGGTGAAGGTGAGGACGATGAACTCACTGGCGACAGTTCTGTGTTTAGTAACCAGCTTTGGAGGCTTAATTTGGCAATGTCTCAACAGAGAGTCTTAACCTCGAACCTGCGTGAAATGTCCACACAGGTGGATAAGCTGCCAGAAAAGGGCTCCCCATTTGCGTGATTAGCAGTTCTGGGATTGATGACGCATGAGTATTTGAAAGTAATTTTTTTTGGCTGGGCGCGGTGGCTCACGCCTGTAATCCCAGCACTTTGGGAGGTCGAGGCAGGTGGATCACCTGAGGTCAGTTCGAGACCAGCCTGGCCAACATGGTGAAACCCCGTCTCTACTAAAACTACAAAATTAGCTGGGCGTAGTGGCCCATGCCTGTAATCCTAGCTACTTGGGAGGCTGAGGCAGGAGAATCACTTGAACCCAGGAGGTGGAGATTGTGGTGAGCCGAGATTGTGCCACTGCACTCCAGCCTGGGCAACAAGAGCAAAACTCTGTCTCTAAAAAAGAAAAAAAGAAAATAATTTTTTTCCTCATCCTGGATGTAGGGAACTCTGATAAAACCTGTCCACTGGCCCCAGGATGTCTGCTGTTGATGCCTATATTCGCCCTGGTCAGTGGTTGCTTATTGATCTTTTTAAACACTTTTTCATGTCCTCTCCTTTGCAGCATTGCCATGATCACTCTCAAAGTGTAGCCAGCTGTCAGAGAAGACACTAGTCAAAATTCCTAGGGAGGAAAATGTTATTCCTGTTGTCTCATGTCCCTGTTTTCCCTTTTCACTCCTTTTCATTTCCCTTTCTTTTCTCTCTCTCTCTTTTTTTTTCTTTTGAGACAGAGTCTCACTCTGTCGCCTTAAGCCAGAACGCAGTGGCACAGTCACAGCTCACAGCAGCCTCTACCTCCAGGGCTCAAACAATCCTCCTACCTCAGCCCCTGAGTAGCTGGGACTACAGACATGTGTGCCACACCTGCCTGGCTAATTCTTCCTATTTTTCACAGAGACAGCATCTCACTTTGTTGCCCAGGCTGATCTCAAACTCCTGGGCTCAAGTGATCCTCCCACCTTGGCCTCCCAAAGTGCTGGGATTATAGACATGGGCCACCATGCCTGGCCAGTTTCCCTTTCTTTAACTTCTGTCAAATCTAAGCTGCAAACAGAATGAGACAGAAACAGCATTTGGAGAGCACTTTCAAGATAAAATGGTTCTAATGATGTTGTCTCGTGAGTCCTGGGTATAAGTTGAGTCTTCCAGGATTACGTTAGCCCCAGAAAAGGCTTATTGTGCTTATTGGGACCATGCCCACCTCACATAAACATCTTTCAGACTTTTATAAACATCTGGGGCCTCTTCAGAAAGACTGCTAAAGCTTCGATCTTTCGTTCCTTCTCAGAAAAGGAATCTCTTTGCGTTCTTTGACATGGCCTACCAAGGCTTTGCCAGTGGTGATGGTGATAAGGATGCCTGGGCTGTGCGCCACTTCATCGAACAGGGCATTAATGTTTGCCTCTGCCAATCATATGCCAAGAACATGGGCTTATATGGTAAGCTACAGCATCCAGCATGACACATGCTCTCATGCTGGGAGAGAATGCCACGAGGGCATAGAGCTTGTGGGTGTGTGTGTGTGTGTGTGTGTGTGTGTGTCCATCCATGTCCATGTCCCTCCCTACCCTAAGATGAAAGACCAGTATCGTAGATTTTACTGATTTTCTTAGCCATATATTCTTCGGTGTCCTTAAGTTTTTCCAGCAAAGGAAACTGATTACTGCTTCTCTAAACAAAAAGTAACAAATCCGTGAGCCAAGAAGATAGATACAATAAAAAATACCTTTGAATACTCTGAGTACTCAAAACTTCCTTGTGCCTCAGTTCACCACTCTGGTTGTTGAAAGCTTTTTATTTATAATAAAGTTATTTTGGGGTCCTTTGGATGGAAACAGATAATACGTAGCAAATACACTCATGATTTGCTTTAGCACATTAGATAGTAGAAGTAGAAGACGAGATCCATTTTTGTCTTTCAGGTGAGCGTGTAGGAGCCTTCACTATGGTCTGCAAAGATGCGGATGAAGCCAAAAGGGTAGAGTCACAGTTGAAGATCTTGATCCGTCCCATGTATTCCAACCCTCCCCTCAATGGGGCCCGGATTGCTGCTGCCATTCTGAACACCCCAGATTTGCGAAAACAATGGTAAAGGTTTATGCCACTCCCCAGCCACCTACCTGTTCCCACCACTGCTCCTTCAAAGTTAGTTTTTAATTGACCTCTAGTGATATACAGTACCCCATAGATTCCATATGTGGAAGGCAGGGAAGGAAGCAAAAAATGTGCATTCCTTTTTTAAAAAATTAAGGCCGGGCACAGTGGCTCACGCCTGTAATCGCAGCACTTTGGGAGGCCGAGGCAGGTGGATCACCTGAGGTCGGGAGTTCGAGACCAGCCTGACCAACATGGAGAAACCCCGTCTCTACTGAAAATACAAAATTAGCCGGATGTGGTGGTGCATGCCTGTAATCCCAGCTACTCGGGAGGATGAGGCAGGAGAATTACTTGAACCTGGGAGGCGAAGGCTGCAGTGAGCCGAGATTGCGCCATTGCACTCCAGCCTGGGCAACAAGAGCAAAACTCCGTCTCAATCTATATATATAGATAGATAGATAGATTGGTTGAGACAGGGTCTTGCTCTGTCACCCAGTCTGGAGTGCAGTGTTGCAATCCTAACTCACTGTAACTTTGTACTCCTGGCCTCAAGCAGTCCTCCAGCCTCAGCCTCCCGAGTATTTGTTAGCACTTTGAACCAAGTTAATTGATATTTCTCTGTAAGAGGCAGTCATAATTTTTAAATGGTAGTTCCTTTTATTCCGTCATCTCCGTGTTAAGTAGAACCTGCTTTCCCCTAAAATCAGTTTCAAATTAAGTACCTTACATAGGAAAACTTCCTTAAAAACATCATATTTTTGTTTGTGTCCTAATAATTGCTAGCATTGAATCCGTATTTTTGCATATGTTTGTATTTTATTGTAGAGACAGGGTCTTGCTGTCTTGCCCAGGCTGGTCTCCTCAAACTCCTGGGCTCAAATGATCCTCCCACCACAGACTCCCTAAGTGCTGGGATTGCAGGTGTGAGCCACTGCACTCAGCTTGTTTTTTATTATCTGTACTATCTGACTCTCAACATCTGTTCTCTGAATTAGTGTTACTAAATTTTTTTGACCACAATCCACATAAGAAATATATTTAAGTCTGGGCACAGTGGCTCACACCTGTAATCCCAACACTTTGGGAGGCTGAGGTGGAAAGATCGTTTGAGACAAGCCTGGGCAACATACTGAAACCCCATCTATAAAATTTTAAAAATATATATTTTACATCATGACCTTGAACATATTATATACTTATATGTGTATATAACTGAAACTGTCTTCCAGACTCAATACTAAAGGCTTCATGTGCTTTACTCGAGTTTTTTGTTTTGTTTTGTTTTTTGTTTTTTTTTAAACAGTCTTGCTGTGTCACCCAGGCTAGAGTGCAGTGGCACAATCACTGCAACCTCCACCTCCTAGGCTCTAGCAATTCTCGTGCCTCAGCCTCCCGAGTAGCTGGGATCACAGGTGTGCACAACGAGACCCAGCTAATTTTTTTTTTTTTTTTTGAGACGGAGTCTCGCTCTGTCGCCCAGGCTGGAGTGCAGTGGCGGGATCTCGGCTCACTGCAAGCTCCGCCTCCCGGGTTCACGCCATTCTCCTGCCTCAGCCTCCCAAGTACCTGGGACTACAGGCGCCCGCCACTACGCCCGGCTAATTTTTTGTATTTTTAGTAGAGACGGGGTTTCGCCATGTTGGCCAGGCTGTTCTCAAACTCCTGGCATCAAGTGAACCACCTGCCTCGGCCTCCCAAAGTGCTAGGATTACAGGCGTGAGCCACCAAGCCCAGCCTCCACTCCAATATTTTCTAAATGCCAACTGCATCTTACTAAGTTGAATTTAACATACTAAGCCAGGTAAGGTGGCTCACACCTATAATCCCAGCATGCATTTTGGGAGGCCAAGGCAGGTGGATCCCTTGAACCCAGGAGTTGGAGACCAGCCTGGGCAACATAGCAAGACTGTGTCTCTATTAAAATAAAAGAAAATAAAAAAATAAAAAATAAAAAAATTAACCTACCAATGGGTCATGACACATAATTTAGAAAACACTGCTGTAGAAAGGGGTTGGCAAACTGTTCTGAGAGTCAATCCAGTTTGCCCCCTATTCTTGTAAATAAAGTTTTATTGGAACACAGCTGTACCCATTTGTTTATGAATTTTGTATAGCTACTTCTTTGCTGCCATGGCCGAGTGAGCAGTTGTAGAAGGCAGAGACCATATGGCCTATAAAGCCTAAAATAATTACTGTTTGGCCATTTACAGAAAGAATGCCAACCCCTACTCTATGAGTTCATAAAACCATGATGCCTGTGGAAGGTGTGATTTGTTATATGAGTTTATCGTATATTTGTTATATGAGCTGCTTAGTTGAGAGGTCACATCTCTGAGCAGCTCTTGGGTAGAAAAGCTAAATCTGCTATCTCTAAGAAACTTGATATGTACCTCCCCTAGTCATCATGTGACAACTATTTTTTCTGTCTCTCTGTCCCATGAAGATTAAAGTAAATACTAAGAGTCTGGTTCAGGATAGTTTTTTTTGTTTTTTGTTTTGTTTTGTTTTGTTTTTTCCTTTTGATTTTTTATAAAGACAAGGTCTCACTGTGTTGTCCAGGCCAGTCTCAAACTCCTGGGCTCAAGTCATCCTCCCACCTCAGCCTTCCAAAGTGCTGGGATTACAGCTGTGAGCCACCGCACCCAGCTCAGGGTAGTTCTTTATGGTATAATAGGTTCATGCTAGACCTACCAAAAATTTGAGTACTTTTTAAGTTATATTTTTTTGCAGCATGATATTAACATGTAAGTATATTTCAGAAAGTTTGTGAAAGGGAAAAAATTAACCATAACTCTAGCTATTCTAACTCAGCTTTTTTTTTCCCTTACCCATTGTTTGTTTGTTTTTTCTTTATTTGTTTTTTGTTTGTGTGTGTGGTTTTTTTGTTTTTTGTGTTTTTGTTTTTGAGACAGAGTTTTGCTCTTGTTGCCCAGGCTGGAGTGCAATGGCACAATCTTGGCTCACTGCAACCTCTGCTTCCTGGGTTCAAGTGATTCTTCTGCTTCAGCCTCCCAAGTAGCTGGGATTACAGGCATGTGCTACCACGCCCAGCTAATTTTGTATTTTTAGTAGAGACGGGGTTTCTCCATGTTGGTCAGGCTGGTCTCGAACTCCCGACCTTAGCACTTCGGCCTCCCAAAGTACTGGGATTACAGGCGTGAACCACTGCGCCCAGCCACCCATTGTTATCTGTAGTTGTGACATACTGTTATATATGTATGTGCAGGACTGGTTTTGGTTTTGTCACTTAGAATTATACTAAGCTTTTTTACTTAATATTTTCAATGTTTTTAAAAATATTTTCATATTCTCTGGTTATGAAGATTTTTTTTAATGCATGCATTTCAATACACAATTTGAGAGTCTGTAGTAGACAAAGATGCCAGACTGTGTTAATGACTACCCTCAGGGTGGTTATAATCTGATGAGAAAGATACACACATGACTTTCTTGTTCTTGTTGTTGTTGTTGTTGTTGTTGTTCTTGTTGTTGTTTTGAGAGAATCTTGCTCTGTGGCCCAGGCCGGAGTGCAGTGGCACAATCTCAGCTCACTGCAACCTCCGCCTCCTGGGTTCAAGCGATTCTCCTGCCTCAGGCTCCCCTGAGCTGGGATCACAGGCACCCACCACCATGACTGGCTAATTTCTGTATTTTTAGTAGAGACTGGGTTTCACCACATTGGCCAGGCTGGTCTCAAACTCCTGACCTCAATGGATCCATCCACCTCAGCCTCCCAAAGTGCTAGGATTATAGACGTGAGCCACCGCGCCTGGCCACACATGATATTTAATATAAGACAGAATGGAATAAATGATGACTAAAGGGAGAGCTGTTGATTCTAGTGGGGAGTTAGAGAAGATGTAATGAGGACTGCGGCATGTGAGCTGTGCATTAAAGAGGGGAAAGGGCTTTTTTTTTTGCAAAGGAAATGAAACGGACAAGGAAACTGGGGAGAGATCTGAGTGAGGGCATAGGCGTGGGACGTGCATTATGCAGAACTTGTGTAGAAAGCCCCAAGTTGTTTTCGTGATGAAAACACGAATGTGAGGAGGACTGTGGGAGACAGCCAAGCTGAGAAGGTGGAGCAGATCGTGAAGCACCCTGGTTGATACTGTAAGAAGTCAACACTTGATTCTCCAGGCAACAAGGAGGATGGAGGGGTTTGGCTAAGATGGCTCCACATCTAGCCCTGTTCATGCACTCAATATCTTTGGGATCCAGGCCTCAAAGTGAATGAAGCTGGACGATGGAAACTGTAGGAAATTTAAAATCAGATGCCATAACTGGAGGGGCCAGGGGCTCCTCAGCTCCAGCCAGTAATTATTTTGCTAATACAGTGCTATCGTTTCTCATTTTTCAAGAGAAACTACAGGTTTCAGCTTTTAGGCACAAGTGCCCAATTTAAAAACGTTTCACTGGGTGAAGTAAAACATTACTAGGTCCCATATTTGGTCTTTAATTGGCAGTTTGTGATCTCTCTTCTAACCGTGCATAACATCATTATACAGAGATGGTTTAGGAAAGTGAACACCTAAGAACAGGGAGATAAACTGTAAATGGGAATGTCATTGGTGAGAGCCAAGAATGTCCCAGAGCCATGGGAATGGAGTGGAAAGGGTAGATTCTGAGGAAGGGGAAGGTTGTATTCAGAATCAGGTGATCCCCGTGCACAGTCAGAGGACTACCTTCTCCAGTCCCTCAGACAGAATTTACTCTCCTTGGGGCTTTTAGCATAGCAGTGTCCTATGTGTTTTACATTTTGTGGCCGTATTCCATACTTGGTTTACAGGTTTGGTTACAAGCACCCCTTGCAAGCTTTTGAAGGCAAGGACTATGTCTCAGTCCTCACCACCTAAAATAGCTTGGCTCATTGTAGATTCATAGTACATTGTCTCAATTGTGAAGATGGGAATGTATATTTCATCCATGTCAAAAATAAGGTCATTTTTTTTTTTTGTTTAACCCACAGCTTTTACCTTAATCTTAGTAGGTTTTAGAGTGATTCATTCACTTTTCTTTTTTTTTTTTTTTTTTTTTGAGACAGAGTCTTGCTCTCTCACCCAGGCTGGAGTGCAGTGGCGCCATCTCCGCTCACTGCAAGCTCTGCCTTCTGGGTTCACACCATTCTTCTGCCTCAGCCTCCCCAGCAGCTGAGACTACAGGCACCCGCTGCCACGCCCGGCTAATTTTTTTGTATTTTTATTAGAGACGGGGTTTCACCGTGTTAGCCAGGATGGTCTCGATCTCCTGACCTCGTGATCCGCCCGGCTAATTTTTTTGTATTTTTAGTAGAGACGGGGTTTCACCGTGTTAGCCAGGATGGTCTCGATCTCCTGACCTCGTGATCCGCCCGCCTGGGCCTCCCAAAGTGCTGGGATTACAGGCGTGAGCCACCGTGCCCCGCCCACTTTTCTTAATACAGATGCAATTATGATGGGGTTACATCCCAATAAGCCTGTCATAAGTCAGAAATGCATTTAAGGCCAGGCTTATGTCTGTAATCCTAGCATTTTGGGAGGCCAAGGTGGGAGAATCACTTGAGCCCAGGAGTTCCAGACCAGCCTGGGCAAAATGGGGAGACCCTGTCTCTACAAAAAAAAAAAAAAAAGAAAAGAAAATTAGCAAGGCATGGTGGAATGCACTTGTGGTCCCAGCTACTTGGGAGGCTGAGGCAGGAGGATCACTTGAGCCTGGAAGATTGAGGCTGCAGTGAGCCATGATCATACCATTGTACTATCCAGCCTGGGTGATAGACTGAGACTGGGTGATGGACTGTATCTGAAAAAAAGAAAAAGAAAAAGAAAATGGGCCAGGCGTGGTGGCTCACACCTGTAATCCCGGCACTCTGGGAGGCCTAGGCAGGAGGATTGCTTGAACCTTGGAGTTTGTAACCAAACCGCGCAACATGGCAAAACCCCATCTCTACATTAAAAGAAAATTCATTTAATACACTTAACCTACCAAACATCATAGCTTACCCTAGCATACTTTAAACATGCTCAGAACAGGTATTAAACTACAGTTAAGCAAAATCATCTAACACAAAGCCATTTTATAACAGAGTGCTGAATGTCTCATGTAATTTATTCAATACTGTACTGAAAGAAACAAAATGGCTGTATGGGTACTTAAAGTACGGTTTCTATTGAATGTATATTGCATTTGTGCCATCATGAAGTTGAAAAGTTGTAAGTCAAGGACTGTCTCTACTCAAGTGTGTTAACTGCTTCAGTTGCCTTATGGAAATAGTGTTCCAATATAAAACAGAATGCTATAAAATAGCTTTCTTCCCTGGCCAGTGACAGCGTGTCACTCATTCGTGACCTGAGAATTGAGGCACACTAGGGGACTGCTCAAGGGAGGTAAAAATGCAGTGAACTCCAGCATATCGGTCAGTGCTTAGGCAGAATGAGCTGCATCTCAGGGTTTCTTTACAGGCTGCAAGAAGTGAAAGTCATGGCTGACCGCATCATTGGCATGCGGACTCAACTGGTCTCCAACCTCAAGAAGGAGGGTTCCACCCACAATTGGCAACACATCACCGACCAAATTGGCATGTTCTGTTTCACAGGGCTAAAGCCTGAACAGGTGAGTGATTCTGATTTCTCTGCAGCAGACCAGCTGATCAGTCTTTGCAAACCCGAAGGATTACTTTTTTTTCTTTTTTCTTTTTTATTTAATGTTTTCGGGTTTTTTGTTTTGTTTTGTTTTGTTTTGTTTTGTTTTTGTTTTTGTTTTTGTTTTGAGACAGTCTCGCTCTGAAACCCAGGCTGGAGTGCAGTGGTGCAATCTCAGCTCACTGCAACCTCCACCTCCCAGGGCTTAAGTGATCCTCCTGCCTCAGCCTCCCGAGCAGCTGGGACTAGAAGTGAGTGCCACCACACCTGGCTAATTTTTGTATTTTTTGTGGAGACATAGTTTCGCCATGTTGCCCGGGCTTGTCTTGAACTCCTGGACTCAAGCGATCCGCCTGCCTTGGTCTCCCAAACTACTGGGATTACAGGTGTGAGCCACTGAGCCCAGCCCCAGAAGGATTCTTCATAGATCACCCACCTGTTCAAAATTACCCTAAAAACAGTTAAAACAGTTATTTTGGAGCCCTTTTAGGTAAAAGTATTGTAATACTTTTTAGCATTTATTTTGCTTTTTTTTTTTAGTTGTTTACCTCTCTGTATCCCCCATGAACTCACAAACTTCTAAAGAGCAGAGCTTGTTTTGATCATGTTCATAATCACTGTTGCTTCTCCCAAGAGAGCAACAGGAGAAATAGCTGTTTCATAATTGAATCCTGGCTCTGCTGAATCTAAAGGTGTCTTTTTCCCCATCTGTTTATGCATCAGAATTCATCATCCTACTTTAAAGTAGCTTTTTTTTTTTTCTTTTTTTGAGATGGAGTCTCACTGTGTCGCCCAGGCTGGAGTGCATTGGCGCAATCTCGGCTCACTGCAGCCTCTGCCTCCCAGGTTCCAGGTTCCAGGTTCCAGCTATTCTCCTGCCTTAGCCTCCTGAATAGCTGGGATTACAAGTGTGAGCCACCGCCCCAGCCTTAAAGTAGCTTTTTATTCTTATTTTATTCCAAGCTAACAGCAAATTCTGGGAACAGGTTTTAAGCGAGGAAATAGAGCGTTGGTAAGTTGGCTACTGTGCCATGTCAGGCCGGGGAGAATCCCCTGTACCGGGAAGAGGTACCCAAGTTCTTTCCTCTCTGCAGGTGGAGCGGCTGATCAAGGAGTTCTCCATCTACATGACAAAAGATGGCCGCATCTCTGTGGCAGGGGTCACCTCCAGCAACGTGGGCTACCTTGCCCATGCCATTCACCAGGTCACCAAGTAATGTCCCTGGTGCGAGGAAACAGAGACAACCTTTCTGTCTTCAGCCTCTGCTATTGAGAGCTTCACACAGACAATGAGAGAGGGTGGATGGTGGTGAGTGGATCATTTCTTTCAGCCACAGTGTGTAACACTCAGCATTTGAATGTTTCTCAGAAAAGAACATGTAGTGACACAGGGCAGAGGCATCCATGGCTGGCGTCTGGAATATTAAACCAAACTCTCCCCGGTCCTTTTTTCTCCAACTTTTCTCAAAGAGTTTACATGTGCAAGAAAGTCATCGCACCAAAAAACCTGTCAATTATGCCATTGCAATATTTCAGAAGCTTTAACTGAAGTGTCAGGTTCCTCGTGAGAAACAGCACACGTTAGAGGCTTTGAGAGAAGGCCTAGTTCTGTCATGAGTAGTCGGCCTCGTGTCTGTCCTCCCATCTTGGAACAACCTTATCAACAGGCCGCACTGCAGAAATGATGTTTTATGAAAACCAATGAGGCTGCTGCCACTCCAGCAAGGGAAATAATGCAGTTTCCTGTCTTATTTAAGAAAAAGAGAAGGCTCTCTTTTCTCCCTTGTCATTGCCGTTCTTTTCCTTACACGCAAAGATTTTTTAACTATTGCAGATTTTCATCCCATTCTACTGCTTGATTGACCATCAACTCCATCCTATCGAGATTTATTTAAGAATGAAGAACATAATTTTCTGCTGATGCTGTACCCTCACCCTTTTCAGCAAAGAATAGTGGAGAGTAGGAAACTGTACTTTATCTCGGCATCCTCTTGAATGATAGTGCAAGTTTCTCCAGTTGGGATGTTGTCTCTGCCCGGTTGGACCTCCTCCCTTTGTTGAATGTGGTGTGCAGCCTCTCATCTCACACTGTGAGTCCAGCGGCGCAGGGTGGTACCAGGAAAGAGGATATTCTAGGCTTTGCGTGCTGCTAGCTGGGTTCAGGCTTCACCCACTGGAAAGAACCACCATCTGCTCTAACCATGTAGACTTATTGCGGCCTGGTTTCTCTGTTACAATAAAATTACTGTAGACCCAACTACTGTCTACTAAGTTATCTTTTTTCTTTAATGGGAGGAAGGGGTAGGAGTGGGTAAATAAATAAAGGGGTAGGAGTTTGGAATCGTGTAGCTGATCATAAGCCAGTAGATGTATCCACTATTCCAAATATTGGCTGAAGATTCGTCGTTTTCTTCATGTTGCCATTCAGTTTGTCCAGTCCGAAGATGCTGAGAATGTGGGTGTAATCCCTTGGACCTTGTGGGGAACAAGTGGAGTCCCATGAAGGATCCTGTGGATATAGGCAAAGGGTAGAAGGGGTGGAGGAGAAGTGACAACTTCAGTGGTCTATAGGAGCCAAGAAGGTAACGTAAATAAAAAAGTGTTGTGAACTGGATTTAAGTTGATCAGTGGTGATCAACCCTCATCCTCAGCATTGAGGAGCAGTAGTGAAGTGACAGGAGCTGTGAGGATGAACGCCCAAGGTGGTAGGTCTTACATTTTTCAAGAAAAATGGAAATCTTGATTTCTATGGTTGATCTGTTGGTGCTTAAAAGTTGGCAACTGGTTCAATTTTTAAAAAATTATTTGGGCCAGGCATGGTGGCTCACGCCTGTAATCCCAGCACTCTGGGAGGCTGAGGTGGGCAGATCACCTGAGGTCAGGAGTTTGAGACCAGCCTGACCAACATGGAGAAACCCTGTCTCTACTAAAAATATAAAATTAGCTGGGCATGGTGGCGCATGCCTGTAATCCCAGTTACTCAGGAGGCTGAGGCAGGAGAATCGCTTGAACCCAGGAGGCGGAGGTTGCAGTGAGCCGAGATCGCGCCATTGCACTCCAGCCTGGGCAACAAGAGCGAAACTCCGTCTCAAAAAAAAAAAAAAAAAAGGAAAAAAAATGATTTGGAAGCAGGGTGCAGATGGTAGACTGCAAGTCTGTGTCCTCTGATGTAGGTCACATGCCCCTGTCAGCAGACATCCAGCACTGGCACCTGTGTGGCATCAGTCCTGCTTACGGTATTTTGTCCCTTTCATTCAGTGCAAGGAGCCTTTCATTGTGGGAGAGTGACCAGCCAGATAAGCAATGGAGCAGGAGCCAGGCCCAGGGACCCTCCACAGTGTCCCCATGGTTGCTGGGATGGGCAAGCAGGCTCAACTTGTTCTTTCCCCCTTGCCTTCTCCTGAGGGACACACTGCATGGCAGGTCAGGGGTCGCTCTGACTCTTTGCTTCTCTGTGTTCCTGTTACTAGTGGACATTCCAAGGTGGTGAAAGGATATGTGAAAGGACTGGTTCACTGGATGTCTTTATCTGAAAAGGGGAAACAATAGACATATTAGTCCGCTGCTCTGCAAAGGTACTGACTGCCTAAGTTAGGAGAAACTGAAGTTCTCCCTGTCTGGAGCAAAAATGGTTGAAAGTTGGTTGCCAAGACCTCAACTAATTGTGAAAGGAACTTAACCCCCACCCCCTGGTCTCACTCTGTCGCCCAGGCTGGCGTGCAGTGGTGCGATCTCGGCTCACTGCAACCTCCACCTCCCGGGTTGAAGCAATTATCCTGCTTCACCCTCCCAAGTAGCTGGGACTACAGGCGTGTGCCACCACGCCCAGCTAATTTTTTGTATCTTTAGTAAAGACGGGGTTCCACCATGTTGGCCAGGATGGTCTTGATCTCCTGACCTCGTAATCCGCCCACCTCAGCCTCCTGAAGTGCTGGGATTACAGGCATGAGCCACTGCACCCAGCCTGACCTTGTTATTTTTAAACATGGGTACTACCACCTTACACTGGACTAAGTCCCATTCATCATGTGGTGTCTGCAGCTTGATGGTTTTCTGAGAAGGTCAGAACATTGGCCCACAGCCTTTTCCTAGCTCCCTAGTCTGGTCTAAAATGTTAACATTCTCCAATCTGATAGTAGTTTGCCAGCTCAGAGAGAATAGTCATACCTTGGTTTCATTATAATTCAAGGTAGAATAGTTCCCAAATCTAGATCATTTATTTAAAGTACTGGTTCTCTGGCCTCACCTCTTAGGCATTCTGATTCAGCATGTCTAAGAGAAAGCTTGACAATCTATTTTTTTAAATTAAAAGAAAAACTGCAGTTGATTCAAATATAGCTCACCCATAGATCAGCCATGGGGAACTATCAGCCTGAACTGTTTCAGGTATACATCTAAACAACCAAAGTCCAACTTACTCAGCCAACTTGAGAGTTTATTCTAAGCCTTTTTTCTGAATTTTTTTTTTCATAGAAATTACTGGGGGTTTTTTTGTTTTGTTTTGTTTTTGTTTTTGTTTTTTTTTTATGAGACCAGGTCTTGCTATGTTGCCCAGGCTGGTCTCAAACTCCTGCACTCAAACGATCCACCCACCTTGGCCTCCCAAAGTGCTGAGATTACAGGTGTGAGCCACCGCACCCGGCCTATTGGTTTATTTATACCTAATGATAACTGAAAGACCAATTGTTTCTTTTTCAAGATATCTTATAAAAATGTTGAAAACAGTAGTTTTTATTGATAACAGTAGGGTATGCTCATTTTAGAAAATTTTAAATTCCTCAAATGCCTACCATGTGGAGATAACAGTTGTTTGTATTGAATTATCTTCCCTTGGTTTTTCTGTGCAAATATTTACGTGGTAGAGATTGTACTACTAATATAATTTTGGCTGGGCGCAGTGACTTGGGCCTGTACCCAACTACCCAAGAGGCTGAGGTGGGAGGATCACTTGAGCCCCGGAGTTTGAGGCTGCAGTGAACTATGATCTAAATGGAAAGAATGAACTTTGACCCCCTACTTAACAACATATACAAAAGTTTATTCAAGATGCATCACAGACTTAAATGTGGAAAGTGAAACAATAAAGCTTCTAGGAAAAAAAGTAGGCGCAGGCACCATGGCTCATGCCTGTAATCCTAGCTCTTTGGGAGGCTGAGGCAGGAGGGTTGCTTAAGCCCAGGTGTTCAAGACCAGACTGGGCAACATAGTGAGACTCTGTCTCTAAAAAAAAGAAAACAGGGCTGGATGCCTGTAAAAAAGGCTCATGCCTGTAACCGCAACACTTTGGGAAGCCGAGGTGGGCGGATCACCTGAGGGTCAGGAGTTCGAGACCAGCCTGGCCAATGTGGTAAAACCCCGTCTCTACGAAAAAAAAATAAAAATTAGCCGGGCCATGGTGGCATGTGCCTGTAATCCCAACTACTCAGGAGTCTGAGGCAGGAGGATCACTTGAACCCAGGAGATGAAGGTTGCAGTGAGCTGAGATCGCCATCATTGAACTCCAGCCTGGTCAACAAGAGTGAAACTCCGTCTTAAAAAAAAGGGGGAGCTGGGCGCGGTGGCTCACTCCTGTAATCCCAGCACTTTGGGTGGCCGAGGCAGGTGGATCACGAGGTCAGGAGTTCAAGACCAGCCTGACCAACATGGTGAAACCCCATCTCTACTAAAAATACAAAAATTAGCCGGGTGTGGTGGCACACGTCTGCAATCCCAGCTACTCAGGAGGCTGAGGCAGGAGAATTGCTTGACTTGAATCCGGGAGGCGGAGGTTGCAGTGAGCCAAGATTGTGCCCCTGCACTCCAGCGTAGGCGACAGAGTGAGACTCCATCTCAAAAAAAAAAAAAAAAAATCTTCAAAACTTTAGGCAAATGTTTCTTAAACAAGACATAAAAAGCACTGACCATAATTAGACTTCATCAAAATCAAGGATTTTTGTTCCACAAAGGAAACCAATAAAGTGAAAAAGCAGTCTTCAGATGGAGAATATATTGACAGCACATATAAATAACACCAAAATCCAAGCCAGGAGTGGTGGCTCACACCTGTAATTCTAGCACTTTAGGAGGCTTAGGCAGGTGGATCTCTTGAGCCCAGGAGTTTGAGACCAGCCTGGGCAACATGGCAAATCCCCATCTCTACTGAAAATACAAAATTAGTCGGAAGTGATGGTGCATACCTGTAGTCCCAGCTCCTCAGAAGGCTGAGGTAGGAGGATCGCTTGAGCCCAAGGAAGTCGAGGCTGCAGTGAGCCATGATTGTGCCACTGCACTCCATCCTGGGCGACAGAGTGAGGCCCTGTCTTAAAAAAATAAAACTAGAATCCAGATATATCCAGAACTATTCCAAATCAATAAGACAATCCAGTTTTTAAAATGAGCAAGAGACTTGAACAGGCAAGTCACAAAAGAGGATATACAAATTTGAATTTATGCATATTCAAAGCATATGAAAAAGTGTTCAGTATCATTCATCAGGGAAACACAAAACCTCTATTAGACGCACCCACCTAAATGGCTAAAATTAAGACAAACACCACCAAGACTGGTGAAGATGTGTAACTAGAACTCTCACTTTGCCAGTGGAGTAAATACTGTTGGAATTTACTAAAGCTACACATAGGCTGTCTTAGTCCTTTTGTGTCGCTATTAACCCTTTCCCATTTAGAAAAAAAAAAAAACGCAGCTTGCTGCCAGCGCTCATTTGAATTTTACATAAACACACTCTTTGAGGCTGAACCAAATCTGATTGATTTTCAATGTGAAAACATAAAAAACTGTTCTTGGAGTTATTTCTAAAAAGAACTAACATCAGAATCATCAGAATTGTCTATTTTTGAAAAATCAGATTCATCAAATGAATCTTTGGCCAACAACTGTTTGAGAATGATGTTAACATCATGCATAGGAATGCTACATTTTCTAGGATTTGACATTTTCAATGATAGGCAATTACTGTAGTAAATGAAAATACCACTGCTAAAAACACAATGCTATAAATAGAACGATGTCTTTTGTTTCCAAAGCTGATATACTAGAACAATACAAAAATAATAAAAGCGAGATATTTCGTGGCAAATTTATCTCAGGGTAAATGCTGCAGCCACAAGCGTTGCCAGTGAGTATTCTCGGAGCAAAGACGACAAGGGTAATTTATAAAAAGAGCTTTATTTGGCTTATGGTTTTACAAGCTGTACAAGAAGCATGACACCAGCATCTGCTCTGGTGAGGACCTCCGGCCTCTATCACTCTTGGCAAAGGCAAAGGGGAGCTGGTGTAGGCAGACATCACTTGGTGAGACAGGAAGCAAGAGAGGGGAAGAGAGGTACCAGGCTCCTCTAAACAGTCAGCTGTGAAGGAAACTTCTGCCAACTAATAGAGTGAGAATTCATTACCATGAGGACAGCACCAAGCCATTCAAGAGGAATCCACCTCCATCACCCAGACACTTCCCATTAGGCTCCACCTGCAACATTGGGGATCAAATTTCAAAATGAAATTTGGAGGAGTCACATATCAAAACCATAGCATATTCCTATCCTATGACCCAGCAATTCCATTCTTAGGTATACACTCGAGAAATTTGTATATGTCAACCCAAAGACATGAACAAGAACATACACAATACCTATTCTTAATTGCTGTATAGTCTGTTTTCACACTGCTATAAAGAAATACCTGAGACTGGCTGGGCGCGGTGGCTCACGCCTGTAATCCCAGCACTTTGGGAGGCTGAGGCGGGCGGATCATGAGGCCAAGAGATCAAGACCATCCTGGCCAACATGGTGAAACCCCATCTCTACTAAAAATAGAAAAATTAGCCAGGCATGGTTGCACATGCCTGTAATCCCAGCTACTCAGGAGGCTGAGGCAGGAGAATCGCTTGAACCTGGGAGGCGGAGGTTGCAGTGAGCCAAGATCACGCCACTGCACTCCAGCCTGGGCAACAGAGCGAGACTCTGTCTCAAGAAAAAAAAGAAAAAGAAAAAGAAATACCTGAGACTGGGTAATTTATAAAGGAAAGAGGTTTAATTGACTCACTGTTCCACATGACTGGAAGGCCTCAGGAAACTTAACAATCGTGGCATAAGTTGAAAGGGAAGTAGGGACCTTCTTCACATGGTGGCAGGAGAGAGAAGTGCAAGCAGGGGAAATGCCAGACGCTTATAAAACCATCAGATCTCATGAGAACTCACTCACTCTCACGAGAACAGCATGGGGAAAACCACCCCCATGATCCAGTCACCTCCCTCCCTCGACACATGGGGATTACAATTCAAGATGAGATTTGGGTGGGGACACAGAGCCAAACTATATCAATTGCCAACACTAAAAACAACCCAAGTATTCATCAACAGAAGAATGAATTTTTCTCTTAGAAGAATGGGTTTCTGGCTGGCCACAGTGGCTCATGCCTATAATCCCAGCACTTTGGGAGGCCAAGGTATGTGGATCACCTGAGGTCAGGAGTTCAAGACCAGCCTGGCCAACATGGCAATGAAACCCCATCTCTACTAAAAATGCAAAAGTTAGCTGGGCGTGGCAGTGCACATCTGTAGTCCCAGCTACTTAGGAGGCTGAGGCAGAAGAATCACTTGAACCTGGGAGGCGGAGGTTGCAGCGAGCCAAGATTGTGCCACTGAACTCCAGCTTGGGTGACAGAGCGAGTCTCTGTCTCAAAAAAAAAAAAAAAAGAAAAAAAAAGGAATAGTTTCTTAAAATTCACAGTCATGGGGGGAATACATATATATATATATATATATATATATGTATATATGTGTGTGTGTATATATATAGCTATATATATGTGTGTATATATATAGCTATATATATGTGTGTGTACATATATATTGCTATATATATATGTGTGTGTATATATGTATAGCTACTTAGAGCAACCTGGATGAATCTCATAGTATTGACCAAAAGAAACTAGACTCCAGTGAGCAAATACTGTATAATTTAATTTATATGAAGTTCATGAACTGGCAAAACTAATCTATGGTGACATCAGCCAGACTAGTGGTTGCCTTTTCTAGAGGGGGATATTACCTGGGATACAAGAGAGGCTTCTGAGATGCTGGAAACATTCTGTATCAATCTGAGTGGTGGTTGCATGTATGTATAAACACTTGTAAAAATTTCAATTAAAATTTATTACATGTAAAGTTGTTCCTAACATAAAAGTAAATATATTTTTTTAAAGAACCAGCACAAAATCTATTAAAAATGCTTAATGTGGCCGGACTCAGTGACTCACACCTGTAATCCCAGCACTTTGAGGGGATGAGGCAGGAGGATTGCTTAAGCCCAGGAGTTCAAGACCAGCCTGGGCAGCATAGTGATATCCCATCTCCAAAAGAAAAAAAAAATTGCTTAATCTGTCATAGGGATAAGAAAAAAAAAGCTATAAGAGCTGTGCTATAAATGTTTTAAATCTTGCTCTGGGTCATGGTTACAAAAGTGAATACATAAGTAAAAATTCATCAGGATGTGCTGAATTTAGTATATTTTAGTCACTTTGCTATATGTGTCTTACCCTTCAATTTTTTTTTTTTTTTTTTTTTTGAGATGAAATCTTGCTCTGTCGCTAGGCTGGAGTACAGTGGCACAATTTGGCTCACCACAACCTCCGCCTCCTGGGTTCAAGCGATTCTCCTGCCTCAACCTCCCAAGTAGCTGAGATTACAGGCGTGTGCCACCATGCCCGGCTAATTTTTGTATTTTTAGTAGAGATGGGGTTTCATCATGTTGGCCAGGATGGTCTCAATCTCTTGACCTCATGATCCGCCCACCTCGGCCTCCCAAAGTGTTGGGATTACAGGCATGAGCCACCAAGTCCGGCCCTAAAATAAGCTTTAAAACATACTAGGAGAAAAAAAGGAGTGGGAGAAACAAGGCAAATGAGCATACCAAAGAAAGCAAAATAATGCCACAAAGAAAATGGAAATTTTGGCCACAGATTCTCACATATGTTGAAAGCACTGAAAGACAATTATGTAACGTAGAGATCAAGGAAGGAAAAAAAACAATAAAAAGAGAATAAGTGAGTTGGCAGAGCTTAGGAAATAAGCGGAAGATAAAAACAAAACCACATGGTTTCGTTTTAAAACAGTAAAAACTTGCTGTCAAGTCCCCAGTGAGGTGGTAGGTTTGGGGAATCTGCAGACAGGAAGGCCATTCTCTAACTGGATGCAGTAGCATAGGCCTGTGGTCCCAGCTATTTGGGAGGCTGAGGCAGGAGGATCACTTGGGTCCAGGAGTTTAAGTCCAGTCTGGGTAACATAATGAGACCTTGTCTCTAAAAAAGAATTTTTTTTAATTAAAAAATATAGGCCAGGCGTGGTGGCTCACACCTATAATCCCAGCACTTTGGGAGGCCAAGGCAGGAGGATCACTTGCCTGGGCAACATGGTGAAACCACAACTCTACTAAAAATACAAAAATTAGTTGGGTGTGGTGGCACACGGCCTATAGTCTCAGCTACTCAGGAGGCTGAGGTGGGAGGATCGCTTGAACCTGGAAGCTGGAGGTTACCGTGAGCCGAGATCGCACCATGGCACTTCAGCCTGGGGGACAGAGAGACTCCATCTCAAAAAAGATTTTTGTAAAAAGTATATGTACACTAAAGAAAAAAAATGAAGGCCATTCTCTAAATGTCCAAATCTAAAAAAGGAAGTTACTCAATATCCAAAGATCTTTTCAGACCAATTCCTGGAGCAATGTGAAGGAATTGCAGCTGAGAATTTCTGTCAGGCTTATATTTAACAATCCCTTACCTTTATTTACATGGCACTTAAAAATGGACATGATCGGCCAGGCGCGGTGCCTCATGCCTGTAATCACAGCACTTTGGGAGGCCTTGGGAGGCCGAGGCAGGCAGATCACTTGAGGTCAGGAGTTCGAGACCAGCCTGGCCAACATGGTGAAACCCCATCATTACTAAAAACACAAAAATTAGCCAGGTGTGGTGGCGGGCACCTGTAATCCCAGCTACTTGGGACGCTGAGGCAGGGAGAATCGCTTGAACCCAGGAGGCGGAGGTTGCAGTGAGCCGAGATGGCACCATTGCACTCCAGCATGGCCAACAGTGAGACTCCGTCTCAAAAAAAAAAAAAAAAAAAGTACATGATCTTATTTGATTATTTGATGCCCATAGCAACCTTCAATAAATATTTTTGAGCAAGTACTGTGGCAGGTCATTTGTGCTTAGAACTCGAAGGCACCCTTTATTGTTTTTCCCCATCTTGGCTTTGACACTATAGACTTTACCAATTAGGGCTCCTTTGGTTGCAAGTGCCAAAAGCCAGCTTGACTGGCACAAGAATAAAAAGGGAATTACCTCATGTACATGTACTGGAGAACAGCCCAAGGCTGATATAACGGTAGCTCTAGCTCTCTAGCTGGTAGGTCCAACAGCCAGAGCCAAGTGCTCTATGTTGCCAAGAATCTGCCTCCATTTGTCAGCTTCACTTTTTTTGCTGCTGGTGCTGGCACTGGCTTCATTCTTCGTCTTCTGGCACTGGCTTCATTCTTCTTCTTTTTTTTTTTTATTTTTATTTTTTGAGATAGAGTCTCGCTCAGATACCCAGGCTGGAGTGATTGCAGTAGTGCAATCTTGGCTCACTGCAACTTCTGCCTCCCAGGTTCAAGCGATTCTCCTGCCTCAGCCTCCCAAGTAGCTGGGATTACAAGTGCCTGCCACCACACCCGGCTAATTTTTTGTATTTTTAGTAGAGACGGGGTTTCGCCATGTTGGCCAGGCTGGTATCGAACTCCTGACCTCGAGTGATCCACCTGCCTCGGCCTCCCAAAGTGGTGGGATTACAGGCGTGAGCCACAGCGCCTGGCGGGTACTGGCTTCATTCTTGAGAAGGCCATCCTCTCAACAGTGAGAAGATACTCACTAGCAGCTCCAGGAGTTTTTAATAACTCCACTCCCTCTCAAAAAAAAAAAAAAAAAAGAGAAAGAGAGAAAGAAAAAAAGCTTCTCTTTCTCAATTTCAACAAATGTCTGAAGACCTATTCTAAGTTGGTCCAGTTTAGGATATTCCACAGCAGATGCAAAAGCATAATGGAAGGCCTGGAAGCAAGTTAGAGCTTAAAAATTGGAGTAGCAAGAGATCTGTCTAGCAGGGCAGGCAGAGGCCACACCACCAAGTGCATTATGTCTTCTTAAGGAATTACTGGATCCTGTAGGCAAAGCGGTTTAAGGAACAATGTCATCTGCTCCATCTCAATTCGGTTGCATCAATATGAACATTGATCCCCATCCAAACTCTTACTCTAAACTGGAGGAAGTGGAAAATAAAGAACAATTCTTGGCCAGGCGTAGTGGCTCACACCTGTAATCCCAGCACTTTGGGAGGCCGAGGCAGGTGGATCACCTGAGGTCAGCAGTTCGAGACCACCCTGGCCAACATGGTGAAACCCTGTCTATATTAAAAATCCCAAAAATTAGCCGGGTGTGGTGGCGGGCGCCTGTAATCCCAGCTACTCGGGAGGCTGAGGCAGGAGAATCACTTGAACCTGGGAGGTGGAGGTTGCAGTGAACCAAGATCGCACCACTGCACTCCAGCCTGGGCAACAAGAGCAAAAATCCATCTAAAAAAAAAATAGAATGATTCTTATGAGAGCATTTTTGAAATGGCACAATGTGGAAGAGAGAATCTTCTCTTCCATAAAAGCAATGAGAATACTGTCAAAAATTGCCAAAATCAACATTCTGGGAATGAAGCAAAGGCTTCCAACAATCCCAGGAGAGTTTATTCAAGAAAAATGACAACCTCAGTAAGAACGGCAAGACTTGTAGCATTTAACGCCCTATTCCCATCCCCCTCCTCCCAGCTCCATGGTAGCCTTAAAAACCAAAAGACTCAAAACTGGTGTCAGGGACCAGTGCGGTAGCTCATGCCTGTAATCCCAGCCCTTTGGAAGGCTGAGGCAGGCGGATCTCTTGAGCTCAAGAGTTTGAGACCAGCCTGGGCAACACAGTGAAACCCCATCTCTACTAAAAATACAAAAATTAGCTGGGTATGCAGGTGCACACCTGTATTCCTAGCTACTCAGGAGGCTGAGGCATGAGACTCACTTGAACTGGGAGGCGGAGGTTGCAGTGAGCCGAGATCTTTCCACTGCACTCCAGCCCGGGTGACAGAGCAAGAGTTGGTTTCAAAAAAACTAAGAAAGAAAAAAAAATAACTTCAAAAGAAAAAAGCTGGGGAATGAATTGTCTATAGAGGCCTTTAAAAAGTTTTGAGTGGCTCACACCTAAAATCCCGACATTTTGGGAGACAAAGGCAGGAGGATCACTTGAGCCCATGAGGTCAAAGCTGCAGTGAGCCATGATAATGCCACTGCACTCAAGCCTGGATGACAGAGTGAGATCCTGTCTCAATAAGTAAGGACCAGGCGCAGTGGCTCACAACTGTAATCCCAGTGCTTTGAGAAGCCAAGGCAGGCAGATACTTGAGGTCAGGAGTTCAAGACCAGCCTGGCCAACATGGTGAAAGCCAGTCTCTATGAAAAAATGCAAAAAAATTAGCTGGGCATGATGGCGCACACCTGTAGTCCCAGCTACTCGGGAGGCTGAGGTGGGAGAATTGCTTGAACCGGGAGGGGGATATTGCAGTGAGCCAAGATTGTGCCACTGCACTCCAGGCTGGGCAACAGAGTGAGACTCTGTCTCAAAAAAAAAAAAAAAGAAGTAAGTAAGTAAAAGTTTGTCATTCTCCTGGAAAACTAGAAAACCATGAACAGGCACAGGCTGTGCACATGTCCAGGTAAGATCTAAGAACATCCTAATCTCTCACTTCTGGCTGGCCTTGAGGCTCTGTGCAAGCAGAAAGTGAAGTCCAGGACAGAGGGATAAACTGCCAACCAGAGAATTAAAATCAAACGGGCTGGGATACTTACTGGTTCAAGGCATTTAAGGAAATCTATCAAATTCACTAAACTAACTCAGAGGAGACTTCAGTGGCCACACACAGCAAAGAATACAGACTTTAAAGAATTAGTCCAGGAAGGTCACTACAGAAAAGGTAGCAGCAACAAACTCCAATTTTTGGATTTCCATATTATATTATTTTTCAATGTCTAGTCTTCAAAAACATTATGAAAAATGTAAAGAAATGGGAAAGTATGGTCCATACATAGGGAAAAAAGCAGTCAATAGAAACTGTCCCTGAGGAAGCCCAAGCCCAGGCATTAGACTTACTAGACAAAGACTTGGAATCACATAGGCAAAGAGTGAAAGGAAATTATGTCTGAACAACTACAGAAAAGTATGAGAACAGCGTCCTGTCATATAGAGACTATCAATGAATAGATATTATTAAAAAGACCCAAATAGAAATTCTGGAGTTAAAAAGTACAGTAATAACTGAAATTAAAAATTTAATACAAGGGCTCAATAGTAAATTTGTGCTGACAGAAGAATCACTGAACATGAGGATACATCAATTGAGATTATCCGGCCTATGGAAGAGAAAGAAAAAAAATGAAGAAAAATGAGGGCTGGCTGTACCTGTAATCCCAGCACTTTGGGAGGCTGAGGAGGGCAGATCACTTGAAGCCAGGAGTTCCACACCAGCCTGGCCAACAAGGTGAAACCCCGTCTCTACTAAAAATATGGAAATTAGTCGAGCATGGTGGCATGTGCCTGTAATCCCAGCTACTCAGGAGGCTGAGACATGAGAATCACTTGAACCCAGGAGAGGGAGGTTGCAGTAAGCCAAGATCACAACACTGCACTCCGGCCTCGGTGACTGAACCAGACTGTCTCAAAAAAAAAGAATGAAGAAAAATGAACAGAATTTCAGAGACCTGTGAGACACCATCAGGCATACCAACATATACATAATGGCTGTCTCAAGAGAGCGAGAAGGGAGCAGAAAGAATATTTGAAGAAATAATGATGGAAAACTTTCCAAAGTTGAGAAAAACATTATCTACACATCCAAGAAACTCTAAGATAATCTTTTTTTATCTTTTTTTTTTTCCTTGAGACGGAGTCTCACTTTGTTGCCCAGGCTGGAGTGCAGTGGCGCAATCTCGGCTCACTGCAAGCTCCGCCTCCCAGGTTCACGCCATTCTCCTGCCTCAGCCTCCCGAGTAGCTGGGACTACAGGCGCCCGCCACCACGCCCAGCTAATTTTTTGTATTTTTAGTAGAGACGGGGTTTCACCATGTTAGCCAGGATGGTCTCGATCTCCTGACCTCGTGATCCGCCCACCTTGGCCTCCCAAAGTGCTGGGATTATAGGCGTGAGCCACCGCGCCCGGCCTAAGATAATCTTAAAGAGATCCATACCTAGAAACATCATAAACTATCCAAAGTCAAAGAGAGAAATTTGAAAGCAGCAAGAGAAGGAACACATACCGGGCTCCTCAGTGAGCTTAACAACTGGTTTCTCATCAGAAACCATGGAGGCCGGAGGCAGTGAGGAGACACATGCAAAGTGCTCAAAGAAAAAGACCATAAATTAAGAATTCTGCATCCAGCAAAACTATCCTTCAAAAACAGAGAAATTAAGACATTCCCAGATGAAAACAGAGAAAATTGTTGCTAGCAGATCTGTCCTATAAGAAATATTCAAGGAAATCCTTAAGGCTGAAATAACAGGACACTAGACAGTAATTTGAATGAAGAAATAAAGAGCACCAGTAAAAGTAACTACATAGTAAATATTAAAAGTAGTACAAATGCATTTTTTTGTGTATAACACTTTTCTTGTGTTCCCTACTTATTTTTTATTTTTTAAAACACAGTCTTGCTCTGTCCCCCAGGCTGGAGTACAGTGGTGCAACCTCAGCTCACTACAACCTCTGCCTCCGAGGCTCAGCAGTTCTCCCGCCTCAGCCTCTCCAGTAGCTGGGACTACAGGTGCACACCCCCATACCCAGCTAATTTTTTTTTTTTTTTTTGGTAGAGATGGGGTTTCACCTTGTTGCCCTGGCTGATCTCAAACTCCTGGGCTTAAGTGATCCACTCATATCCACCTCTCAAAGTGCTGGGATGACAGGCATGAGCCATCACACCTGGCCATGCTCTCTCATTTAAAAGGCAACTGCATAAAGTAAGAATTATAAAACTATGTTGATGGAGCCAAGCTCAGTGGCTCATGCCTGTAATCCCAGCACTTTGGGAGGCCAAGGTGGGCAGATAATTTGAGGTCAGGAGTTTGAGAGCAGCCTGGCCAACATGGTGAAACCCTGTCTCTACTAAAAATACAAAAATTAGGTATTTTTAGTGGTAATGCATGCCTGTAGTCCCAGCTACTCAGGAGGCTGAGGTGGGAGAATAGCTTGAACCCGGGAGACAGAGGTTGCAGTGAGTCAGCATTGTGCCACTGCACTCCAGCCTGCATGACAGAGTGAGACCCTCTGTCAGAAAAAGAATTTTTTTAATTTAACAGTAAAACTATGTTGATGGGTTTATAATGTATATAAACTCTTGTCATACTGAAGTAACATATAGGGGAAGAGAACAAAAGGATATAGAAGCAAAGATTTGGAACCAAGTGAATTAAATTGGTATTAATTCTAACTAGATTGTTGTACTAACATTAATTATAATCCACAGGGCAACCACTAAGAAAATCACTCAAAACTGTATATAGTAAATGTCTTAGTCCATTTTGAGTTGCTGTAACAGAATACCACAGACTGGAGAATTTATAAGCAATAGAAGTTTATTTGGCTCATGGTTCTAGAGACTGGGAAGTCCAAGAGCATGGTGCTGCCATCTGGTGAGGGCCTTCATGCTGAGTCATCCCATGGCAGAAGGTGGAACACTTATTTTTATTTTTATTTTTATTTTTATTTTAAGACAGGATCTCGCTCTGTCATTCAGGCTGGAGTACAGTGGCAGGATCATAGTTCACTGCAGCCTCAAACTCCTGAACTCAAGCAATCCTCCTGCCTCAGCTTCCTGAATAGTTGGGACTACAGGCATGAGACAGCATGCCTGGCTACTTTTTCTTTTCTGTAGAGACAGCTATGTTCACTGGGCTGGTCTTGAACTCCTGGCCTCAAGTGAGGCCTACCTCAGCCTCCCAAAGTGCTAAAAATCACAGGTGTGAGCCACCGTCCGCAGTCCAGAACTTGCTTCAGTAATAAGCCCAATCTCATGATAACTAACCCACTCCCACAATAATGATATTAGTCCATTCATCAGGGCAGAGCGCTCATGACCTAATCACCTCTTATGTGGCCTCACCTCCCAACACTGTTGCATTAGGTATTAAGTTTCTGACACATGAATTTTGGGGGACATATTCAAATGATAAAAGTAAAATATCACAAGGGAATAAAATGATAGACTAGAAAATATGTACTTAACACAAAATAAGACAATAATGGAGGAACAGAGGAATAACAACAACAACAACCAAAAGACATATAGAAAACAAACAGCACGATGGCAGATGTAAAGCCTACCTTACTAGTAATTACATTAAATGTAAATGAATTAAACACTACAATTAAAAGACAGATACTAGCAGAAGGGATTTTTTTATTTAAAAGATCCAACTACATGCTGTTGACAAAAGACAATCTTTTTTTTTTTTTTTTTTTTTTGAGATGGGGTCTTGCTCTGTCACCCAGGCTGGAGTGCAGTGGCGTGAGCACAACTCATTCCAGTCTCAAACTTCCTGGGCTCAAGCAATGCTCCCATCTCATCTTCCTGAGTAGTTGGGACCACAGGCATGTGCCACCACACCTGGCTAATTTTTTTAATTTTTAGTAGAAATGAGATGTCACTATGTTGCCCAGGCTGGTCTCAAACTACTGAGTTCAACAATCCTCCTGCCTCAGCCTCCAAAAGTGATTGGATTATGGGCATGAGCCACTGCTCCCAGCCTCATACTTTCAAGAATGGATATAACAACTAGGCAGAAGGTCAACAAGAAAAGAGAAGGCTTCAACGATACCATAAATCAACCAGCTACACCTAATAGACAATCTATAGAACACTTGACCCAACAAGAGCAGAATATGCAGTCTTCTCAAATGCACATGGAACATTCTCCAGAGTAGCCCATACATTAGGCCATAAAACAAGCCTCCATAAACATAAAAGGACTGAAATCACACAAAGTATGTTCTCCGACCACAGTGGAATGAAACTAGGAATCAATCACAAAAGGAAATTTGGGAAATTTATAAATACATGGATGTTGAACAATATACTACTGAATAGCATCAGTTAAAGAAGAAATCACAAGGGAAAATAGAAAATATTTTAATGAAAATGAAAACACATATCAAATCTTCTGGGAAGTAGTTAAAGCAGTGCGTAGCTATAAATGCCTGTGTTAAAAAAAGAAGAAAGATGTTGGCCAGGTGCGTTGGCTCATGCCTGTAATCCAAGCAGTTTGGGAGGCCAAGGCAGGTGGATCACCTGAGGTCAGGAATTCGAGACCAGTCTGGCCAGCGTGGTAAAACCCCATCTCTACTAAAAATACAAAAAATTACCAGGCGTGGTGGCACGTGCCTGTAATCCCAGCTACATGGGAGGCTGAGGCAGGAGAATCACTTCAACCCAGGAGGCAGAGGTTGCAGCGAGCCGAGATCGCACTACTGCACTCCAGCCTGTGCGACAAAGCGAGACTCCGTCAAAAAAAAAAAAAGAAAGAAGAAAGATCTTAATTCAATAACCTAATGTTCCATCTTAAGAAACTGTAAATAAAAGATCAAATTAAACCCAAAGCAAGCAGAAGAAAAGAAAATAATAAAAACTAGAGCTAAAATACAGGAAACACAATAGAAAAATAGAGAAAATCAACAAAATAAAAAAATTGTTTCTTTTTAAGAATCAATACAACTGACAAAGCTTTAACTACACTGACCAAGAAAGAGAAGACTCATATTGCTAAAATCAGGAATGAAATAAAAGCCATTAATACTGCCCTTATAGAAATAAAAAGGATTATAAGAGAATACTATGAAAAATATATGCCAACAAGCCAGATAACCTACATTAAATGGACAAATTCCTAGAAAAACACTAACCCAAACTGGCTAGGCGTGGTGGCTCACACCTGTAATCCCAGCACTTTGGGAGGCCAAGGCGGGCAGATCACTTGAGGTCAGGAGTTCGACACCAGCCTGGCCAACATGGCAAAATTCCATCTTTACCAGAAATACAGAAAATTAGCCAGGTGTGGTGGCACATGCCTGTGGTCCCAGCTACTTGGGAGGTGGGAGGATCACTTGAGCTCAGGAGGCAAAGGTTGCAGTTAGCCAAGATCGTGCCACTGCACTCCAGCCTGGGTGACAGAGTGAGACCCCATCTCAAAGAAAAACACTACCAAAACTGACTCAAAGAGAAATAGAAAATTTGAATAGACTTACAATTAAGAGATTGAATGAAGAATCCAAAGACTTCCCACCAAGAAAAACTGAGGATTTGACAGCTTCACATAGACTACACCATCACCAAGAAATATTAATCCCAGGAATGCAAAATTGATTCAACATAGGAAAATCAATGTACATACCACATCGATAAAATAAAGTAGAAACATCACATAATCATCTCAATAGAAGCAGAAAAAAAACCCCACCATTTGACAAAATCCAACACCCATTCATGATAAAAAACACTCAACACACTAGGAATACACAGGAAATTCCTACCCTGATAAAAGGCATCTACAAATAATCCACAGGCAACATCATACTTAATAATGAACCGCTGAATGATTGTCTCCTGAAACAAGGAACAAAACAAGGATGTCCACTCTCATCACTTCATTCAACATTGTACTGGAGGTTCTGGTACAGTCAAGGCTAGAAAATAAAAGGAATCCAGATTAGAAAGGAAGATATAAAATTATCTCTATTTACAGGTTTTATAATCTTATGTTGAAGATTCCACTAATAAAACTATTAGAGCTAGTAAATAAGTTCAACAGAATTGTAGGGTGTAAGATCAATATACAAAACAGTTGTAGGAGTAGCACAGTGTCTCACACCTGTATTCCTAGCACTTTGGGAGGCTGAGGTGGAAGGATTGCCTGAGCCCAGGAATTCAAGACTAGCCTGGACAACACAGCAAGACCCTGTCTTTGCAAAAAATTTAAAAATTAGCTGGACATGGTGGCACACATCTGCAGTCCTGGCTACTTGGGAGACTGAGGTGGGAGGATCACTTGAGCCCAGGATTTTGTGCTGAGCAGCAGCCTGGGCAACAGAGCAAGGCCCTGTCTCTAAAATGATAATAATAATAATAACAAAATACTTTTTTTTTCTGAGACAGAGTCTTGCTCTGTCACCCAGGCTAGGGTGCAGTGGTGCAATCTCGGCTTACTGCAACCTCCACCTCCCAGGTTCAAGCAGTTCTCCTACCTCAGCCTCCCGACTAGCTGGGACTACAGGCGCATGCCACCACACCTGGCTAATTTTTTTGTATTTTTAGTAGAGACAGGGTTTCACCGTGTTAGCCAGGATGGTCTAGATCCCCTGACATCGTGATCCACCCGCCTCAGCCTCCCAAAGTGCTGGGATTACAGGCGTGAGCCACCGCACCCGGCCAATAAAATAATTTTTAAAAGGTTAAACATAGAGTTACCATCTGATCCATCAATTCCACTTCTACATGTATACCCAAGAGAAATGAAAACATATGTCCACACAAAAACTAGTCCATGAGGGAGGCCGAGGTAGGCGGATCACCCAAGGTCAGGAGCTCGATACCAGCCTGGCCAACATGATGAAACCCCATTTCTACTAAAAATACAAAATTAGTTGGGCGTGGGGGTGGGCACCTGTAATCCCAGCTACTCGGGAGGCTGAGGCAGGAGAATCGCTTGAACCCAGGAGGCAGAGGTTACAGTGAGCCAAGATCATGCCATTGCACTCCAACCTGGGCAAAAAGAGCGAAATTCCATCTCAAATAAAACAACCTTGTACATGAATGTTCACAGCACCATTATTCACAGTAGCCAAAAAGAAAAAATAACACAAATATCAACTACTGAACAGATAAAAAAATGTGGTGTAATGAGAAAAACACTGAATTGTACGAAAAACCTTCCCCCAAACTTGGAGGCAGTTGAGAGACCAGAGAATGACTCAGGCAAGTCCAGCTTGGCGAGTAGATGAGTTTGAGGACTTACATACGGGACACTCCTTGACAGCAGCAGGACAGTGCTAGAGATCCGCGCCACCTCCCATCTCTAAGCCATTTTTAAGCTAATTTTCTAGCTCTTTGCCTACTGCGTGTATGCAGTGGGACTGTTTTCCTTGGTAGATTCTCAGATCCTCTCCAGGATGTTTGAGTTCTCAGGAATATCTGCTCCTAGGCTGGGCACCATGGCCTTGGCTCACCACCCAGCATTCAGGATTCAAGCAGTGGATATACACCTCCAAGTAACCTGATGGGGGACCTGCCACACTACATGTGGTATAGCCATACAACAGAACATTATTCAGCAATAAAAATGAATGAAATACTGGTTCATGTTCCAACTAGGATGAGCACTGAAAACAGTATGCTCAGTGAAAGAAGCAGACAGAACAGGTCACATATTGTGTGACTCAATTTATATGAAAGGTCAAGAATAGGCAAACCCACAGAAGCAAAGAGTAGATTCAGAGTTGCCAGGGGCTTGGTGGAGGGGGAGATGGGAAGTGACTGCTAATGGGTTCAGGATTTTAGTAGGGGAGGGTGATCACAATATTCTGAAATTAGATAGTGGTCATCATTGCACAACTCTGAAGAAACTAAAATGCACCTTATTGGACTCTTTCAAAGGGTGGATTTTATGGCATACGAATATCTCAACAAAACTATTCTTATTTTTTAAATTTTTTTTTCCAAGGCAGAGTCTCACTCTGTTGCCCAAGTTGGAGTGCAGTGGCGCAATCTCGGCTCACTGCAGCCTCCACCTCCCAGGTTCAAGTGATTCTCGTGACTCAGCCTCCTGAGTAACAGGGATTACAGACATGCACCACCACACCCAGCTAATTTTTGTATTTTTAGTAGAGACAAGAGTTTCACCATGTTGGCCAGACTGGTCTCGAACTCCTGACCTCAAATGATCTGCCTGCCTCAGCCTCCCAAAGTACTGGGATTACAGGCATGAGCCACCATGCCTGGCCTCAATAAAGCTATGTTAAAAAAAAAAAGGCAGACAATTCAAATGTCCTTCAAAGAGTGATGGGTAAGTAAACTGTGGTACATACATACCACTGAATACTACTCAGCAATAAAACCTATCTGTGTTGACGTATATAGCTTAGATGAATCTCTTCTAGGGAATTTTACTGAGTTAAAAAAAAAAAGGCAATCTTAGAAAATTACAGACTGTGTGGTCTATGAACTGAATGTTTGTGTTCATCCCAAACTGATATGTGGAAACCCTAATCCCCAACGTGATAGTATTTGGAGACGTGCCTTTGGGAGGTAATTAGGTAATTAAAGCCCTCATGATGGGATTAGTACTATTTTTTTTTTTTTTGAGACAGAGTCTTACTCTGTCACCCAGGCTGGAATGCAGTGGCACGATCTCGGCTCACTGAAACCTCTGCCTCCTGGGTTCAAGCAATTCTCCTGCCTCAGCCTCCTGAGTAGCTGGATTACAGGCGCATGCCACCACACCCAGCTAATTTGTTTTGTATTTTTAGTAGAGATGGGGTTTCACCATGTTGGTCAGGCTGGTCTTGAACTCCTGACCTCATGATCTACCTGCCTCGGCCTCCCAAAGTGCTGGAATTACAGGCGTGAGCCACCACACCCAGCCGCAGGATTAGTTCACTTATAAGAAGAAACAAGACCAGGCATGGTGGCTCATGCCTGTAATCCAAGCACTTGGGGAGACTGAGACAGGAGGTTCACTTGAGCCCAGGAGTTTGAGGCCATTCTGGGCAACATAGGAAGACCTTGTCTCTATAAAAAATGAAAAGTTAGCTAGGCATGATGGCACGCATGCCTGTAGTCTCAACTATTTGGGAGGCTGAAGCGGGAGGACTAGTGGAGCCTGGGAGATGGCGACTGCAGTGAGCTGTGATTGCGCCACTGCCCTCCAGCCTGGGCAACAGAGACCGTGTCTCTAAAAATAATAATAATAATAAAATAAATAAAAATAAGAGAGAGTTTACTTTCCCTCTCTGCTTTCCGCAATGTGAGGACACAGCAGGAAGATGGCCATCTGAAAACTATGAAGATGGTCCTCCCCAGAACTTGACTCTGCTGGCATTCTGACCTCAGTCTTGACAGCTTCCAGGACGGTGAAAAATAAATCTCTGTCGTTTAAACCACCCAGTCTATGATACTCTGTTATAGCGGCCTTAACTGATTAAGACAGTATGATTCTATTTTTTTTTTTTTTTTTGAGACAGAGTCTCACTCTGTCTCCCAGGCTGGAGTGCAGTGGCACGATCTCTGCTCACCGCCACCTCCGCCCCCCGGGTTCAAGTGATTCTCCTGCCTCAGGCTCCCGAGTAGCTGGGACTACTGGCGTGCACCACCATGCCCAGCTAATTTTTGTATTTTTAATAGAGACAGGACTTCGCCATGTTGGCCAGGCTGGTCTCGAACTCCTGACCTCAAGTGATCAGCCCGCCTTGGCCTCCCAAAGTGCTGGGATTACAGGTGTGAGCCACCGCACTCAACCAGTATGATTCAATTTATATAAACTTTTTGGAGGCCAGGCACGGTGGCTCATGCCTGTAATCCCAGCACTTTGGGAGGCTGAGGTGGGTGGATCACTTGAGGTCAGGAGTTTGAGACCAACCTGGCCAACATGGCGAAACCCCATCTCTACTAAAAATACAAAAATTAGCTGGGAGTGGTGGTGCATGCCTGTAATCCCAGGTACTCGGGAGGCTGAGGCAGGAGAATCACATGAACCCGGGAGGCAGAGGTTGCAGTGAGCAAAGATCGTGCCACTGCACCCCAGCCGGGGAGACAGAGTGAGACTCTGTCTCAAAAAAAAAAAAAAAAAAAAAAAAAAAAAAGGTGTGATTTGGGTTTCTAAGGATTCCCAGTGTGTCCTCATCGGTGAGGACCTCTGATGCATGGAGAGGTAAGTGCAGTGGAGAGCATATCCACAAAACAGAGATGAGGCTATTGGGATGCTGGAGATTACGTGACAATTTATGAGTGACACACAGCCAAGAACAGAACCAGGACTGGATGCCCATTTCGTCATTCAACAAATATTTACTGAGCACCTACAATCCCTCAAAAACTGTTCTAGAGTCTAAACCGATGGGGTCGTAACCATGCCCCCAGCCCACTCCCTTGCAGGAAAGACCGTGGCTCCAGGTCCCCCACATTACTGATTAAAAAAAAACTCCAGTGCTCTGGCCATGGGCGTGAAGGCAAGGACAGAGACCGGGAGGATAATGAGGCCAAACAGCTTTGGCCCACCGCCACCGGGACTGGCAAAGAGGCCAGACCTCCTAATGCTCTTCCTTGGAGGAAGGAGCAGTGTTTGATTTGGTCAAGAGGCCAAGACTAAAAGTAAGAGGATAAACACGAGCTGGCTGGACGCGAGGCTGGCTCAGGGCAGTGCTGTCGGGCTGAGGATTCAGGGAGCTGGTGTTGTCCAAGCTTCACATTTGCGGAAACTACAACTCCCAGCGTGTCCCGCGGCCGCCCGAGCGGGCGTCATGTGATGCATGCTCACGTGTCTCCGCAGCCGGCTCGGGAAAGAATCCCCCAAGGTAGGTGGCCGGAGACAGGCTCTGGAGGGTGGAAGTGTTAGATCCCCGAGGTCTGTGGAGCCCCTCAGTCCCCGCCACCGCGGAAAAGCTCAGACCCTTTCCCTGCAGGGGTCCAGATCCTGGCGTCCTCGCCCCACGCCCGTCCCTCTGTTGCGCCAGCTCTGCCGCGCCTTTACCCAGCCAGAGGGTCTCCACCCAGTCCTAGGCCGGGATCGGGTCCCGGAGCTCCTCCCCAGGTTACCCCACAGTAGCCCACCCTTCTCGCTCCAGGCCTGGGAATCGCCCCGCCCCGGCCTCCTGGCCCGGGTGCGCCCTGGCTCACCTCACAAAGCCTCACCTCACAAAGCAGCCCACCCTTTCTATCTCAGGGCTCCAACCCCAGGCTGGACTGGGAGCACACTCCAGTTGGGATCTGAGGGGCCTACATCGCTGGCCTGAGCATGTGGGCATCAGGCTTCTATTCTGGCTCTGCCAGCTACCCACTGTGACCTTAGTCTAACCTCTCCCTCCTGGGCCTGTTTTCCTATCTGTCCTGAAGCTCCATTTCATGAGTAAGCGTGAGAGCCGCTCAGTTTCCTCCAGCTCTGCTGAAGCCAGCACAGAAGTAGCCCAAACTCTTCCCTCTGCTGACAGCAAATTTTAGGCAAAGTCTTGAGAAAGAAGAAATTGGGTCCAGAAAGGGAAGTGAGGAGAATCAGATCCCAGACCTTTGGGGAGAAGGAGCAACCGCCTCTGGCACAGCCCATCAGGGAGAAAGAGCAGGTAAGGTGCAACAATGAGCTGAGTAATTTGCCAGTGAGCAGTGGGGGTGCCGAGAGGTCTTAACCAAGGCAGAGAATCTGCAAGAGGTGGGACCCCCAGCTTCTGAGTTCCACGAGGACCCCAGCCTGCACTCTCATGTGGGTGGCAGGAGAGGCTGGAGGATGGTGCAGGACTCGGGCAGGGGTGCCCAAGGGAAACATTTTGGTTGGAGAGTCAGGAAGCCGCACCAAGCCTTGTGACCTTGGACGAATCACTCTGTAGACCTCTGTCTCTGTGACGTGAGCAGCGGGGAGGAGATGGTCACAGCTCTGGCAGTGGTCACTTTGCAGGGTTCTTTCTCTAGCTACACTGGAAGCCTGGGAGTCCCAAGACTCTGCCTTCGCTGCTCACTGCTTTGATTTTGCTGAGTTGCTGGTTGGGTGACAGGATGTGTAAGAGGATGTGTAAGCCCTGTGACATCTGACAGATCTTTCTGGGTTTCGAGCCAGCAGAGGAATGTTTCCTCTGGTGCCATGTCCCTTGGTTCCATGCTTGATAACAGATGGCTGAGAGCACATGAACTTTCACCCTTTCCCTCTCATGAGTGGATGGTCCCCAGCTTTGTTTGTCCATCATCAGGAGGAGCAATGGGAAGTAGTCCAAGGGGTCTTGTTAGTCATTTTAAACCCCCAGTGGGCTGAAGGCATCAGAGAGGGTGGCCCAATGGTTAGGGCAGTCATTATGGCTGAATATGCTCAGTTCCCTTTTTTTCCCTCTGGGCTATAAAGACTAAACCAGGCTGGGGGCTGTGGCTCACGCCTGTAATCCCAGCACTTTGGGAGGCCGAGGCAGCAGGATTGCTTGAGCCCAGGAGTTCAAGACCAGCCTGGGCAACATAGTGAGACCTCCTCATCTCTACAGAAAATTTAAACATGACAGGCGTGGGGGGCTTGTCACGTGGGAGAAGTCACATGGGAGAAGAGTTGAGAATTGGCCTGAATTTTGAAAGGCCAATTTTGTTCCCCACAGGAACAAAAAATTTAAAAAGTTGGCCAGGCGTGGTGGCTCACGCCTGTAATCCTAGCACTTTGGGAGGCCAAGGGGGATCACAAGGTCAGGAGTTCAAGACCAGCCTGGCCAACATGGCAAAACCCCATCTCTACTAAAAATACAAAAATTAGCCAGGCATGGTGGCGGGCACCTGTAATCCCAGCTACTCAGGAGGCTGAGGCAGGAAAGTCTCTTGAACCCGGGAGGCAGAGGTTGCAGTGAGCTGAGATTGTGCCATTGCACTCCAGCCTGGGTGACAAAGCAAGACTCCGTCTCAAAAAAAAAAAAAATTTTAAAAGTTAGCTGGCTGTGGTGGCACACACCTGTAGTCCCAGGTACTCGGGAAGTTGAGGTGGGAGGATTGCTTGAGCCTGGTAGATTGAGGCTGCAGTGAGCTCTGATTGCGCCACTGCACTCCAGCCTGGGCAACAGAGTGATACCCTGTCTCTAAATAAATAAAGACTAAACCAGGGAGGGAGTAGAGATTAAAATGGAGTTTTGTATGAGTACCGTGAAATCGGGACTCAGGAATGAGGAGACTCTAGGAGAAGGAGTCTTTGGCAGATTTCGCCAGCCTGGGTGGTAACCAGCTAATAGCAGCCTCTGGGGAAGACTGCCCTGGCTCCTCCCTGCCCCCTTAGTTCCTGCCCTTGAAATCTGGCCTTCTTCCTGCTCTTTCTCCCATTAGCTATCCCAGGGCCTCTGTGCCCATTGTTACCTGGCCAATAGCACCAGGCTGTGGTTTGAGTTTTGTTTGTTTGTTTGTTTTGAGATAGAGTCTCACTCTGTCGCCCAGACTGGAGTGCAGTGGCGTGATCTGGGCTCACTGCAAACTCTGTCTCCTAATTTCGGGCGATTCTCCTGCCTCAGCCTCCTGCACAGCTGGGATTACAGGGGTGCACCACCACACCTGGCTAATTTTTGTATTTTTAGTAGAGATGGGGTTTCACCATGTTGGCCAGGCTGGTCTCAAACTCCTGACCCCAGGTGATCTGCCCACCTCGACCTCTCAAAGTGCTGGAATTACAGATGTGAGCCACCACACCCGGCCCAGGCTCTGGTTTTGATCAGTGTTCTGCTCCCTGCTTGCTTAGGGCTGGAGAGTCTCAGGCATGGTGGTGGTGGGCAACATGGGAAGGGGCATCTGCAGAAATAACAGCAGCAGTGACCATTTATTGAGTCTTAAACCCTTACTGATATTAACACACGACCCACAGGAACATATGATGTAAAGGCCTAAAGGGGCGAAGTGACTTGCCCAGGGTCACACAGATAGGCAGCGGAGGAGTCAGCATTCTGACGGCAGAACCTACTCGGAGACCCAGATCACAGCCCTGCCCAGGGCTGCTCTTGATCTGGGGGTGGACTTGATGCTTTAGGACCATCATTTCTCTGCGGGTCTCAGGCTATGAGCTGAACCTTGAGAACACTGAAGATCCTTTTTCAGGGCTGGGCTCCTCAGAGCCTCTCGAGATTCTTGGAAGAAAAAAAACTGCATCTCAATTGTGTTTATCCAGAGAGCAAAGAGAATCAGTCAGGTGATAAGCCTGTTATCTGAGTTCTGCCATACCCAAGGTACCATCTTGGACCCAGGAGTGGGGCAGATACAAACAGATGGATGCCCTATGGTCAGACAGGCCTGGGTTTGAATCCCAGCTCCACCACTGACCGCCATATGACTGAGGGGAGAGTGGTTATCCCCTCTGGGATTCAGCTTCCTCTTTGGTAAAATGGTGACTGTCATGTCTACCTTTTAGGGCTGCATTGAGGATTGAATGAGAAAGCATTCCATAGCTGCAGCAATAGTGGTTTATAGTGACAAACAGCACTGCATGTTTGGCACTGATCATTGTAATCTAGCCCAGGAAAGCAAGCCTAGTGGCCAGTGAGATGCTAGCACATGAGAGAGTACTGAGAAGAAACCAGCTAGAGTGGTTCTGGGCCCCTACATGGCTCCAAGAAGAGCTCAGTGAGTGACCCAGGAAATGGGGAAGAAATAGGACCTAAAAGGGTGGCGGCAAAGGAGTTGGGAGCATTAGAAGCATGGGATGAATCACTGTTTTCCTGAAGACGCAAACATGACAGGCATGGGGGCTTGTCACATGAGAGAAGAGTCGAGAATTGGCCTGAATTTCGAAGGGCCTCGAAAGCCACAGAATTCAGACTCCAGGCCACCGGGAGGCGTGCTGGACTGTAATATGTTGAATCTCAGTTCTTGGTAAGGGGTCCTTTTGGGACCCTGTGGGGTGGAAACAGGCTGGGAAGCCAGACAGATCTGGATCCAAATCCTGCTATGCAACTTGCTAATATATGACCCTGGGTCAGTGATGGGATCTCTCCGAACCTTTTGACCACAAGACCATCCTAAGGATTGAATGAGATAAAGTATATCCATGACACACCTGCCCGATGCGGGGCCTCTATCGAGTGCTGATGTGTTAGTACCCATTTTATGTTGACATCTAACTGGTCCATTGAGTCTGTATGCCTGAAGCAAGCATGATTTGCACCTGATCTGTTTCTGTGTCTGTCTCCCCATACTCTGGCACCCAGTGCACTGTCTGCACAGAGGCATACCTGGGTTTGGACCCTACCCATGTGATCTTGGGAAAGTTATTACACCTTTTTGTCCCCTAGTTCCCCCATCTTAGGATAACAGTAGTGCCTGCCTTTGTCCCATCTAGGTTGAGAAGAGTCCTAAGCTAACAGCCCCAAACAGGTGGGTGTTGCTCAGCTCCCTGAGGCATGTGGTTGTAAGGCAGAACCCACAGACCTTGCAGGAAGAAGGCTCTCGGGGCCATGGCCCAGGTCAGCATCAACAATGACTACAGCGAGTGGGACTTGAGCACGGATGCCGGGGAGCGGGCTCGGCTGCTGCAGAGTCCCTGTGTGGACACAGCCCCCAAGAGTGAGTGGGAAGCCTCTCCTGGGGGTCTGGACAGAGGCACCACTTCCACACTTGGGGCCATCTTCATCGTCGTCAACGCGTGCCTGGGTGCAGGGTTACTCAACTTCCCAGCAGCCTTCAGCACTGCGGGGGGCGTGGCAGCAGGCATCGCACTGCAGATGGTGAGTGCACTGGCCGGGAGGGCAGAGGTGCAGTTCAGTTGGGCGCTTTGCCTCAAAAGGGAGGCTTCGGGTCAGGGATGGCCAGTAAGTGATACACGCACTGCTCTCCCCTCCCTCACACATGGCAGACATGACTAATCTATTCTAGTATTCTTTCCTGTGACCCAAATGAGGCTTCAGAAGCCTTCCAACAATCAGAGAAATTTGAACATCAATTACATCTCTAATTTTTTAGGTGTAACATTGATTTTGTGGTATGTTTAAAAAGAGGGCCCTTATCTTTTAGAACTACATACTGAAATATTTATTGATGAAATGATATGATAGCTTATATTGGCTTCACAATAAATGCAGAGTGGGAGGGAAGGGGAATGATGAAACAAGTTGGCCATGCATTGATCATTTTTGAAGCTGAGTGATGGATACATGCCAGTTCTTTTTACTATTCTCTTTACTTTTTTCTTTGAGATGGAGTCTTGCTTTGTCACCCAGGCTGGAGTGCAGTGGCCCGATCTCGGCTTACTGCAGCCTCTGCCTCCCAGTTTCAAGTGATTCTCCTGCCTCAGCCTCCCAAGTCGCTGGCATTACAGGCACCCACCACCATGCCCAGCTAATTTTTGTATTTTTAGTAGAGACGGGGTTTTACCATGTTGGCCAGGCTGGTCTCAAACTCCTGACTTCAAGTGATCCTCCTGCCTCAGCCTCCCAAAGTGCTGGGATTACAGGCATGAGCCATCGCATCCAGCCTATTCTCTTTACTTTTGTATGTTGGCAATTTTTCAAAAAACTTTTTGTTTTTAAAGAAAATCTCAACTCGGCATCCTCTAGCAGTCTCTTAAAATTGCCTTTGTGAGATTTGCCAAGCTTGCTTTGGGCACTGGCCCAGTAAATGCTAGGCGAGCCCAGGGTGCCCTCTGCTGCCAGGCCTTTGCCACAAGCTCTTGTTCTGCCTCTGCCTGCAGGGTATGCTGGTTTTCATCATCAGTGGCCTTGTCATCCTGGCCTACTGCTCCCAGGCCAGCAATGAGAGGACCTACCAGGAGGTGGTATGGGCTGTGTGTGGCAAGCTGACAGGTGTGCTATGTGAGGTGGCCATCGCTGTCTACACCTTTGGCACCTGCATTGCCTTCCTAATCATCATTGGCGACCAGCAGGACAAGAGTGAGCTTCTCCCTCAGTCCCTACCCCATCTCTTCTTATCAGCCCCAGGGATCCTGGGGTGGAGGGAAAAGGCACTGAACACCTCTCCAGGACTTACCTGGGCCCAGCATTCATCTGGGAATCCTCCCTCCAGGCAGAGGGAGGTCCTGGGGCCCAGCAGAGCAGGAGGGCCACACCCCATGGTGGCCTGGCTTGACATTCCCTCCTTCCTCCCTGTGCAGTTATAGCTGTGATGGCGAAAGAGCCGGAGGGGGCCAGCGGCCCTTGGTACACAGACCGCAAGTTCACCATCAGCCTCACTGCCTTCCTCTTCATCCTGCCCCTCTCCATCCCCAGGGAGATTGGTTTCCAGAAATATGCCAGGTTTGGAGGCCCCAGCCTGGGTCAGACAGAAGCTATGATCCTGGGCAGCTGTAGACCCAAGGGCTCCTGGGGAACCCTGCTCCTCCATGCCACCTCACCTTGGGGAGCAAGAGTAGGCAAGGCAGGGCAGACCGGGGCTTGCAGGGTTTCAGATAAGACCATCCTTTTCTGTCTCCATCATAGAAAAAGGATGCATCCATGAGAGATTCAGTTCTAAATGTCCTTTTGCATCCATGAGTAGTTCAGTTCTAAGTGCCCTTGTCAAAGAAGGAACAGGTGGTATCTGGGCGGTGAAGGCAGCCTCCTGGCATTCCCTGGGAGGAATTTGGGTCTTTGAGACTGTCAGCCTACCAGCATCTTACCTGCAGCTTGGCATGAAGGAAGGAGACTGGTTTCCTGTCTCGGTGTCTGAAAGGCTGTGGGATTCTAGGCTTCCCCGTCTGTAAGTGCAGGGGCCATGCTCCGCTCTCTCCAAGGCTCCCATAAATGTTGACACAAAAGTGTCTGTACTCTCAACCCTCTTACCTCTGGCATCTCTTAGTTCTCAAAGGCCAGGCTCAGAGGATGGTCTCCCACAGCCCCTGCCCGGGCTGGGCTGCTCTGATTCAAGTCCCAGGTGTGCTTTGGAGCTCTGCTCTCTGCATCGTCTCTGAGCCATGGAGCTGAACCAGCACTTCCTGATGGCCAGGAATGCTGATCAGGTCCCCTGTTGGCTGTCCAGCTCCTTCCTAGCTGTGGCAGGTTTCTCTGAAACTACTTCTCAGGCGTTTCCTGAGTCTGCTTGGCATAGTCTCCGGTTCATTCAGTGGACACTTGTGGTCGCTAGAGCTGAAGGTGGATGTCCCTAGGGGTGGAATCAGATAAGAGGCAGCTGGGGATGAGGACACTTAGTCTCTCCTTCCCGGCAGCTTCCTGAGCGTCGTGGGTACCTGGTACGTCACAGCCATCGTTATCATCAAGTACATCTGGCCAGATAAAGAGATGACCCCAGGGAACATCCTGACCAGGTGAGGGTGAGGGCCCTAGGAGACATGGGGAAGAAGCCACCACTTGGGCCCCAGCAGGTGCTGGGTCAGGAACCAGAAGGCCACACAGGTGCTCTTCTCAAGGCTCATGAGCTCATCAGGGCTGACTTGGTCATTGTAGGAAGGAGGAAAGAGCCCCTGCTCTGATGTTACTGGAAGGAAGAGCAAGAATCAGAGACAGGAGGCACTTTGCCACCTACATCCAACAGATGAGCCAGTGTGAGGCTAGGCCTTGGGTTGTGGAGGAACCTGAGGGTGGAATCCCAGGGTCGAATTGCCTGTGTTTCCAGCATCTGCTTATCTGTAATTTCTGTATCTTTGAGGGTGAATTTATTATTAAAAAAAAAGGGGGGGGGCCAGGCACAATGGCTCACGCCTGTAATCCCAGCACATTGGGAGGCCGAGGCGGGCGGATCATGAGGTCAGGAGATTGAGACCATCCTGGCTAACACGGTGAAACCCCGTCTCTACTTAAAAAATACAAAAAAATTAGCCGGGTGTGGTGGCAGGCGCCTGTAGTAGCAGCTACTCGGGAGGCTGAGGCAGGAGAATGGCGTGAACCTGGGAGGCAGAAGTTGCAGTGAGCCGAGATCGCGCCACTGCACTCCAGCCTGGGTGACAGAGCAAGACTCCATCTCAAAAAAATACAAAACAAAACAAAACAAAAAAAACAATTTCCTTCTTTTGAAAGGAACAAACCAGTAAAGCAAAAGCCCCAGTCCAGGAGCCAGGAATTCTGGATTTTGGCCCCAGGGGGGCTTTTCTGAACCTCCAGGCCCCATCCCAGAGGGCCCTGGGACATAAGGATGCCTCTTCTCCCTGTTCCCAGACTTCTGTGGGTTGAAGCTATGGAATCCCAGTTGCTGGAGACCATGGTGGGCTGACCGAAGAGTGAGGGCGTGGGGTGGGTTGTGGCTCTGAGGGGTTCCCAGGTGGCAGCACCATGTGTGTTTGTTCACAGGCCGGCTTCCTGGATGGCTGTGTTCAATGCCATGCCCACCATCTGCTTCGGATTTCAGGTGCCAGTGCCAGTTGCAAGGTCCCTGCTGTCCCCTTAGATCACCCCACCCTGGGATGGAACCCAGCAAGGAGGAGGAACCCAGGCAGAATGGAGGAAATCCTGGGGGGAAGGATGGAACAGGGGCCTCAGGACTTGCCCCTTGTTCCTGGGGTCTTTGTTCCCAAGGTACCTTCCTCTGGAAACTGGGGTTGAGGTCATTTCCCCACCATGACGGTGCCCTTCACCTGGACAGTGCCACGTCAGCAGTGTGCCCGTCTTCAACAGCATGCAGCAGCCTGAAGTGAAGACCTGGGGTGGAGTGGTGACAGCTGCCATGGTCATAGCCCTCGCTGTCTACATGGGGACAGGTGAGTGCTCCCCCCCCCCAAGACCTGGGACTAGAGTGCTCTCACTTCCACAGGAGTCCCTAGGTCCTGGGGCCTAGCTTTCCTGGGGACAGCCCTGCATTCCCAGCATGACTTGTATAGGCATTGGCTTGAACTTGGCCTGCCTGGAGCCTCCTCCTGCCAAGATGAGAGTGGTGTATTCATCCATTCATTCACCAGTTCTAACTTGGTGCCTAGGAAGTGCCAGGAACGGTTCTCAGCATGGGGGATGCCATGGAGAGAGACAGAACTGGTCTTGCCCTCATGGAGTTGACATTCTTGTTGGAGAGACAGTCATGCAGGAGTAACTGGGGAATCAGTAAGGAATTCCAGATGGTGGCAAGCATCCTGATGACAGTGAAATAGGGAAGGTGTGTTTTGTTTTATTCTATTTTATTTTGTTTTGAGAAAGGGTCTCAGAAACTGTCGCCCAGGCTGGAGTGCAGTGGCATGATGATAGCTCACTGCAACCTCAACCTGCTGAGGTCGAGTGATCCTCCTGCCTCAGCCTCCAGAGTAGCTGGGACTACAGCCATGTGCCATTGTGCCCAGCTAATTTTTTTTTTTTTTTTTTTCTAGCAGAGACAAGGTCTCACTATGTTGCCTAGCCTGGTCTTGAATTCCTGGGCTCAAGCAATTCTCCTGCCTCGGCCTCCCAAAGTGCTGGGGTTACAGGCATGAGCCACCAACCCAGCCTAAAATGGGGAAGGTATGAATGGGACTGGATGGGTGGCTTTGGGAGTGGTTCACAGAAGGTTCTTCTCAGAGAAGGCCCAAATGATGAGAAAGAGCCAGAAGAGGAGGAGCTGGGGAAGAAGGGTTCCAGGCAGAGGAACCACAAAACACCAAATCACTGAGGCAGGGCCAGGAAGAAAGTCTATGTGGCTGGAGTGGTGTGTGATGGGGGCAGGTGAAGGCAGTGAGGCCAGACAGGCACTGGCAGCCAGATCCTGTTGGGCCTCGAGGGCTGCTGGGAGTCATCGAGGAAGTGTTTTAAGCAGGGGGGTGGTTCGGGGAAAGGTGGCTCTGGCTGCCGTGTGGAGAGTGGTTGGGGTGAGGGAGCAAGTCTAGGAGACCCTGGAAGAAGGATCCCCTGAGTTCTTTCCACGGATAGACCGTAGGAGCTGCCTGGGCCAATACTGTTCTAGCCTCTGAATACACAGCCAGGAACAAGAGAGGCAAACAGCCAAATCCCTATTCTCCTGGGGCTCATGTCCTGGCTGGGGAGACAGAAAATAAGCCTGTAAAAATTAATTACTATTATTATTGTTATTATTTTTATTTGTATTATTGTTTACTTAAAGACCAGTGTGATAGTACAGTTAAAAAAAAATTAGAAAGCGATGAGGCCAGTCACAGTGGCTCACACCTATAATCTCAGCTATGGGAGGCCAAGGTGGGAGGTTCTCTGGAGCCCAGGAGTTCAAGACAGGCTGGGCAACATGGTGAAACTCCATCTCTACAAAAAATTTAAAAATTAGCCAGGTTATGGTAACATGCACCTGTGGACCCAGCTACTTGGGAGGCTGAGGTGGGAGGATCGCTTGAGCCTATGAGATCAAGGCTGTAGAGACCCATGATCATGCCATTACACTCCAAACTGGGCAACAGAGTGAGACCCTGTCTCTAAAAAAGAGAGAAATGAGTGTTAGGGGACAGGCCCAGTGGATCATGCCTGTAATCCCAACACTTTGAAAAGCTGAGATGGGAGAACCGCTTGAGGCCAGGAGTTCAAGACCAGCCTCGGCAACATAGTGAGACTCATCTCTACAAAAATTAAAGAATTAGCTGGGCGTCCGCCAGGCATGGTGGCTCACGCCTGTAATCCCAGGACTTTGAGAGGCCAAGGTGGGTGAATCACTTGAGGCCAGGAGTTCGAGACCAGCCTGGCCAACATGGCAAAACCCTGTCTCTATCAAAATTACAAAAATTAGCCGGGCGTGGTGGTGGTGCCTGTAATCCCAGCTACTCGGGAGGCTAAGGCATGAGAATCACTTGAACCTGGGAGGCCGAGGTTGCAGTGAGCCAAGATCGCGCCGCTGCACTCCAGCCTGGGGGAGAAAGTGAGACTCTGTCTTCAAAAAAAAAAAATTAGCCAGGCATGGTGGCATGTGCCTGTAGTCCCAGTGACTTGGGAGGCCAAGTCAGGAGGAACTTGAGTCTAAGAATTCAAGACTACAGTGGAACTATGATTGTACCACTTCACTCCAGCCTGAGTGACAGAGCAAGATCCTGTCTTTAAAAAAAAAAAAAAAAACGGCCAGGCACTGGGGCTCACGCCTGTGATCCCAGCACTTTGGGAGGCCCAGGCAGGCAGATCACATGAGGTCAGGAGTTCGAGACCAGCCCAACCAACATGGCGAAACCCCATCTTACTAAAAATAAAAAAATTAGGGCTGGGCGTGGTGGCTCACGCCTGTAATCCCAGCACTTCCCGAGGCAGGCGGATGACGAGGTCAGGAGTTCGAGACCAGCCTGGCCAACATAGTGAAACCTCATTTCTACTAAAAATACAAAAATTAGTCAGGCTTGGTGGCGGGCGCCTGTAATCCCAGCTACTCGGGAGTCTGTGGCAGGAGAATCACTTAAAACCAGAAGGCAGAGGTGGCAGTAAGCTGAAATCGCACCACTGCATTCCAGCCTGGGTGAAAGAGCAAAACTCCATCTCAAAAAAAAAAAAAAATTAGCCAGGTGTGGCGGCAGGTGACTGTAATCCCAGCTGCTTAGGAGGCTGAGGCATGAGAACCCAGGAGACCAAGATCATGCCATTGTACTCCAGCCTGGGCATGACAGAGCGCGACTCCATCTCAAAAAAAAAAAAAAAAAAAAAAAAAAAAATTAGCCGGGCATGGTGTAATCCCAGCTACTCAGGAGGCTGAGGCAGGAGAATCACTTGAACCTGGGAAGTGGAGGCTGCACTGAGCCGAGATCGTGCCACCGCGTGCCAGCCTGGGCAACAAGAGTGAAACTCCATCTCAAAAAAATAAAAAAGAAGAAGGCTGGGTGTAGTGGCTCACACTCTGGGAGGGTGAGGTAGGAGGATTACTTGAGCCCAGGAGTTCAAGACCAGACTGGGAAACGTAGCAAGACCCCATCTCTACAAGAAAATTAGCTGGGTGTGGTGGCATCTGCCTGTAGTCCTAGCTACCTGGGAGGCTCAGGTGGGAGAATCGCTTGAGCCGAGGAGGTCAAGGCTGCAGTGAGCCATGATCACACTACTGCGCTCTAGTCTGGGTAACAGGGCAAGACTCTGTCTCAAAAAAGAAAAGAAAAATAAGACAGCGTGATGTGAGAGAGTGCCTGGGGTGGGGGTCATTGTAGATGGACTGGCAGGAAGCATTCTCTGAGGAAGGACATCTAAACTGAGACCCAAATGATAAGGAGATGGCATCTGAAGGTCTGCCAGACAGAACAGTCAGTGCCAAGGCACTGAGGTGGGAATGTGCTGGGCAAGTTCAGGCTCAGAAAGCTGGGGGCTGGAGGGCTTCCAGCGATGGGGGATCTGAGAAGTCAGGGAGGGAGGCATCTGATCGGAGCCCCATCTCCCACTCTGAGCCTCCGTCTAAGTGTCCAGAGCTGCTGCTGCAGCCTCCAGGCTGATGTTGCTCCTAGGAGGAGTGGACAGTCCACCCCACTACCCTCCCAGGGTTGCCCTGACCCAGTTGTCCCTGCCCACAGGCATCTGTGGCTTCCTGACCTTTGGAGCTGCTGTGGATCCTGACGTGCTCCTGTCCTATCCCTCGGAGGACATGGCCGTGGCCGTTGCCCGAGCCTTCATCATCCTGAGCGTGCTCACCTCCTACCCTATCCTGCACTTCTGTGGGCGGTGAGCCCCCTTCCACTCCCCAGGGCCCCTCCTAGCCCCTGTGAGCGCTTCCAACATGGTCCTTTGGCCTTGTGTGGACCCCATCCTGTAGAAGGAGAAACTGAAGCCTGTAGAAAAGAGTCGGTGCCTAGGATGGGTCCCTACATATCCCAGGCCAGGTGTCAGAAGCGCCCTTTGTCCTGGGGTCACCAGAACATTCCGTGAGTCCTGTAAGAATCTCTATCCATGGCATGGCACGGTGGCTCACGTCTCTAAACCCAGCACTTTGGGAGGCTGAGGCAGAAGGATCGCTTGAGCCTGGGAGTTCAAGACCACCTGGGCAACCTAGTGAGACCCCATCTCTACACAAAATAAAATAAATAGCCAGGTGTGGTGGGATGCACCTGTGGTCCCAGCTACTCAGCCACTTGGGAGGCTGAGGCAGAAGGATGGCTGGAGCCCAGGAGTTCAAGGCTGCAGTGAGCCAAGATTGCACCACTGCACTCCAGCCTGGGTGAGAGAGCCAGACCCTGTCTCAAAAAAACAAAAAACAAAAGAATCTCTATCCAGATCCTTTCCTGAGCTTTCACATGGACACCCTCCCCTTTGGATGCCCCAGACAGTTCCTTTTAAGGAAAAAACAATATCAGTTTCCATGTGATGTAAAGCAAAGTGCTAAGCTCTCGACATTCACCGTCTCTAGTCCCTGTGGTAAACAGAGTGCTGGTGGCCCATTTTACAGAAGAGGAAACTGAGGGTCAGGAATGGGGCTTTCCCCGCAGTCTACCCAGTTAGGGGTCTGGCTCCTGTGAGCTAGAGGTGGGGAGCTGCTAGCAGCAGGGGCACCTCTAAGCCCTTCTCCATGTGGGCAGGGCGGTGGTGGAAGGCCTGTGGCTGCGCTACCAGGGGGTGCCAGTGGAGGAGGACGTGGGGCGGGAGCGGCGGCGGCGAGTGCTGCAGACGCTGGTCTGGTTCCTGCTCACCCTGCTGCTGGCGCTCTTCATCCCTGACATCGGCAAGGTGATCTCAGTCATTGGAGGCCTGGCCGCCTGCTTCATCTTCGTCTTCCCAGGTGCGGACCCCTGGCGCCCCATCTCACAGCCCCACAGCACAGACTCCCAGGGCCTGCCTAGCCTCAGCTCCCTACTTGCTCAAAACATGCAGGAGAGAGTAACCACCAGCACTAATTGATCACCTGTCTCGCCTCTGTACTAGCCCCTATCCAAGCATTATCTCCTGGAAAGAAGGTATAGTTGTGATCTCCAGTTTACTGATGGCACGTGGGGCTCAGAAAGGGTCACAGACTTGCCTAGAGCTTAACAAACTCAACTAGTAACCTTTTCCATCCCACGCTGTCTGGGTCCAGAGTCTATTCTTTTAACCATTCATTCAGGTGTCTGCTGCTCCTTGACTATGAGGGATCTATCTGGCTGGTTCAGCCCATTACAGCCCAGAGGGCAGTGGGGTCTGGGGTGGCACCCTGACACAGACATCAGGGAACCTGGGTTCCAGACACAGATCTACCGCCAGATCCCTGGAGAACTGTCCTGTCTGCCCAGCCATGAGTTCCACCCTTTTCCAGCTTGTCTCTATCCAGGAAGCCACCCTGAAAGCCCCAGCTGCTTTGCTTGGAGCAGGGGAGCCAGATCTGCTGGGAAGTGTACTAGGAAGACCCCTGGGGTTGGGCCACCACTGAGTCACCATTGAGTGCTGTCCCTTTAGCTGAGTCTAGCATGCTGCCCAAGGGGTCTTGTCAGATGCCAGCCTGTCATGGGAGAGCAGATGCCAGATGACCCCAGCAGGATGTGGTGTGGGGGCAGAGATGGAATTTCTAGAAGAGTAAACATGGGCCTTTCTCCATCCAGCACTGCTTCTTGGGAAAGGAGGTGGCTAGGAGGGAGGGAGCCCTCTCCCCTCACAAATGCTCAGGGCCACTTCTTCTCTTTCAGGGCTGTGCCTCATTCAAGCCAAACTCTCTGAGATGGAAGAGGTCAAACCAGCCAGGTAAAGCAGGACCCAGCCCTTGATCCTCTCAGGGAGGTGCTGGATTGGAATGTGGCTTTGTGGGGGCCTTAAAACAGATAGGAGTCAGAGGCTTGTGTACTTAGAAATCATGGGTTTTTGTTTTGTTTTTTTTTTTTTGAGCCGGAGTCTCGCTGTGTCGCCCAGCCTGGAGTGCAGTGGCACGATCTCAGCTCACTGCAAGCTCCGCCTCCTGGGTTCACACCATTCTCGTGCCTCAGCCTCCCGAGTAGCTAGGACTACAGATGCCTGCCACCACACCCAGCTAATTTTTGTATTTTTAGTAGAGACGAGGTTTCACCATGTTGGCCAGGCCGGTCTCGAACTCCTGACCTTAGGTGATCCTCCTTCCTCGGCCTCCCAAAGTGCTGGCATTACAGGCGTGAGCCACCACACCCAGCCAGGTTGTTGTTGTTTTTTTTTTAATACTTTTAAAAATTCGGTAGTGTGCTAGTTGTTAACAATTTAAACATTAATAAAGGGCTTAATACAAAAAGATGGAAGTCCCTCTTCCCCCACAACCCACTCGCCCCCACATCCTTTCTGAGATAGCTCCATGTTACCAGTATGGTCTGTGTCCTCAACCACTTCTGTACATGTGTGCGTGTCTGTGTACACATAGCTATGGAGATGTATACATAGATGCAGGGCTCTTGTTTTGTTTTATGAAAAGTGGTTTCAGCCAGGTGCATTGGCTCATGCCTGTAATCCCAGCACTTTGGGAGGCCAACATGGGCAGATCACCCGAGGTCAGGAGTTCGAGACCAGCCTGACCAACATGGTGAAACCCCATCTCTACTAAAAATACAAAATTAGCTGGGCATGGTGGCACCTGCCTGTAATCCCAGCTACTTGGGAGACTGAGGCAGGAGAATTGCTTGAACCCAGGAGGCGGAGGTTGCAGTGAGCCGAGATCACACCATTACACTCCAGCCTGGGCAACAAGAGGGAAACTCTGTCTCAAAAAAAAAAAAAAAAAAAAAAAAAAAAAGCCATACAAACATGTCTAAAAAAGAAAAAAAATTGGCCAGGCACAGTGACTCACGCCTGTAATCCCAGCACTTTGGGAGGCCAAGACAGGCAGATCACCTGAGGTCAGGAGTTCGAGACCAGCCTGGCCAACATGGCAAAACCCCGTCTTTACTAAAAATACAAAAATTACCTGGTTGTGGTGGCGCATGCCTGTAGTCCTAGCTCGGGAGGCTGAGGTAGGAGAATTGCTTGAACCCCGGAGGCGGAGGTTGCAGTAAGTGGAGATCGCACCACTGCACTCCAGCCTGGGTGATAGCAAAACTCTGTCTCAAAAAAAGAAAAAGAAGAAGAAGAAAAAAAATCACCCTTTATTTCTTTTTTTTTTGTCTTTTTTTTTTTTTTTTTTTTTGAGATGGAGTTTCACTCGTTGCCCAGGCTGGAGTGCAATGGCGCGATCTCTGCTCACTACAACAACCTCCACCTCCCGGGTTCAAGCGATTCTCCTGCCTCAGCCTCCTGAGTAGCTTGGATTACAGGCGCCCACCACCACACCCAGCTAATTTTTTGGGTTTGTTGTTGTTGTTTTGAGATGGAATCTCGCTCTGTCACCCAGGCTGGAGTGCAGTGGCATGATCTCGGCTCACTGCAACCTCCAGGGTATCTGGGATTACAGGTGCGCAGCACCATGCCTGGCTAATTTTTGTATTTTTGGTAGAGACGGGGTTTCACCATGTTGGCTAGGCTGATCTCGAACTCCTGACCTCAGGTGATCCGCCCACCTTGGCCTCCCAAAGTTCTGGGATTACAGGCGTGAGCCACCATACCCAGCCATTTTTTGTATTTTTTTAGTAGAGACGGGGTTTCACCACGCTGGCCAGGCTGGTCTCAAACTCCTGACCTCAGGTGATCCACCTGCCTTGGCCTCCCAAAGTGCTGGGATTATAGACATGAGCCACCACACCCAGCCTAATTTTTCTATTTTTAGTAGAGATGGGGTTTCGCCATCTTGCCCAGGCTGGTCTTGAACTCCTGACCTCAGGTGATCCATCTGCCTCGGCCTCCCAAAGTGCTGGAATTACAGACATGAGCCACTGCACCCAGCCTAATTTTTCTGTTTTTAGTAGAGATGGGGTTTTGCCATCTTGCCCAGGCTGGTCTCGAACTCCTGACCTCAGGTTGCCCGCCTTGGCCTCCCAAAGTGCTGGGATTACAGGTGTGAGCCACCACACCCGGCCGGAAATCACCCTTTATTTCAATTCCGTTTTATCCCTGTTGCTGTTAATTGGTACATACATTTGCAGATGTCTGCTTTTTGTTTCCTTTTTTTAATGAAATAGACCACATTCCATGTGACGTGCTTTTTTCTGAACATCTTTCCATCAGGATGCCTACATTCGAATCGTGGCATGATGTGAACAATCAGTTACTCCCATTAGATCTTGGTCTTCTTACCTATGGACTAGGGACAATACACCTGGCCCCACACTACCTTTGTATTGAAGTCTTTGGGAAGTAGGAAGTGCTCTACCAACAGGAGAAGTGCGATAATTACAGTAATTAACAGTTATATATATTGAAGTCTGCAGTCATGGGATGGGATGACTGATCAGACCTCTCTCACCCTCTGTTCTACAGCTGGTGGGTGCTGGTCAGCTACGGAGTCCTCTTGGTCACCCTGGGAGCCTTCATCTTCGGCCAGACCACAGCCAACGCCATCTTTGTGGATCTCTTGGCATAACCACTGCCTCCCAGGGAACACAAGGCCTTTGCCATTGGTCGCAGGAACCCATCTCTTAGAGCTATGGGGCCATTCTTAGTCCACGATCATTCCAACTGGTGGGATGACATCCGGACATCCTCTTCCAGGGACTGGGGCAAACTCAGGCCCCACACCTCTGGACAGCTCAAATCCAGTCCCCTTCCTGCTCCCCAGTCCTGGCAGTGCCGTGGATGGCGGCAGGAAGTCTCACATCATAGAGGACCCCTCCTCCTCTCCCAGTTCTCAACTTCTCCATGCCTGGAATCCACGGGTGAAGAGAGTCGGTAGATCTCATAAGAAAGAATCCAGTCTGACTTCCCTCTGGAGAATGACTATGGACAGAAGGCCACCATCCTCCACAGAGCACCCTGTCCTGAGTAGGGGTTGTGCTCATTACCCCAGGCCAGTGGTAGCTTCCTCAGGAGCCTGGCCACTTCCAACGGTAGCACTGAAGTCATGCAAATGCATAGTCAGGTAGATTCAGACCTTGTCCACACCTTCCTGGGCAACCCCCACCATGAACCTGTCAGCCTCTTTCCCATAGCTAATAGACATTTCCCAGGCCTTGAGGGGCCCCACCCTGTCTCTTTCATCAAACCTGATGGTCCAGGCTGGGCATCCCTCTCCTCCTCCATCCCCAGACATCACCAGGTCTAATGTTTACAAACGGTGCCAGCCCGGCTCTGAAGCCAAGGGCCGTCCCGTGCCACGGTGCTGTGAGTATTCCTCCGTTAGCTTTCCCCATAAGGTTGGGAGTATCTGCTTTTGTGTCTGAGATGGGCCCCTCTTTTCAGAGGCCGCAGGGTGGGTGATGGAGAAGGCTGAGAACCTTTCAGACCCTCTGTGTGGGCTGGGCTGGTCAGAATCAGGGTGTACCTCCCCGACACCTTCTTTTTCAGTGATGTTTTCTCTTCTTCCTGCCTTTCCTCTGCCTCCTCCCCTGCCAGCCCTAGCGTGACTACCCAGAGACAAAAAAAAAAAAAAAAAAAAAAGGCAGGGCTGGGCGCAGTGGCTCACGCCTGTAATCCCAGCACTTTGGGAGGCCAAGGCGGGCAGATGACTTGAGGTCAGGAGTTCGAGACCAGCCTGGCCAACACGGCAAAACCCCATCTCTACTAAAAATACAAAAAATTAACCGGGCATGGTGGCGGGCACCTGTAATCCCAGCTACTTGGGAGGCTGAGGCAGCAGAGCCGCTTAAACCCAGGAGGCAGAGACTGCAATGAGCTGAGATCGTGCCATTGCACTCCAGCTTGGGCAACAAGAGTGAAACTTCATCTCAAAAAAACAGAAACAAACAAAAAGGCAGCTGGGTTGTCACTGATGGGCAGCATTTGAGCCTGCCACACTGGCCTGGAAGTTTCCCTTCCAGTCTGGATTTTGTCTGCTCCTTCCTTCCCCCTCACCCCGTTACCTCTTCACCTCCCATCTCACTTCACTGTGTAGCTCAGTCTCTCCCACGCACATAATTGGGGACAGTGGGGGCTCTCTTACCAGCCTCCTCAGCAACGCACGTCCATCAGGCCTGGCCTCAGTGGCCAGCCACATTGATGTCACACTGGAATTGTTACCCCAGAGAGGGCGAAGAGATAGGCTATCTCCCCACCTCCCACCCTACTCCCCACTATATTCCCGTTTTGACCACCTCAGCCCCTCAGCTGCCCCCTCTCACTTTGGCCAATCCCAGGCACCAATCAGACTTCCTCCTCCACCTGGAGCCCCTAGCATTTCCTTGTCCCCTCTTCCCCAAAACCTCTGTAAAGGGTACGAGAGGGACCCCCTGCCGAGCCGCCCGCCACTCAGGGCAGTCCGATCTAAGAAGCAGAAGCTGGTTGGAGGCTGGCTGGGCCTCTGTCCAGTCCCCAGATGGATAAACTGCCTTTTCTCACATCCCCTCTTGGTGCCTGATCTTCTCTGCCCCCGGGGCCAGACCCACTGTGCTGTTTTCTGTCAGTCTGTGGCACAGCACCAAGCTCTGCCAGCACCAGTCCCTGACAGGGCTAGGAGGACAGCCTGGTCAGCAGGGCTGCAGTCCCCCAGTGCCGTGTTTCGGGGGTCAAGGGATGTAAGTGGAGTCATTGCACAGAGACAGACCAGTCAGGAGAAGGAGCTGGAATCTGGCCTCTTGTCCTAACCTCAGGAGCCCCCTCCCATCCTCTCCCCACCCTCCCTATCGGGGTACTTCACTGTTTCTTTTCTACTTGTGTATACTCGAGAAAGGGAAGATGGTTAATAAAAGGGATTTGTGCTGCTGAGCCGTGTCCCCTGTGTCTGATCCTGGGGACAGAGTCCAGGCCACTGCCAGGAGGAAGAAGGGCTGGGGTAGGAGGTGTAGATGGCATGTCACTGTCTCTGACCCCTATCTCCGGAATGGCACCGCCATGCTCCCTCTACCAAGCAGGGACCTGCAAGTGGCTCTTGCCACCCCTGCTTTCTTCCACATTCTACCTATCCTTCTCCAGTGACTTAGGAATGTATCGCAGTCTCCAATCCTGCGACCTCTGCCTTCACTTAAGCCCTCACTGTCTTTCCTGTGCCTTTGTGGTCTCAGACTGTCCCCCTGACTTCAGATCTTGGCAAGAGCTTTAAACTCCTGAGTATCCACCCCCATCTTTTCAGAGGCGAGCGTTGAGCAGGTCCCAGCTGTCTTGGTTATGGAGCCACCAGTCACCACGCTCAGTGCTGGCAAGAAAACCAGCAAAGGCCAGGTGTAGTGGCTCACGTCTGTAATCCCAGCACTTTGGGAGAACAGGGTGGGCAGATCACCTGAGGTCAGAAGTGCGAGACAAGTCTGGCCAACATGCTGAAACCCTGTCTCTACTAAAAATACAAAAATTAGCTGGGCATGGCGGCGCATGCCTGTAATCCTAGCTACTTGGGAGACTAAGACAGGATAATTGCTTGAACCCAGGAGGCAGAGGTTACAGTGAGCCGAGATCACGCCATTGCACTCCAGCCTGGGCAACAAGAGTGAAACTCTATCTTAAAAAAAAAAAAAAAAAAAAAAAAAACCAGCAAAACAGACTCCAGTACTGCTCTCAGCCTAGTTGTGGGAAGACTGATGCTAAGCAAGCAATGACACAAATATACACTTCCAAATTGTGGTTAAGTGCCAAGGAAGGAAAATACAGTGTGTTAGTCTGGGGGCTGGAAAGTTGTCTGGGGAGTCAAGGAAGACTTCCTGGAGGAAGTGATGTTTGAGCTGGCCTGTGACTGATGAGTAGGAATTAGTAAAGAGAGGTGGGGAGACTTTGCCAAGCAATGGAAACTGCATGTGCGAAGGCCTTGAGCTGGGAGGAACATGACTTCAGGAACTGAAAAGTGGCCAAGGTAGCCAGACATTGACTGTGTGTTGGGAGGTTCTTAAATGACTCCCTCTTGCCTTTAGGGTCAAGTCTAACCAACTCATCTCTCACCACACTTCCCCTCTCCGCTCCAGCCACACTCAAGTGAAGGTCAGGCTCCAACTCCTAGTAAAAGTGGGGGACTGACCCTGCAAGGAAGAAATACTTCAGAAAGGCTCGAAGGGTAGGGTGGCTTTGGGCTTTGGGCCTGACTAGGGAGCGAATAACGAGGTTGAGTTTAACCGTCTCTCAACAGAAGGAAGGAAAGGATGCGTCTACGCCACAGGCGTACTCCAGTGCAAACAGCCAAGTTCATCCATTCATACACTTCACTCAAGACATCCTCATCCTGGTGTGACGGGTGGATAATGAGAAATTACTTAATGGATACAATGTACATTATTTCAGTGATGGATACACTAAAATCCCAGACTTCACCATATGCAATATAGCCACGTAACAAAATGGTATGTGTACCCCTAAAATGTATACAATTTTTTTTTTTTTTGAGACAGAGTTTCCCTCTTGTCACCCATGCTGGAGTGGTCTTATTGCCCAGGCTGGAGTGCAATGGCGCAATCTCAGCTCACTGCAACCTCCACCTCCTGGGTTCAAGCGATTCTCCTACCTCAGCCTCCCAAATAGCTGGGATTACAGGCACCCACCACCATGCCCGGCTAATTTTTGTATTTTTAGTAGAGATGGGGTTTCACCATGTTGGTCAGGCTGGTCTCAAACTCCTGACTTCAGGTGATCCACCTGCCTCGGCCTCCCAAAATGCTGGGATTACACGTGTGAGCCACTGTGCCCAGCCTACAGATTTTTGAAAAAAGACATCCCCATCCTAATGTCCCAAATACTTGTAAGCACTTGGTTAATGTCCATCTCTCCCATTAGATTGTAAGCTCTATGAGAGCAGGCTTATGTCTTCTTTACCCACCAGGCGCCTCCACCGGTGCCTGGCACAAGCGCTCAGTAGTTACTGAAAGAATGAATGAATGAATAGCAGCGTTTGTTGAGTTCTTATATTGTGCTGACACTTTACTTGCACAATCGTGGTCTTTACATTTCTATGAAGAAGCAAAAGCTAAGAGAAGTTAAATATTTTGCCCATGGTCCCACAGGTTGTAAGACTGGAGGCAGACAGTGCTTTTAACTTGCATAAATAGACAAGTGAGCAGGCCAGGTGCAGTGGCTCAGGTCTGTAATTGCAGCGCTTTGGGAGGTGGATTGCATAAGGCCAGGAGTTCAAGGCCAGCCAACATAGTAAGACCCATCTCTGAAAAAAAAAATATGAAAAAAGCTGGGCACAGTGGCTCACACCTATAATCCCAGCACTTTGGGAGGCTGAGGCGGGCAGATCACTTGAGGTTAGAAGTTCAAGACCAGCCTGGCCAACATGGTGAAACCCTGTCTCTACTAAAAATACAAAAATTAGGCGTGGTGGTGGGCGCCTGTAATCGCAGCTACTCAGGAGACTAAGGCAGGAGAATCACTTGAACCGAGGAGGCAGAGAGGTTGCAGTGAGCCAAGATTGTGCTACTGCACTCCAGCTTCAGCAACAGCAAGACTCAGCCTCAAAAAAAACAAAAACATATATATATAGTGCTTACCTGTAGTCCTAGCTACTCAGGAGGCTGAGGCAGGAGAATCACTTGAACCTAGGAGTTTTAAGGTTACAGTGAGCTGTGATTGTGCCACTGCACTCCAGCCTGGATGACACTGCAAGATCCTGTCTCAAAAAACAAAAAAGAAAAGAAATGTACAAATTCAACTTCTTCCCAAGAGGCCCCATGTTGGGGTTTCCCTGCCACCTCCTGGGAGTCAGGGTGTTTCTAAGACGTTTTTTTTTTTTTCAGCTGGAGTCTCACTCTGTTGCCCAGGCTGGAGTGCAGTGGCGCGATCTTGGCTCACTGCAACCTCCGTCTCCGGGTTCAAGCAATTCTCCTGCCTCAGCCTCCTGAGTAGCTGGGACTACAGGCACACGCCACCACGCCCAGCTGATTTTTATATTTTTAGTAGAGACAGGGTTTCACCATGTTGGCCAGAATGATTTCGATCTCTTGACCTCGTGATCCGCCCACCTTGGGCTCCCAAAGTGCTGGGATTACAGGCGTGAGCCACCGCGGCCAGCCTGTTTCTAAGACTTTAACATGCATACAAGTGCACACAATTATCGCAAATCCCCTGGTGGCTCTCCTTGGGCTATAAATTCTGATTCACTAGGTCTGGAGTGGGGCCTGAGGTCTGCATCGCTAACAATCCCAAAGATGCCAACGCTCTGGTAATCCCTGAGCCACACTTTTGAGTGGCAGGTGCCTCGTGGACAGCGCGGAGTCGTTGGCATCAGACAGACCTGGCTTGAATCCTAGCGATGCCTCTTAATACTGTGAGAACTCAGGGAGTTACTTCACTTCCCTGAACTTCCATTTCCTCATCTATAAAGCGGGGTGATGATGCCCACTTTGTAGATGTAGACATTACAAATGCAAGGATGATGGCATAATAATACATGTCAAGTGCCTGGCCAACAGCAGTGACTATGTCAGTCATTTTGCAGAACTAGAAGGAACAGGGAATGTATAACGGCCGTTTCTTCCTTTGGTCAGTAGAGGTCACCTTTGCATAATCTCTGCTCATGAAAGTGGGAACCCTGTAGCTACAGAAGAGACTCCAGGCCTCTGAGTCACTGGAGCTCCTGGAGACTTGGCTGCTGCTTGGTCCATCTGAGTGACACCCGTATACTAAGGCAAGGCCACTCTCAGTCACAGCCCAGAGCCTGATGGGGGAATCAGACCAATTGAATAATCGCAGATGCTAACTGTATAGGTACATACACTAGATATAGATACAGATATTACAAACCCAGATTTGGTACTGAAATAATTTGGTAAGAATGTTAGGTATGATACAATTTAAAAAATGTCAGTAGATGTGGAGGAAGGCCAGAGACTTTGCAGACAGGAAGAAGGTAGACGTCCTGTCCTCCAAACTTGTCAAGTTTCCTAAGGGAAACAGACACAAGATTGATTCATTTGATCCTTCTCCCATTAAAAACAAAATTGGGGGCCGGGCGCAGTGGCTCACGCCTGTAATCCCAGCACTTTGGGAGGCCAAGGCGGATGGATCACGAGGTCAATAGATCGAGACCATCCTGGCCAACATGGTGAAACCCCATCTCTACTAAAAATACAAAAACTTAGCTGGGCGTGATGGCACATGCCTGTAGTCCCAGCTACTTGGGAGGCTGAGGCAGGAAAATCGCTTGAACCCGGGAGGCAGAGGTTGCAGTGAGCCAAGACTGCACCACTGCACTCCAGCCTGGGCGATAAAGTGAGACTCCGTCTCAAAAAAAAAAAAAAAAAAAAAAAAAAAAACAGAAAAAAAAACTGGGCTGGGCGCAGTGGCTCACACCTTTAATCCCAGCACTTTGAGAGGCCGAGATGGGCAGATCACTTGAGGCCTGGCCAACATGGCGAAACACTGTCTCTACTAAAAATACAAAATAAATTAGCCAGGCATGGTGGTGTGTGCCTGTAGTCCCAGCTACTCGGGAGGCTGAGGCAGGAAAATCGCTTGAACCTGGAAGGCGGAGGTTGCAGTGAGTCGAGACGGCACCACTGCACTCCAGCCTGGTCGAGTGTAAGATTCCATCTCCAAAAAAAAAGAAAAAATTAGCCCAGCGTGGTGGTACATACCTGTAGTCCCAGCTACTCTGGAGACTGAGGCACAAGAATCGCTTGAACCTGGGAGGCGGAGGTTGCAGTGAGTCAAGATCTCCCCACTGCATGCCAGCCTGGGCGACAGAGCAAGACTGTGTCTAAAAAAAAAAAAAGATGCATTAGTTAAGAGATGCTACAGATAAATCCTAAAATCCCAGTGGCTTAACACCATAAACGTTCATATCTCACTGACGTCACAGTCCAATGCAGGTGGCCCTGCTCAGGCACATGGAAGGCAAAGGTGAGGCTTGGGGCTAGCAGGTGGGTGGTTGAAAATAATACAAATTGCCGGGCGCGGAGGCTCACGCCTGTAATCCCAGCACTTTGGGATGCCGAGGCAGGCAGATCACGAGGTGAAGAGATCAAGACCATCCTGGCCAACATTGTGAAACCCCTTCTCTACTAAAAATACAAAAATTAGCTGCACATGGTGGCACATGCCTGTAGTCCCAGCTACTTGGGAGGCTGAGGCAGGAGAATTGCTCAAAACTGGGAGGCAGAGGTTGCAGTAAGCCGAGATCGCACCACTGCACTCCAGCCTGGAGACAGAGTGAGACTCCATCTCAAAAAAAAAAAAAAAAGCCGGGTGCGGTGGCTCATGCCTGTAATCCCAGCACTCTGGGAGGCCAAGGCAGGTGGATCACAAGGTCAGGAGATGGAGACCATCCTGGCTAACACGGTGAAACCCCATCTCTACTAAAAACACGAAAATTAGCCGGGCGTAGTGGCAGGCGCCTGTGGTCCCAGCTGCTGGGGAGGCTGAGGCAGGAGAATGGCGTAAACCCGGGAGATGGAGCTTGCAGTGAGCCGAGATCGCGCCACTGCACTCCAGCCTGGGTGACAGAGCGAGACTCCGTCTCAAAAAAAAGAAAAGAAAAGAAAATTATTTAAACAACAACAACAACAACAACAAAAAATGACATCCTCATCCTAATGTCCCACATACTTGTAAGCACTTGGTGTGGGAGTCAGATATGGAGAAAAGCCCGCTGAGCAGAATGCATAAAACTTGGGCTTTGGAGACCGAAAGATCAAAGTCTGACTCCCAACTAATTCCTCCATTGGCTCCTTAGCTATGTAACCTCAAGTAAGTTATTTAACTTCCCTGGATCTTAATTTCATCAGCTGCAAAAACAGGAGTAATCTGATGCTTAGCTTTCTCATCTCTCCAGTTCTCTATTGTTGCATAATAAACCACCCCAAAACTTAGAGGCTTTAAACACAAGTTTACTTTCGTAACAATCCTGTGGGTTGACCAGGATCAGCTGGGTGGTTCTTCTCTTCTGTGTAGTGTTAGTTAGAGCTAGAGCTGCAGCCATGTGGAGGCTTACTTGGGGCACAGTGTCCAAGATGGCGCACTCACTTGCTGACTGCTGGCTGGGAACTCGCCTGAGCTGTTATCTGGAGCATCTGCACATGATCTCTCCATGTGGTTTCAACTTCTCATAGTGTGGTGGCTGCATTCTTGGGAGAGTCCCAACAGTGGTGTGATCTGGGCTCACTGCAACCTCTGCTTCCCTGATCCTCCCACCCCAGCCTCCCGAGTAGCTGGGACTACAAGGGGCATGCCACCACACCCAGCTAATTTTTTGTATTTTTTTTGTAGGGGTCTTTTGTGTTTTCTTGATGGGGTCTCGCCATGTTGCCCAGGCTGATCTTGGATTCCTGAGTGCAAAGCAATCTGCCCACCTCAGTCTCCCAAAGTGCTGGGGTTACAGGTGTGAGCCACCATGCCCAGCCCAATAGTGAGCATTTCAAGAGGCCCAGAGAGAAGCATCTTCAGTTACAGGAGTCTCAGAATGCCACTTGCGTAGCATTCTCTCAGGCAAGTGAGTCACAGAGCCCAGCAAGATTCAAGTGGAGGGGAGCTAGACCCCATCTCTTCAAGAGAGAAGTGACAAAGAACTTGTGGCCATTTTGTCTAGCACATAATCTGGAAAATACACACAAATACTTGGATCAAAGGGTTTTTGCAAGAATTATATGGAATTCATAGAAAGTACCTTGCCCATAATGAGGGATGATTGAAGAAATAAATGAAAAAATAAATAAATAAACCATTGACTGTTGTTATTCTTTTAAAAGGTTACATTTGGCATCAAAGAGTACCTTAAGTAAATCAGGATGGAATTCTTCACATAAGAGGATTCACCTCACATCACTCTAAATAGCAAGCTTCCCTAGTTCCTGGAAAAGAGGACCTGGGTCATGTGTCATTTCACTGACATCCCACTAACTACAGTTGCACCCTGCACACTCAGTGAGGTCTCTTCTGAAGGCCCAACGTGGAGAAAGAGGGTCTTGCTGGGGATGTGACTAGTTCCATCTCCTGGAGGGTCAGTGGTTGGACCAGGAACCTGATTCCCAGCCACCAGCTAAAACTGAATGACATCCCTTGGGCTTTGGTTGTTGGTCAAAAATGAGAATGGGGTGGGGCGCAGTGGCTCATGCCTGTAATCCTAACACTTTGGGAGGCCTAGGTGGGTGGATCACTTGAGGCCAGGAGTTTGAGACCAGCCTGGGCAACGTGGTGAAACCCCATTTCTACTAAAAATACAAAAATCAGCTGGGCATGGTGGCACGCGTCTGTAATCCCAGCTACTTGGGAGGCCAAGGCACGAGAGTCGTTTGAATCTGGGAGGCGGCGGTTGCAGTGACCTGAGATTGCACCATTGCACTCCAGCCTGGGTGACAGAGCAAGACTCCATCTCAAAAAAAAAAAAAAAAAAGTTTTCAAGTCATAGCCTCATCCTCGATAAACTGCATTTTATTATGGGAGACAGGGAAGGGGATTCATTTGTTTAAAATAAAACGATTAAGATGATACAAGAGGGCCTGGCACAGCAGCTCACACCTGTAATCCCAGCATTTTGGGAGGCCAAGGTAGGTGAGTCACTTGAGCCCAAGAGTTCAAGACTAACCTGGGCAACATGGTGAAACCTCATCTCTACTAAAACTACAATTAGCTGGGTATGGTGGCACACGCCTGTAGTCCCAGCTACTTGGGAGTCTGAGGTAGAAAGATCACCTGAGCTTGGAAAGTCAAGGCTGCAGCGGGCCAAGATTGCACCACTGCACTCCAGCCTGGGTGACCAGAGTGAGGCCCTGTCTAAAAAAAAAAAAAAAAAGAAGAAAAAAGGGTGATATAAGGGCAAAGAAGGAGCATAGAATTACACTCTGTCAATAAAAAGATAAGGAACGCCAGAGGACTCTGAACTCCTTCCTAGCTCCCTCATGAATGACCTCTGAGCCAGGAGCAAGTCCTACAGTCTCCTCCTCTGAAAGCCGGGAGCTTCTCCAACCTTTCAGCATTCCCATTTTGAGATTTCATGGGCTGTGCTTTGGGTTGGTGATCCTATGGCCAGCTCTTGACTTTTCTCTTCCCGGGTCACCCTGGATTCCATTCAGCCAGTTCATGCACATATGTATCCATGCATCCATTCATGTATCCATCTGTCCTTCATCCATTCATCCATGTGTCTTTCTTTATTTCCTGCCCCCCACCCCGCCCCAAGACGGAGTCTTCCTCTGTGCCCCAGGCTGGAGTGCAGTGGCACAATCTCGGTTCACTCTTGGCTGACTGAAACCTCTCCCTCCCTGGTTCAAGCTATTCTCCTGTCTCAACCTCCCGAGTAGCTGGGATTAACAGGTGTGCCACCATGTCCGGCTAATTTTTGTATTTTTAGTAGAGATGGGGTTTCACCATGTTGACCAGGCTGGTCTTGAACTCCTGAACTCGTGATCTGCCCAACTCGGCCTCCCAAAATGCTAGGATTACAGGCGTGAGCCACTGTGCCAGGCCTTTTTTTTTTTTGAGACGGAGTCTTGCTCTGTTGCCCAGGCTGGAGTACAGTGGCATCATCTTGGCTCACTGCAACCATTGCCTCCCCAGTTCAAGGGATTCTCCTGCCTCAGCCTCCCAAGCAGCTGGGATTACAGGCATGCACCACTACACCTGATTATTTTTTGTATTTTTATTAGAGATGGGGTTTCACCATGTTAGCCAGGCTGGCTTGAACTCCTGACCTCAAGTGATCCACCCGCCTCGACCTCCCAAAGTGCTGGAATTACAGGCATGAGCCATCACGCCTGGCCTAGTCCTAGTTTTGATTCAAGAGTTTTGATTATGGCCAGGCACCGTGGCTCATGCCTGTAATTTCAACACTTTGGGAGACTGAGGCGGACGGATCACTTGAGGTCAGGAGTTGGAGACCAGACTGGCCAACATGGGGAATCCCCGTCTTTAAGAAAAATGTAAAAAATTATCCGGGTGTGGTGGCACATGCCTGTAATCCCAGATATTCGGGAGACTGAGGCAGGAGAGTGGCTTGAACCCGGGAGGAGGAGGTTGCAGTGAACTGAGATCGCACCATTGCACTCCAGCCTGGGCAACAGAGCGAAACTCCGTCTCAGAAAAAATAAATAAATAAATCTCAACCTTTTCTTTTTTTGATGGGGATAGAGATTTTATTTATCCATGAAAGCCTCAAATCTGGGAACCTGATTTAATCCAACATTCTTTTTTTTTTTTTTTTTTTTTTTTGGAGACGGAGTTTCACTCTTGTTGCCCAGGCTGGAGTGCAATGGCACAATCTTGGCTCACTGTAACCTCTACCTCCCAGGTTCAAGCAGTTCTCCTGCCTGCAGCCTCCCTAGTAGCTGGGATTACAGGCACCTGCCACCACTGCCAGCCAATTTTTGTATTATTAGTAGAGATGGGATTTCATCATGACGGCCAGGCTGGTCTCAAACTCCCGATCTCAGGTGATCCACCCGCCTTGGCTTCCAAAGTGCCGGGATTACAGGCGTGAGCCACCGTGCCCGGCCCCTAATCCAACATTCTTATTAAAATGAGAAGAAAACTGAGGCCCAGTGAGGGAAGGTGGCTTATCAAGGTCACCAGCAGTTAATTGCAGCCTGGAAGCCAGGCCTCCAGCCTCCTAGTCTAATGGTTAATATTTAGCTGGCTGAGCCTCTGTCTCCGCCTATGTCCTTGATGCTCAATCCAGGGAATGGAAAGATGTGGATATGAGGTGAAAACCCTGAGATCCTTCTCTGTCCTTTTTCCTCAGAAGAACAGACTCAGCAGTGACCTATTTCAGAAAAAGCACAAAACGGCAGCTAGCTGCCCATGGGTAGAGTCTGCAGTATCTACTCCTCCTCTATTCCCCCAGCTCTCTCCCCGCAGGTAGGGCTGTGGTCATGGGAAAAGGACTCAAGGAGGAGCTGCCAGGAGAGACTGTGGTGGGACCCACCTGGAATGGAATCTTAGCTTAGAGGCCCTCTGCAGCCAAAGAAGCTAAGGTGAGAGGAAAACACTGCATTCTGTGAGGACCCCAGCTCCCAGCATTTGTAGACAAATGATTATTTCCTTTCATCTTCTTAGCTGAGACACAGCCATTCACCATAGAACAAAGGCACTTGCTTTCTGTAGCTCCCATCAGGACTCTTTGCACTGGGAACAGGGCCAAACGGGGGCAAACTTTAAAAATAGTAAAAGGGCAAGGTCCCCCAAAGCAAATGCTCAGTGTGTACAAGGCACACTCTAAGAAATGAGGCAGATGCTGCACATAGCAGATGGGAAGACAGACAGCAGACCAGACAAGTGACCAAGTCTGCGGGGCTGGTGCAATCTCCATGAAATAAAGCACCAGCCTGGCCCGAGGGAGAGCATGGCTTTTCCCGCTGCCTCTCAGTTCCCCCATCTTCGCTGCTGGGAAGTTCTTTACAACTAACTCCAGTCTCTCTGCGGCAAACCTCTCCCCTCTAATTCAGCCTCAGGGACTGAAATCCTCCTTTTGGATGGAGCCTGGGCCCTGGCTTCCAGCGCTGGCTCCAGCACTCACCACTACCTGACCTTGGGCAGGTCCCTCTGCGCTGGTCCCACATTTGTGAGATGGTGAGATTCTGTGGTTCCTTCCAGCTCTGGCTGATTAAATTGTCCTCAGCCTTCTTCTCCCCAGAGGTTGTAAATAGAAGCCGTTGTGTGCTGATGTTTTGGGGGAAAAAGATAAACTGGAAGAGAAGAAAGACTAAGAAAAAAGAAAGAAGGGAGAAAGAAAGAAGAGGAAGAAGAGGAAGGTAGGGAAAGGGGAGAAGAAGAAGCATTTAAAAACTAAGAGCGGGACCGGGCACGGCGGCTCACGACTGTAATCCCAGTACTTTGGGAGGCTGAGGCGGGCAGATCACGAGGTCAGGAGATCAAGACCATCCTGGCTAACACAGTGAAACCCCGTCTCTACTAAAAATGCAAAAACAATTAGCCGGGCGTGGTGGCAGGCGCCTGTAGTCCCAGCTACCCAGGAGACTGAGGCAGGAGAATGGCGTGAACCCAGGAGGCAGAGCTTGCAGTGAGCCGAAATCGCGCCACTGCACTCCAGCCCAGGCGACAGAGTGAGGCTCCGTCTAAAAAAACAAAACAAAACAAAACTAAGAGCGGGACTGGGCACGGTGGCTCATGACTGTAATCCCAGCACTTTGGGAGGCCAAAGCAGGTGGATCAGCTGAGGTCAGGAGTTCAAGACTAGCCTGGCCAACATGGTGAAACCCCATCTCTACTAAAAATACAAAATGAGCCAGGCATGATGGCACGTGCCTGTAATCCCAGCTACTCAGGAGGCTGAGGCAGGAGAATCACTTGAATGTGGGAGGTGGAGGTTGCAGTGAGCCAAGATTGTGCCACTGCACTCCAGCCTGGGCACAAGAGTGAAACTCCATCCCCACCCCCCCAAAAAAAAAAACAAAAAAAGGAAAAGACAGAAAAAAACAAAAAAGCAAAACTAAGCCAGGCTGGGTGTGGTAGCTCACGCCCGTAATCCCAGCACTTTGGGAGGCCAAGGCAGGTGGATCACTTGAGGCCAGGAGTTCAAGACCAGCCTGGCCAACATGGTGAAACCCCATCTCTACTAAAAATACAAAAATTAGCCAGGCATAGTGACATGTGCCTATAATTTCAGCTACTCAAGAGGCTGAGGTACAAAAATTTCTTGAGCCTGGGAGGTAGAGGTTGCAGTGAGCCGAGATCATGCCACTGTGCTCCAGCCTGGGCAACAGAACAAGACTGTCTCAAAAAAAAAAAAAAAAAGTATCTGAATGTCTGGCTTCTCTGAGAAATTGGAATTTCCAGCAACCCTAGTCCTCATTCCTGCTTAGAAACCATGAGCTAGAGTTGGATGGACCCCTGCCCTCAAGTTCACTACCATTCCAACCTGGCAGCTTTTCTCATGTATATGCCCTACCTGCCCCCGGGGAACATCTGGGTTTTAAAGAGCTGCAATTGACCTTGAACCAAATCAGCCAATTCCATCCCACCCCTTTGCTTCCCTGCAACCTAGCGTTCACCCTGGGGCACTGAAATGCCAGTAGCTGAGCAGAGATTTGCGTCAGAGCCAGCTGTCCAATCAGCCTCTACTCAGAAGCTCAGGCTGACAAAGGGAATGGGACTGACCAGGAACACTAGCCAAGGGCTGTGCAGGGAGTGAGGTGAGACAGATGCAGCCTCTCAGCTTCACCACAAACTTTAGCAGTTCACAAATCCCAACATCCTCCTTACTTGTCTGGCTGCTCATGGTTAACAGAAGCCCAGGGAGAAGCTGACTCTATCTTCTCTTCAGCCACACCCAAGATATTGGTATAAGGGAGGCTGGCACCATGAGTATTAGTATAAGGGAGGCTTCCGGGTTGTGCGCTAATACAGCTGGACCTCAAATAACCAGAGCCTAATGACCACTGTATGTAACTGAATTCCTGATTGATATGGGTTTAGTCTTCTAACCTGTATATTCCTTGATGTTTAAAATAAATAATCTTAACATGTGTTAGAAATCCTTTCTTCTAGCCAGGTGTGGTGGCATGCACCTGTAGTCCTAGCTACTTAGGAGGCTGAGGCGGGAGGATCCCTTGAGCCCAGGAGTTTGAGGCCAATCTGGACAACACAGTGAGACCCATCTCTAAAAAAAGAAATAAATCTTTTCTTCTTGAACAAACCTCATGAATAAAACCAAATCTTTCTTGGCTGCTTTAAGGTCTGGAAAAGAGCTTCCTTTCCTGCAAAAGTTGTTTTTGAGCACCTATGACGTGTCACCCCTGTCTAGGCTCAAGAACCGAGAAGGTGCAGGCAATGGGCCAGAGTGAGTACTAACCACAGAACGTTCCTGAGAAGTTGCCTTCATAGACTAATTCTAGTTTGTGTTTGTTTTTATTTTGAGACAAAGTCTTGCTCTGTCTCCCAGGCTGGAATGCAGTGTGTGATCTTGACTCACTGCAACCTCTGCCTCCTGGGTCCAAGCAATTCTTGTGCCTCAGCCTCCTGAGTAGCTGGGATTACAGGTACACATCACCATGTCTGGCTAATTTTTGTATTTTTAGTAAAGATGGGATTTCACCATGTTGGCCAGGCTGGTCTCGAACTCCTGACCTCAAGTCATCTGAGTCTCCCAAAGTGCTGGGTTTACAGGCTTGAGCCACCACGCCCAGCCTATAGACTAATTCTAGTTTGAATGCCTTGCTTCCAACCCTAACTTCCTGGCTCTAGGTCGATTAGAGCTCCTTGGGGACCTTCACTTCAGTACAAGCTCTGGCTTGTACTGAATACTAGTTTGTGTCTTGAGGATTTGTTTTTTTTTCTCCTAAGGATTGAAAGCCCATGGGGAAAAAAAAATCAAGATAATTGTGAGCTCCAGAGAGCTGAGTTCAAATTAACTGAGGTTTAACCAAACAGGGCTTGGACACTGGGACAGTCTTGATATTTGAAATAGAGCAGAGGTGGAATTGGATAAGTCTGAATTTGAATCCTGGTTTTACCATTTCCAGTCAGTAGGATCTTATATAACTAACCTTACTCAAGCATTTACTATGTATGCACTTAGCACTGTGTATAACACTTCCTGTGCATTATAATTTGATCAGTGAGCTGTAAACGCATTGCATAAAAAACCTCAGGAAAGACACTTTACCTCTCTGAGTCCAAATTTCTACTTCTACATGGTGAAAACAAAAATAAACATCGGACAAGTTTGTTGGGTGAATTAAGTGAGCTCAGTGTTGGAACGTCCTCAGCATTTGGGCTGGCCCAGGGTGTGTGCACTGCAGGTGTGGCCACCAGAACACAGAACACACCACTCTATCAAGTGCATCCTGCCAGGGTGCTCTGCTGGGTAATCAGGTTTTGGTTGTTGATTTTTTTTTTTGGTGTTTTTTTTTTGAGATGGAGTTTCACTCTTGTTGCCCAGGCTGGAGTGCAATGGCGCAATCTCTGCTCACTGCAACCTCCACCTCCTGAGTTCAAGCGATTCTCCTGCCTCAGCCTCCTGAGTAGCTGGGATTACAAGCATGGGCCACCATGCCCGGCTAATTTTTTTGTATTTTTAGTAGAGATGGGGTTTCTCCATGTTGGTCAGGCTGGTCTTGAACTCATAACCTCAGGTGATCCGCCCGCCTCAGCCTCCCAAAGTGCTGGGATTACAAGCGTGAGCCACCCGCCTGGCCTTTTTTTTTTTTTGAGACAGAGTCTCACTCTGTTGCCTAGGCTGGAGTGCAGTGGCATGATCTTGGCTCACTGCAACCTCCACCTCCCGGGTTCAAGCGATTCTCCTGCCTCAGTAGAATAGCTCCTGAGTAGCTGGAATTACAGGTGCAGGCCACCACGCCTGGCTAATTTTTGTATTTTTTGTAGAGATGGGGTTTCACCATGTTGGTCAGGCTGGTCTCAAACTCCTGACCTCGTGATCTGCCTGCCTCAGCCTCCCAAAGTGCTGAGATTACAAGTGTGAGCCACCGCGTCTGGCCAATTTTTTTTTTTTTTTTTTTAAGAGACAGGGGTCTAGGCTGGGTGCGGTGGCTCACGCCTGTAATCCCAGCACTTTGGGAGGCCGAGGCGGGCGGATCACGAGGTCAAAAGATCAAGATCATCCTGGCTAACATGGTGAAACCCCGTCTCTACTAAATACACAAAAAATTAGCCGGGCGTGGTGGCAGGCGCCTGTAGTCCCAACTACTCAGGAGGCTGAGGCAAGAGAATGGTGTGAACAGAGGAGGCGGAGCTTGCAGTGAGCCGAGATGGTGCCACTGCACTCCATCCTGGGCGACAGAGTGAGACGCCGTCTCAAAAAAAAAAATAAAAGAGACAGGGGTCTGGCTATGTTGCCCAGGCTGGTCTTGAACTCCTGAGCTCAAGTGATCCTCCCACCTTGGTATCCCAAACTGCCAGGACTACAGGCAAGGCATTAGCCACCATGCCTGGACCAGGTTTTAGTTTTTTTCTTAATTGTTTACAATCTTGCCCCACCCTTTCTTCATTTTAAAGGGAATTTATGCTCCTATTTGGCTGGGCTGGGCTCATTCTGCCACACTGAGCTGCTTGCTCTTCTAACGTCCTCCAGAGTTTCTGGCTCTGGAGTCCTGAGTCTGCCTTGCCCGCAGCCTTTACAGCCTGGCACTAGGTCAATCGGAGCTCCTTTGGGACCTTCAGCATAGCTGTGGCTTGTAAGAAGGAAAAAGTAGGCCAGATGACCTTCATCCCTGAGAAGAAGACCCTGCCTCACCCAGTAGGGCCATTTCCCAGCCAGAATTCTCTCCCTCCTCTGTGGAGCTGCAGCCAGGACCACCACTCAGCCAGAGCACGGAGGCTTTAATGAAGAGTCCCTCGGGACTGTAAAAACCTGTGAAAGTGATCGGCCGGGCGCAGTGGCTCAAGCCTGTAATCCCAGCACTTTGGGAGGCTGAGGCGGGCAAATCACAAGGTCAGGAGATCGAGACCATCCTGGCTAACACGGTGAAACCCCGTCTCTACTAAAAATACAAAAAATTAGCCGGGCGTGGTGGCGGACTCCTGTAGTCCCAGCTACTCGGGAGGCTGACGCGGGAGAATGGCGTGAACCCAGGAGGTGGAGCCTGCAGTGAGCCGAGATGGCACCACTGCACTCCAGCCTGGGCGACAGAGTGAGACTCCGTCACAAAACAAACAAACAAAAAACCTGTGAAAGTGAAAGAAAGTGATCCTTTGGTACTGTGTCTTGGGGTGGCCAGGCAGGGTAAATGTCATGGGTATGTGACCCACGCAGTCACTCAGGGACCTCTGTTTAGAATGTCCCTGCTCTTGGTTTAATGCTCTTGAATTTTTTTTTTTTTTTTTTTTTTTTTGAGACAGAGTCTTGCTCTGTCGCCCAGGCTACAGTTCACTGACCCAATCTTGGCTCATAGCAACCCTGGCCTCCCGAGTTCAAGCGATTCTCCTGCCTCAGCCTCCCGAGTAGCTGGGATTATAGGCGCCAGCCACCACACCCAGTTAATTTTTGTATTTTTAGTAGAGATGAGGTTTCGCCATGTTGGCCAGGCTGGCCTCGAACTCTTGACCTCAAGTGATCCGCCCGCCTCGGCCTCCCAAAGTGTTGGGATTACAGGCATGAGCCACCGAGCCCAGCCTAAATTCTTCCTAACTCTTGAACAAGGGCCCTGCACATTATGCAGCCAGTCCTGTGGCCAGGAAGCTGCCCAGCTGCCTGGAAGTGGGCCTCTTGGGAGGCAGCCCTGTGTTGGCAAGAGAACATTGGCTTCCCTTTGTTTTCTGGGGTCCTCGCTGAGGACTCATGCTCCCCCAGATCTTGCAGCTGGTTCCTGGCCTGCCTTCAGCCCCGCCAGCCATATGGGTTGTGGTGGCAGCTATGGATGGTGGTGTCTGCAGGATCATTAGTGGCAAGCTTCAACTGCAGCCATAGGATTTCCTAGTCAGAAAGACCTCAGCAGTCATTGGCTGCCACCCTCCCACTACAGAAAAAGGTAACCTGAGACCCAGAGAGGGAAGCAAGTGTTGTGAAGTTACACAGCAAGAAGATGTTTAGGCTTAAAAAAGTGGTTCTTTCTTTATGGCCTACATCCTGCTGAGGGCAGACCAGCAGTGAAAAGAAGGAGGGTTCATTTAGCACTGGGCTGGGCCTTGGAAGACTTCTCTCATCTTTTTGTTTGTTTGTTTGTTTGGTTTTGAGACAGTCTCGCTCTGTCGTCCAGGCTGGAGTGCAATGGCACGATCTCGGGTCACTGCAACCTGCACCTCCCGGGTTCAAGTGATTCTCCTGCCTCAGCCTCCTGAGTAGCTAGGATTACAGGGGCCCACCACTGCGCTCAGCTAATTTTTGTATTTTTAGTAGAGACAGGGTTTCGTCATGTTGGCCAGGTTGGTCTCGAACTCCTGACCTCAAGTGATCCTCCTGCCTCAGCCTCCCAAAGTGCTGGGATTACAGGTGTGAGCCACTGTGCCTGGCTAAGACTCCTCTCATCTTAACTAAACCATGTGAAGTTAGGTTTAGCTCCCGTTAGAGAGGATCTCTGCTTTCTGGGAGCAGCCCTGCATGAGATTTAATCAAAGCAGCCCAGCCCAGCCAAACAGGAGCATAAGTTCCCTTTAAAATGAAGAGAGAGTGGGGCAAGTTTGTAAAAAATTAAGAAAAAAACTAAAGCCTGGGCCAGATATGGTGGCTCATGCCTGTAGTCCCAGCACTTTGGGGTGCCGAGGCGGGAAGACCACTTGAGCTCAGGAGTTCAAGACTAGCGTAGGCAACATAGCCAGGTCCCTGTCTCTTTTAAAAAAAATGCCCACGGTGAAACCCCGTCTCTACAAAAAATATAAAAATTAGCCGGGCGAGGTGGCGTGCGCCTGTAATCCCAGCTACTCAGGAGGCTGAGGCAGGAGAATTGCTTGAACCCGGGAGGAGGAGGTTGCAGTGAGCCGAGATCGTGCCGCTGCATTCCAGCCTAGGCGACAGAGCTGGGTCTTAGTTGATATCACCTTGGCCAGTCACTCCCCATCTCTGGGTCCCAGTGTTTTCACCAATCCATTGCCTCGTGGACCTTAATTTCAGATCATATGAGTAAAATCCCATGGAAAGGAAACCATCCTGAGCATACTAAAAGCTGCAGTCAGTTCACACGCCTGGATGAGCCAGAGGCCATACAAGTCTCATCTCCAACACCTCCCAGCTGTTCCTTAACCTCTGCCGGCCTTAGTTTCCTCATCTATGAAATGGGCAACAATAAACTTAGTGTTGTGAGGATTTACATCATGTAGGGAAAGAAGTTTAGCATAATATGTGCCCCGGAAACAGACTGATTAGTTCAAATTTGGGCTCTGACATATAGCAGAGCCCATATAGCATATGGCATATAGCATATATATGGTCACATATAGCTATGTGACCTTGAGCAAACAAACCTGTCTGAGCTTCAGTTTCCTCATCTGAGAAATAAGAATAATAATGAGGACTTACCTCCAAGGTTGCTATGAAAAGCAAGGCAAGGGCCAGGCGCAGTGGCTCACACCTGTAATCCCAACACTTTGGGAGGCCGAGGCAGGTGGATCACCTGAGGTCAGGAGTTCGAGACCAGCCTCGCCAATATGGCAAAACCCCGTCTTTACTAAAAATACAAAAAAAAAAAAAAAACAGCCGGGTGTGGTGGCGGGCACCTATAATCCCAGCTACTAAAGAGGCTGAGGCAGGAGAATCACTTGAACCTGGGGGGGCAGAGGTTGCAGTGAGCCAAGATCACAACACTGCACTCAAGCCTGGGCAACAGAGCAAAACTCTGCCAAAAAAAAAAAAACAAAAAAAATTGGCTGAGTGTGGTGGCTCATGCCTGTAATCCCAGGACTTTGGGAGGTCGAGTTGGGTGGATCACGAGGTCAGGAGATCGAGACCATCCTGGCCAACATGGTGAAACCCCATCTCTACTAAAAATACAAAAATTAGCTGGGCGTGGTGGCGCGTGGCTGTAATCTCAGCTACTTGGGAGGGTGAGGCAGGAGAATTGCTTGAACCAGGGAGTCGGAGGTTGCAGTGAGCCAAGATCCCGCCACTGCACTCCAGCTTGGTGACAGAGTGAGACTCAGTCTCAAAAAATAAAAAAATACAAAAAATACAAATATTAGCCGGGTGTGGTGGTGCACACCTGTAGTCCCAGCTACTCAGGAGGCTGAAGGGGAGGATTACCTGAGCCTGGGGAGGTGAAGGCTGCAGTGAGCAGTGATCATGCCGCTGCACTCCAGCCTGGGTGACAGAATGAGACCCACCTCAAGTTGGGGATGGACAGTAAGAAAGAGGCTCTTGTGGCAGGTGGGGGCCTTGTAAGCCATGCAAAGACTCTATAGGGAGCCATTAGAAGGATTTTAGCAGGAGGATAGTTTATGGAGGAGCAGGGCAGAGTACAGAGATGGAGACCAGTCAGGGCCTGCTGTGGTCCAGGCAGAGATGACAGCAACACATGGACTAGAGAATGAGAACATGGGAGACAGAGATCAATGGGAAGAGTGGGGATATATTCAGAGGATAGTGATCAATCTCTGACCTTGATCCTCATTCCCCTCTACTGCAATCTGAAAGGTGTCAGCTGCTCTGAGGTTCTGAGTATGGCTCTGTGTTAACCCTGCAGGAGGCAATATAGCCAAATGGCTACAAGTGTTAGGTCTGGACATCACACCAACCTGGGTTTGAATCCTGGCACTGCCTCTGACTGACTGTGGCCTTGAGCAAGCTCTTTACCATCCGTTTACCTCAATTTCCTTGTCTGCAAAATGGGATTGACAGGCCAGGCATGGTGGTTCATGCTTGTAATCCCAGCACTTTGGGAGGCTGAGGCAGGTGGATCACCTGAGTCCAGGAGTTTGAGACCAGCCTGGCCAACATGGTGAAACCCTGTCTCTACTAAAAATACAAAAATTAGCCAGTCATGGTGATGCATGTCTGTAATCCCAGCTACTTGGGATGCTGAGGCAGGAGACTCGCTTAAACCTGGGAGGCGGAGGTTGCAGTGAACCGAGATCGTGCCACTGCACTCCAGCCTAGGCAATGGAGTGAGGCTCTGTCTCAAAAAAAAAAAAAAAAATGGTAATGCACAGAGTAGTACCTGCTTCACAGGGTTACAGTAAATAAAGAAGACAATTAAAATAAAGGACTCAAGGTAGAGTGTGGCACACAGCGAGCACTCAGTCAAGGTGAGTCATTATCACTGTCATGATCAAGTAGAGGCATTTACTTGTCCCTCCTGGTTTTAAGCCAATGACACTGATGGAATTTGGTTACAATGGCCTCGTTGGCAAAGAATAAGTTCTGTCTCCTTCCAGTCCTTATCTTTGGCACCTTGTGGTACATCTACCTGTAAGGCAGGTGGCTCTCTGCCATCCTTAAGTCAGAGACAGGTGATGCCGCCATGCAGGCCAATTTAGAAATGGCAGGAAATGGGGTGACTTCCATGGGAATGGAGGTGGGTCCAGTGGCCCCCTGCTGTCACTGTCTGACTTTCCAGACTTTTGTCCATAGCCTCTGGCCATTCCTCACATCTACTGCTGCTCTGAGGGCACCTGCAACTTCAGCAACACAGAGAACCACTGCCTGAGAGCGGTGAGTCACCCCCTCTCCTCAGAGTCACAGGAAGGTTAGAATGAGGGAGTCTCGGCCGAGAGCAGTGGCTCACACCTGTAATCTCAGCACTTTGGGGGACTGAGGCGGGCGGGTCACCTGAGGTCAGGAGTTCAAGACCAGCCTGGCCAACATGGAGAAACCCCATCTCTACTAAAAATACAAAATTAGCCAGGTGTGGTGGTGTATGCTTGTAATTCCAGCTTCTCAGGAGGCTAAGGCGGGTGAATTGCTTGAACCCGTGAGGCGGAGGTTGCGGTAAGCCAAGATCGTGCCATTGCACTCTAGCCTGGGCAACAAGAGTGAAACTCCATCTCAAAAATATTAAAATGAGACAGGGTCTCCGCTATGTTGCCCAGGCTGGTCTGGAACTGCTGGGCTCAAGCAATCCTCCCACTTTGGCCTCCCAAAGTGCTGGGACTACAGGCATGAGCTATTGCACTTGGCCAGGGTGTCTCTTTCTTGCTCAGGTGTCAGAAGAGCAAAAGAAAAAGAGGAGCTCAGAACCCCAGTGCATAGTGCTGTACACACACACACACACACACGCACACATGCACACACACACACACATGCACACACACACAAATACACACACACTCTTCCAATTCATAGTTTACAAAGCATGACATTTCCTCCTTTGCACCATACAGCAACACTGTGAAGCAGGCAGATTGGTTGGGCCCACAGTGTTGTTTTAAAAAATCATGTTCCAGCCGGGCGTGGTGGCTGATGCCTGTAATCCCAGCACTTTGGGAGTCCGAGGCAGGCAGATCACGAAGTCAGGAGATCGAGACCATCCTGGCTAACACAGTGAAACCCTGTCTCTACTAAAAATACAAAAAAAAATTAGCCGGGCATGGTGGCGGGCGTCTGTAGTCCCAGCTGCTCGGGAGGCTGATGCACGAGAATGGCATGAACCTGGGAGGCAGAGCTTGCAGTGAGCTAAGATCATGCCACTGCACTCCAGCCTGGGTGACAGAGCAAGACTCCGTCTCAAAAAAAAAAAAAAGAACAAGAACAAAAAAAAAATCATGTTCCTAGGCCAGGCCCAGTGGCTCACGCCTGTAATCCCAGCACTTTGTGAGGCCAAGGCAGGCGAATCACCTGAGGTCAAGAGTTCAAAACCAGCCTGGACAACATGGTGAAACCCTGTCTCTACTAAAATTACAAAATTAGCCGTGCGTGATGGCACACACCTGTAATCCCAGCTACTCGGGAGACTGAGGCAGGACAATTGCTTGAACCCAGGAGGTGGAGGTTGTGGTGAGCCAAGATTTCACAATTGCACTCCAGCCTGGACAACAAGAGTGAAACTCTGTCTCAAAAAAAAAAGTTTTATATTTCTGGGCTGGGCATGGTGGTTCATGCCTGTAACACCAGCACTTTGGGAGGCCAAGGCGGGTGGATCACCTGAGGTCAGGAGTTTGAGACCAGCCTGGCCAACATGTTGCAACCCCGTCTCTACTAATAATACAAAAATTAGTTGGGCGTGGTGGCATGTGCCTGTAATCCCAGCTACTCAGGAGGCTAAGGCAGGTTAATTGCTTGAACCAGGGATGCAGAGGTTACAGTGAGCCGAGATCACGCCATTGCACTCCAGCCTGGATGACAATAACAAAAATCCATAAAAAAAAAATTGTATTACTGGCCAGGCATGGTGGCTCATGCCTGTAATCCCAACAGTTCGGGAGGCCGAGGTGGGACCAGCCTGCCTGGTCAACATAGTGAGGCTCTGTCTCTATAAAAAAATTAAATATAGGCAGGGCACAGTGGCTCACACCTGTAATCCCAGCACTTGGGGAGGCCAAGGCAGGCGGATCACGAGGTCAGGAGTTCAAGACCAGCCTGACCAACATGGTGAAATCCTGTCTCTACTAAAAATACAAAAAAAAAAAAAATTAGCTGGGCATGGTGGCACGTGCCTGTAATCGCAGCTACTCTGGAGGCTGAGGCAAGAGAGTTGCTTGAACCGGGACCCGGGAGGCAGAGGTTGCAGTGAGCAGAGATCATGCCACTACACTCCAGACTGGGCAACAGAGCCAGACTGTCTCAAAAAAAATAAATTAATTAATTAAAAAATAAATAGGCCAGCGAAGTGGCTCACACCTGTAATCCCAGCACTCTGGGAGGCTAAGGTAGGTGGATTACCTGAGGCCAGGAATTCAAGACCAGCCTGGCCAACATGGTGAAACCCTGTCTCTACTAAAAATACAAAAATTAGCCAGGCTCAGTGGCAGGCGCCTGTAATCCCAGCTACTTGGGAGGCTAAGGCAGGAGAATCGCTTGAATCCCAGAGGCAGAGTTTGCAGTGAGCCAAGATTGTGCCATTGCACTCCAGCCTGGGCGACAGAGCAAGACTGTCTCAAAAACAAAAACAAAAACAAAAAATTAAAAAAAAAAGCAGCAGGAGGTCTCACAAGGAATGGTGACAATTTAGAGGAGACTGCCCTAGAGCAGTGATTTCAACTCTGCTCCCTGCCTGCTGCTGGGCCCTCAAGTTCTAATTATCCATTGCTGGAATCCAGATATTCCAAGTGCCTTGGATTTCCATTTGACCCTTGACAAAAGATTATTGTGCATGGGGAGTCATTACAGGCCACCAAAATTTGGTTTTCGAATAAGAATTAGCATTTTAGGAGTGTTTACTGGGCACCGTCAGATTTCTGCCAAGAAGTTTGGCTGCCATGTAGCCTTGCAAACTTTCTGCCGTGTATGCCCAAGTGGAGACAGTTTTACTACTATTAAGAGTGACAATGGGTGAGATGACAGGACCATAGAGTCTTTGGCCCTACCTAAATAGGCCAATTAAATAGAATTGTGGGGCCAGGCACATTGGCCTAGCAGGAGGGTCGCTTGAGCCCAGGATTTGAGACCAGCCTGGGCAACAAAGCAAGACCCTATCTCTAAAAAAATTTTATTTATTTATTTATTTATTTTTTGATGTGGAGTCTGGCTCTGTCGCCCAGGCTGGAGTGCAGTGGCACGATCTTGGCTCACTGCAAGCTCCGCCTCTAGGGTTCACGCCATTCTCCTGCCTCAGCCTCCAGAGTAGCTGGGTCTTCAGGCACCCACCACCACGCCCGGCTAATTTTTTGTATTTTTAGTAGAGATAGGGTTTCACTGTGTTAGCTAGGATGGTCTCAATCTCCTGACCTCATGATCCACCCGCCTCAGCCTCCCAAAGTGCTGGGATTACAGGCGTGAGACACCGTGCCCGGCCAAAAAAAAAAATTTTTTTTTAATTGGCTGGGCATGTTGGCCCATGTCTGTAGTCCTAGCTGCTTTGGAGGCTGAGGCAGGAGGATCGATTGAGCCCAGGAGTTTGAGGTGGCAGTAAGCTATGACTGTGCCACTGTACTCCAGCCTGGGCAACAGAGTGAGACCCAGTCTCTAAAAAAAAAAAAAAAGAAAGAAAGAAAGAAAGAAAAATTGTGAGCCCTGGCCCGTACAGCATAATCCAGCCCACTGCCTTGGTGATGCTAGTTGATACTTAGTGGCTCTCTCCTGGGTGGTGGAGGGCTGCAGTGTCTCCCAGCTCCCTGTGGTATGGCATGGATGTGTCTCCTGGAGTCAGCTCCAAGACTGCCCTTCCCTCTAGGAAGCCACAGGACAGAAGCTCAGGTCCCATATGCTCTGCTGGCAGCTTCTATCATGTGGGACATCAGAGGAATTGGGACCTTGGTGTCAATTGGTGTTGGCCAGGAAGTATAGCAAGTTGTGTTTCACCCTCAACCCCGGAAGGACTTTGGATTGATTCTTCTCTGCAGGTCCTAGAAGCTTATGGCATGATTCAGGGCATTGGCCTCAACATTTACCACCGCTACTCACCCTGGTGGGAGGCACGTGGCTACCAGGGGCATTACACTGCTGACATGAGCAACCTTTTCCGAAGATACCAGTTCAACGTGGCCACCTGGGTAAGTGGTTGGTGAGGTGGGATGTGGGATGGTGAAGGCTGCGATAATTATTATAGATAATGCTTCTCTCTACCTTTGCAGCTAGTCCAGTCCACCATCATCTCTCGCCTGGACCATTACAATCTACCTCTAATTTGGAGATTCCTGATTCCACCCTTGTTCTCCTATAGTCTTTTCCTCTTGCAGCAGCCTTTATTTATTTCTTTATTTCTATTTTTTTTTTCTGAGACATAGTCTCACTGTGTCTCCCAGGCTGGAGTGCAGTGGCACGATCTTGGCTCACTGCAACCTCTGCCTCCTGGGTTCAAGTGATTCTCCTATCTCAGCCTCCCAAGTAGCTGGGATTACAGGTATGCACCACCACACCGGGCTAATTTTTGTATTTTTGGTAGAGATGGGGTTTCACCATGTTGAGGAGCCATAGAAGCCTATGTTCTCATGGCCTACAGGGCCCCACATGTTCTAGCTCCTCTCTGACTACATATTCCACCCCTCTCCTCCTCATTGCTATCACTGTCCTGCTTCAGCCTCACCTGCAGTCTTGCCAAACCTCAACCTCGGGGCCTTGGCACTTTCTGGTCCCCTGCTTGAAACCCCCTGCCACCAGATATCTACATGGCTTCTTTTCTCACTTCCTTTAGGTCTCTGCTGAACTCCTCTATCAGAGGGGTCTGCTGCCTACCTCCCCTGCCCTCTCACTTCTTTCTGTTACTCCAGCACCTATTCTCCTGCATCATGTTTTTGTAGCAATTTTACTGCCTGGCATTATTTATTTATTCTTGTTTATTCCACCTCCCCCCTCCACCGCCTTGTTTAAATGCAAGATCAATGAACTCAGTTTTGTTGCTGTAATTCCCAATACTTGGCACATAGGAGGCACTTAACACCTTTTTGTTGAATGAATGACTCAATACATAAACTTCCTCTACGGGCCAGGCACGGTGGCTCACACCTGTAATCTCAACACTTTGAGAGGCCAAGACCAGCAGATCATCTGAGGTCAGGAATTTGAAACCAGCCTGGCCAACATGGTGAAACCCCTTCTCTACCAAAAATACAAAAATTAGTCAGGCGTGGTGGCGCATACCTGTAATCCCAGCTACTCGTGAGACTGAGACGGGAGAATCACTTGAACCCGGGAGGTGGAGGTTGCAGTGACCTGAGATCACGCCACTGCACCCCAGACTGGGGGCCAGAGCGAGACTTTGTCTCAAAACAACAACAACAACAAAATCTTCCTTTACACTAGACATTGAGTATTTTACATACTTTATCTCATTTAACCCTCATGAAGATCCTCTACCCTATGTACCGCTGTCATCCCATTTCACAGATGAAGGACCTGAAGCTCAGAGAGGCAGTGTCCTAGTGCATGGTTACCTAGGGTAGAGCTGGAATATGAACCTCAGGAGGCTGACTCCTTTATTATTTATTAATTTATTTTGAATTTTTTTTTAAGCTGGGGTCTCGCTATGTTGCCCAGGCTGGTCTGGAATTCCTGAGCTCAAGTAATCTTCCTGCCGCAGCCTCCCAAAGTGCTGGGTGCTGGGATTACAGACATGACCCACTGCACACTGCACCCAGCCTCTTTTTTTTTTTTTTTTTTTTTAAGAGGCAGGGTCTCACTCTGTTGCCCAGGTTGGAGTGCAGTGGTGCCATCATAGCTCACTGCAGCCTCAAAACTCGTGGGCTCAAGGGATCCTCCTGCCCCAGCCTCCCGAGTTGCTGGGACTACAGGCATACACTACTATGCCCAGCTAATTAGAAGTCTGACTCCTGAGCTCAGACTGCAGTACTCAACGTACCTCATTCTGGCCTCCCTGGAAGCATCCTCAGGGCCAGTGTTCTGCTGGGTGCTTTCTGTGCTGAGGCAGTCTTGGACTGGGGACAGCACAGTCTTGAACCCGAAAGGGATCAAGGTGGGGTGAGATGCTCAGGTGGTGAAAATGAGGGACAGGCAGCACTTCCCCAGCATCCCCTATCCAGGGCAGGTACACCCTGGGCCCTACCTCTTAGGAATATTGGATGGCAATGGAGGCAGAGAGGAAGGCATGCAGAAGGGCCTGGCTGCCTCTCCTCTTTCCACCTCACCTTTCCTGGGTTACTGTCCCTGAGAAACCTCATTTGGAGTACAGTGTGGACCAGGGGCTACTGTGACTCAGAACAGTTCCAAGTGGAAAGGACTTAGAGATCATCCTAGCCAATTCTTCTGTTTTACAGAAAGATTCTGAGACCTAGAGAGGAAGAAACACTTACTCTATATGGGAAGGGCATGAACAAAGGTGTAATTGCCTCATCGTGGGTTCTTCCTGCCTGTTGCACAGACAAAATCAGTTCACTGAGACTGTGATATTGCAGGAGAGAGTTTTATTAACTCAAGGCTGGCCATGCAGTAGTTGGAGTTATTACTCAAATCAGTGTCTCTGAGAAGTCCGAGGCTAGGCTTTTTATGAACAAGTTGGTGGGCAGGGGGCAGGGAATGGGTTGGAGATGGTATCATAGAGGTGTGGAAAATGGTCCTCCTGCACAGAGTCGGCCTCCAGATGGGGCCACAGGACTGGTTGAGGCATGAGTCACAGGTTGGGGCAGGATCAGCCAGTTGCCAGAAAATCTGGAAAAAAAAAAAATCAGTTACAGGCTCACGCCTGTAACCCAGCACTTTGGAATGAGGCGGGCGGATCACGAGGTCAGGAGTTTGAGAACAGCCTGACCAACATGGAGAAACCCTGTCTCTACTAAAAATACAAAAATTAGCCAGGCATGGTGGCACGCTGTTACACTCTTATAATCCCAGCTACTCAGGAGGCTGAGGCAGGAGAATCTCTTGAACCCGGGAGGTGGAGGTTGCAGTGAGCCGAGATCGCGCCACTGCACTCTAGCCTGGGCGACAGAGGGAGACTCCATCTCAAAAAAAAAAAAAATCTCAAAAGACAAATCTTAAATTTTACAAGTGATGTTATCTATAGGAGCAAGAGGAAGTCACAAATCCTGTGGCCTCTGGCCACATGACTGCTGAGCATAAGGGATTATAGAAACTATGCTGACATTTAGCAGAATTCTGGCCCTTCCCATACTCCTAATCTTGTGGCCTTTCATTAGTCCTTTTTTGCTTTTTGTGTTTTTTTTATGTTTTTTTGAGACAAAGTTCTGCTCTGTCATCTAGGCTGAAGTGCAATGGCATAATCACAGCTCACGGCCTCAAACCATCTTCCCACCTCAGCCTCCCAAGTAGCTGGGACTATAGGAGTGCACCACCACATATGGCTAATTTTTTATTTAAAAAATTTCTTTCTTTTTTTTTTTTTTGAGATGGAGTTTCACTCTGTCAACCAGGTTGGAGTGCAGTGGCGTGATCTCTGCTCACTGCAACCCCTGCCTCCCAAGTAGCTGGGGTTACAGGCAGGCACCACTATGCCCGGCTCATTTTTGTATTTTTAGTAGAGACAAGGTTTCACCATGTTGGCCAGGCTGGTCTCAACTTTCTGACCTCAGGTGATCCACCCACCTCAGCCTCCTGAAGTGCTGGGATTACAGGTGTGAGCCACCATGCACAGCCTAGAGGGGGTTAGTTTTAAGGAAGGACAATTATCATCCTTGCTTTCAAATTAAACTATTAATATCAGGGCATGGTGGCTCACACCTGTAATCCTAACACTTTGAGAGGCCAAGTTGGGAGGATCGCGTGAGGCCAGGAGTTCGAGACCAGCCTGGTCAACATAGTGAGACCTCATCTCTTTATTTATTTATTTATTTATTTATTTATTTATTTATTTATTTATTTTGAGTCAGAGTCTTGTTCTGTTGCCCAGGCTGGAGTGCAGTCCTGCAGTCTCGGCTCACCGCAACCTCTGCCTCCCTGGTTCAAGTGATTCTACTTCCTCAGCCTCCCAAGTATCTGGGATTACAGGTGCCCACCACCACACCTGGCTAATTTTTTGTATTTTTAGTAGAGACGGGGTTTCTTCATGTTGGCCAGGCTGGTCTCGAACTCCTGACCTCAGGTGATCTGCCCACCTCAGCCTCCCAAAGTGCTGGGATTACAGGCATGAGCCACTGTGCCCAGCCCCTTCATTTCTTTTCTCTTATCTTTCACACTATCAATTACCAAAGCCCGACAATTTCACTTCCCACATCTCTTGTGGTCCCAGTTCTCCCCATTCCCACCGCACTATCTCCCCTGGACTCTTACAGTAGTTTCCTGGTTAGTTTCCCAGCCCTTCTTCCACATCACAGCCAGTGTGACCTTAAAAAAAAATGCAAATATAAGCCTGTCAGCTGCTCCACCCAACCCTTCAAAGGCTTCCCAGAGCTCTTAGGATAAAGGGCTGACACAGCAGCCCTAGATGGGCTTCTGGCTACCTCTCTGGGTTCCAGCCTTCCTGGTCTTTCAGCTCCTCACAGATGCCCAAAGATGCTGTATCCTCTCTGGGAGGCCTAGCTCTTTGCTGGAATGTAACCCCCTCCCCGCCACTCTTCCTCTGTAACTCCTACTCCACGCCCAGCCAGGTTTTTAATTTTTTAAATATATATATTACATTTTTTATTGTACTTTAAGTGCTGGGATACAAGAGCAGAATGTGTAGGTTTGTTACACAGGTATACGTGTGCCATGGTGGTTTGCTGCACCTATCAACCTGTCATCTCAGTTTTAAGCCCTGCATGTATTAGCTATTTGTCCTAATGCTCTGCCTCCCCTTGCCCCCACCCCCTGACAGGCCCCAGTGTGTGATGTTCCCCTCCCTGTGCCCATGTGTTCTCATTGTTCAACTCCTGCTTATGAGTGAGAACATGTGGGGTTCGGTTTTCTGTTCCTGTGTTAGTTTGCTGAGGATGATGGCTTCCAGCTTCATCCAGGTCCCTGCAAAGGACATGATCTCATTTACTTTTTATGGCTGCAGGTTTCTGAATTTCTCAGTGGGCTTTTTGCAGTGTGCCTCCCTGGACATCCTCCCAGGGTAGAGCTACCAATGTCTTACTAGAGCTTGAGTGCCCAGGGAATCAGAGGGATTGGGGCAGGGCAGTGGTAATGGGCTGGATTTAGAGTTAGGCTGTCAATGGGCAGCTCTGGGTAAGACAGAGAATCCTAAGGTAGTTAAAACTACTGTAAATTGAAGTTACTGACTAACTTGAAAAATGAGACTGAAAAACAGGAACATGAAATAATAAGGCTTTGTATTTCTTGCATTCTTTTTTATGTATTTCTTTATTTTTTGAGACAAGGTCTCAGTCTGTTGCCCAGACTGGAGTGTGCTGGTGCAATCACGGCTCACTGCAGCCTTGACCTTCTGGCCTCAGGGGATCCTCCCACCTCAGCCTCCTAAGTAGCTGCAACTACAGGTATGCAGCACCATGCCTGGCTAATTTTTCTTTTTCTTTTTTGTAGAATCTTGCTGCGTTTCCCAGGCTGGTCTTTAACTCCTGGGCTCAAGCAGTCCTCCCACCTCGGCCTCCCAAAGTGCTGGGATTACAGGCGTGAGCCACCATGCCCAAAGGCCTTGTATTTTCCATTCACCTTTCTTCCAAGCACTTTGAAATATATTATAATATAGTTTGCACAGATCTCAAAGCCTCAAAATTCTTTGTCTTCTAAGTATTTTTTGTTCCCCTTCCTAACCTAATTAAATAAGGCTTTTGTTTCCAGTACTTACATTTCCCTCTCTGGGCTATTTTGGGAAACAGTGAAAAGAGTTTTGTAAAATCAGAGTCTCGCTCTCTAGCCAGGCTGGAGTGCAGTGGCGCGATCTTGGCTCACTGCAACTCTGCCTTCCGGGTTCAAGCAATTCCCCCGCCTCAGCCTCCCGAGTAGCTGGGACCACAGGCGTGCGCCACCATGCCCGGCTAAGTTTTTGTATTTTAGTAGAGACAGGGGTTTCACCATGTTGGCCAGGATGGTCTCGATCTCCTGACCTTGTGATCTGCCTACCCCGGCGTCCCAAAGTGCTGGGATTATAGGCATGAGCCACTGCGCCCGGCCGAGAGTTTTGTAAAATTCTTCCAGAGCCTGGGATGCAGTTAATTGGGGAGAAGTGAAAGACCGGAAGAAGGCTAAGGAAAGAGGCCAGGAAAGTAATTAACAGCTAGCTAAAATATCCTGTTTCTAAATACAGTGGGTTGCTGAGTTATAAGGTGATTCAGTTAATCCTTTGTGAAGGTGTCTAGTAAAATAGTTTGTCTGGGCTTGATTTCCAATTATGTCTTTTGATAAAAATTCAAATGTGTATCAAGTAACCTACAGTACCCCTTCCAGTTTGTAAATTTCCTGTGAGTCTTTCAGCTTTTTAGTAAGGATAGAAGCCACCTAGGATTCTGACAGACGGTTGAAGGACTTTGATCTCTAGGCCATTGTGCAAATCTTGCAGGTACTTAGCTCAGGCTCCATGACAAGTCAAATCCTAGAAGTGGTGTTGTAACTCCAGGGGAGGGGTTGGCAGTGGGCACAAGGGTCTCCTGGAGCAGTCTCAGTTGAAAGCAGCAAACCATTTTCCCGGCAAAGACAGGTGGAAGTAGAAAAAGGCAATTCGGCTTTATTTTACCTTATCTTTATTTTTGGAGATCTATGTTTGAGACCAGAACTAGCTGTAGAATTACAGAGTTGACCTTAGATAGCTGACCTCTGTGGGTATCACCTACTGTCTTTAAAAAAAAAAAAAATCTTAAGGTGGGGTGTGGTGGTTCACACCTGTAACCCCAGCACTTTGGGATGCCTAGGTGTGGGGAATCACTTGAGGCCAGGAGTTGGAGACCAGACTGAGTGAGATCTCATCTCTACAAAAAGAGTTTTTAATTCATTTAAAAAAGTATTTAAAATTATACAAATAAAACATAAATACATACTCTTTGTAAAATGTTCAAATAGTGGGCAGGTGCAGTGGCTCACGCCTATAATCCCAGCACTTTGGGAGGCCGAGGCACGTGGATCGCCTGAGGTCAGGAGTTCAAGACCAGCCTGGCCAACATGGTAAAACCCCGTCTCTACTAAAAATACAAAAAATTAGCTAGGCATGATGGCAGGTACCTGTAATCCCAGCTGCTCGGGTGGCTGAGGCAGGAGAATCGCTTGTAACTGGGAGGCAGAGGTTGTAGTGAGTCAAGACCATGCCATTGTACTCCAGCTTGGGCAAAAAAAGAAAAGAAAAAAAAAAGAAAAAAAGAAAAAAAAAGTAGTCTATAGAATAAAAAGCCCAAGTTTCCTTTTACCCTTCCTCATTCCCACTCCTCTCCCTACAGACAAACATTGGTGTTAGTTGGGGGGGAGAAGTATATCTTTTCAAATGTTTTGATGCATTTAGTTATATATAAATATAGATATAGTTATTTTCTTCCACACAAATGGTAACATAATGATTATATATTTTTTCTTTCCTTCATCTAACTTTCTAATTTAGCAATAAATCTTAGAACCATTCCATATAAGCAAATGTAGACTTACCTCATTTTTAAATTATTATTATTTTTTTAGACTGATTTTTGTATTTTTGTATTTTAGAGACAGGGTTTCACCATGCTGGCCAGGCTGCTCTCGAACTCCAGACCTCAGGCGATCCACCCGCTTCGGCCTCCCAAAGTGCTGGGATTACAAGTGTGAGCCACTGTACCCGGCCAACTTACCTCATTTAAAAAAAAAAAAGAGGCTGGGCATGGTGGCTGATGCCTGTAATCCCATCACTTTGGGAGGCCGAGGTGGGCAGATCACGAGGTCAGGAGATTGAGACCATTCTGGCTAACACAGAGAAACCCCGTCTCTACTAAAAATACAAAAAATTAGCCAGGCGTGGTGGCGGGCGCCTGTAGTCCCAGCTACTTGGGAGGCTGAGGCAGGAGAATGGCACGAACCCGGCAGGCAGAGCTTGCAGTGAGCCAAGATCATGCCACTGCACTCCAGCCTGGGTGACAGAGTGAGACTCCGTCTAAAAAAAAATTCATAATATTTCATTAAAAAGTACGATATTTATTTATTTATTTATTTATTTATTTATTTTTGAGTCACAGTCTCACTCTGTCACCCAGGCTTGAGTGTAGTGGTGCGATCTACGCTCACTGCAACTTCTGTCTCCCGGGTTCAAGTGATTCTCTTGCCTCAGCCTCCCGAATAGCTGGGATTACAGGCGCCTGCCACCACACCTGGCTAATTTTTGTATTTTTAGTAGAGATGGGGTCTGGCCCAAAGTACCATACATTTTATTATTGTTTCCAATCTTTTGGGTCCCCATAAACAACGCTTCCATGTATATCTGTATGCACTCTGCACACATTTGCAATGTTCATCTGTGGAGTAAATTCTTAGACATGGAATTACTGGGTCAGTGGGGTCGGCATTTTCACTTTTGATAAACTCGGCCAAAATGCTGCTCTACATAGGGGTTTTGGTAACTTTTACTAGCAACCGTGCAGGGAAGGGCCTTATTCCTCATCCTTGTTCTGTTTAGGGGGCCTTTTACTTCTAAGATTACAATGTTGTAAGTCGATTTCTCCCTTTAGTACCCTGCAAGGCCTATTTGCACATATGCCTACCATGTGCCAGACACAATACTAGGTGCTGAGAATACAGCTGTGAACAAGACGGAAGTGATCCTTCTTCTTACTATATGTGGGGTCCCTGGCTCTTGCACAGTTCTGCTCTTGCACAGTTGCTTGAAAGCACAAGGGACTCAGTAAATGTAGGCTGAAAGACCTGGCCTCCAACTAAGGAAAGGGAGGTGTCGAAAAGTATTTTTAGGCTGGGCTTGGTGGCTCATGCCTGTAATCCCAGCACTTTGGGAGGCTGAGGCGGGTGGATTACCTGAGGTCAGGAGTTCAATACCAGCCTGACCAACATGGTGAAACCCTGTGTCTACTAAAAATACAAAAATTAGCTGGGTGTGGTGGCACGTGCCTGCAATCTCAGGTACCTGGGAGGCTGAGGCAGGAGTCTTGCTTGAACTGGGGAGGCCGGAGGTTGCAGTGAGCTGAGATTGCACCATTGCACTCCAGCCTGGGCAACAAGAGCAAAACTCCGTCTCAAAAAAAAAAAAAAAAAAAAAAAAAAAAAAAAAAAAAAAGATGTGTTTTTAGGACATATGCTCAGTTAACTAGGCCAGTCACAAAAAGACAAATACTGCATGATTCCACTTATATGAGGTATCTAAAGTAATCAAACTCAGGAACATAAAGAAGAATAGTGATTGTCAGGGACTAGGGGGAGGGGGAAATGGAAGGTGTTAAACAACAGATGTAGTTTCAGTTTTGCAAGATGAAAAAGTTCTAGAGATCTGTTGTACAACAATATGCATATAGTTAACACTACTGTATTCTACACTTAAAAATGATTAAGATGGTAAATTTCATGTGTTTCTTACCATAATTTTTTTTAAGTATTTTTTTGGGCACGAGAGGTAATATGAGAGAGATGGCCAGAAGACCACCTACTGAGCCTAGTCTGAGGACAGGGGTGAGCACAGGGATAGGTTTGAATTTCTTTTTCTTTTCTTTTTTTTTTTTGGAGACGGAGTCTCGCTCAGTCGCCCAGGCTGGAGTCAAGCGGCGCGATCTCGGCTCACTGCGACCTCTGCCTCCCGGGTTCACGCCATTCTCCTGCCTCAGCCTCCCGAGTAGCTGGGACTACAGGCGCCCGCCACTACGCCCGGTTAATTTTTCTGTATTTTTAGTAGAGACGGGGTTTCACCGTGTTAGCCGGAATGGTCTCCATCTCCTGACCTCGTGATCCGCCCGCCTCGGCCTCCCAAAGTGCTGGGATTGCAGGCGTGATCCGCAGCGCCCTGCCTTTTTTTTTTTTTTTTTTTTTTTGAGACAGAGTTTTGCTCTGTCGCTCAGGCTGGAGTGCAGTGGCGCGATCTCTGCTCACTGCAACCCACGCCTCCCGGGTTCAAGCGATTCTCCTGCCTCAGCCTCCTAAGTAGCTGGGATTACAGGTGTGCGCCACCACGCCCGGCTAATTTTTTGTATCTTAGTAGAGATGGGGTTTCACCGTGTTAGCCAGGATGGTCTCGATCACCTGACGTCGTGATCCACCCGCCTCAGCCTCCCAAAGAGCTGGTATTACAAGCGTGAGCCACCGCGCCCGGCCTTAATTTCAAAAGGTAATAGAGCTAACCAGTCAACACTTCCTTCCCAATCCTTTCTCTTTTGGGTACAGGTGAGTATAAAATCTTACCAACTATCATAGTTAACAAACAAACCATAGCAAAATATGTTTCTATGCTTTTTCTCTTGAGAGCAAAGGACATGGGTATCCTTTCTTAGACGGCTTCTAGGACTTAAGCCAGGAAGAGAACTTGCGTCTCCTACGTCTCTGGAAGGCGTCTCTGGAAGGTGTCCCTTCTTCAATAGACAGAACTAAAACAGAAAGTTCCCTTGACCAAAGCGAAGCAAGCGAGGACAAGGTGGCCACCTGGGTGACTACAACCCCCAGCATGCACTGCTCCTTCTAGGGCGCAGCGACGAACGAAGACGCATTACTTCTGCGATGGGAACGGGGTAGAGGAGCGCGACTACACATCCCAGGATGCAAAGCGCCCCAACTCTAGTCACAACCTGGCTTGCTTTCTGGCTGGCGTTCCCCGCCAAAGGGACACTAGGGGAGGGGATTGTTTCGGTTGGGAATCCCCGAAGTCTACTGGACCGTGACATTTCGAAAGAGGAAGGAAAGTGGAGGAAAGCTGTTTCACTGTAATTCAAAGTAGTTCCCGCGCAGGGTGGCGAGGAGTTATGGGCCCCTTCCATAATTTATTGTTCCTCAAAGGCAATGCCAAGCCCCACTGGTCGCAGCCCTCCAGGGCAGGTGGGAAGTACGTGAAGCCCCAAATCGAAGTTATCAGCCTCTCCCTATTGGCCCTCGCCTCGAGCGCAGGCGCGAGGGCTCTGACTCCGGTCCCCTGGGCCTGGTGAGCGGCAATTGGCCAAAGTCCGCGAAGTAGGAGGCCGGATTGGTAGTTGCTAGCAGGAGCCTGATTTCTTCCTCGACTTCTGCAAGTGATAGAGTGTGATTGGTTTAAATCCGCGGGCACCTGTCGGTGATTGGGTAGAAGCCACAGGCGGGGCGCGGCCATTGGCTGGCTCTGGGGCCATCCCTCCTCGGGCGGGCAGCGAATGATGAAATGGGAACGGGGAGGGGAAAGGCCGCGACGTGAGCGCGCGACCTCCGGCGCCATTTTGTAGAGAAACAAGCGGAGTTAACCGAAGAGGGGGTCGAGGAGAGCCGGAGTCGGGGACCCAGGAGTTTCCTGTGTCCAGCGCTGCCGGAGCCGCCTGAGGTGAGGCGGGTTGGCGTCAGGGGCTAGGGTAGGGTGGCGGTGTCAGCTTGGGAACGCGAGAGCCGGTGGGAGGAGGAACAGGGGTGGACCTGGGGCCACTGGAAGCGTTTCCCGGAGCTCTAGGGAGTGAGAGGCAGCCGGGACGGGGAAGTGGGACGAGGCGGGAGAGGGCGGACTCTTCTCCACACGGCTCTCGGAGGCTTCGCGCTCTGAAGATGAGAGGCCAGCGAGAAGGCTCCAGGAAGCGGAGGGTAGAGCGCGGGGTGAGACCCATGGTGGTCTCTGTCCCGGGCCTGGAGGCTCAGGGGGCGGCAGCGGCGGCAGTTCGTGTCGCTGGGCCTGGCTTCGCGCGGGTTGCACCCCTCTGAGACCTCCACGACCTCCTTAACTACTGTTTCTGTCTCTGCTCCCTGATGGTTGCAGTGGGCATCGGCTTCCGAGGCCTAGGGCTTCTGGCGGGGGGGACCGTGTTTGGAGTTTTTGCATGTTTCCAGTTCTTCTCCGTGTACTCGGAGCTGCCACTCTCCCCGTCTTACGCCCCCAGCACGTTGTCAAAGCCCCCCAGGTTTCGGGTGTCCCCGGATGGGAAGGGCGGGCGGGAGCAAGCACTTCCTTATTACTTGCTACAGGTTTTGTTCCACTCGCGCGCCTGGGCGCTCACACTTTCTTTGAAGTTGGCCCCCACCTACTCGGTCCGGTGTCTGCAGTAGTGGCGGTCCTGCTCACCCAGGACAAGTGTCCCGCTAGTGAGCTGAGCACTTGTAGGCCTCAAGGCTGATAAGATCCACGGCAGGTCTTGTAGAGGTACTTAAGGCCAAACACAAATAATACTTTTTCAGTACCACCTCCTTTGCAGAATTCACCCAAGAGGGCTCACAGATACTAACTCCCCGAGGAGTAAGCTTTGTAGATTAAAAAAGAATGCTTGACATCTGTGCGTTTGAAAATGTTGTATTTAAAATAAACTTTATGACAAACTTTTCCCATGAAGTTAATCAAATGTCACATTTCTTAGGACTCTAATAAAGTCTGTTTTCTTCCTGAAAACTGAGTAACAATGCTTAACCTACCCTGCCGATTTCTCTACAATTCGATAGCCTGTGACTACTTGGGTTTTTTTTTTTTTTTAAGTCAGTGATTGAGTGAATATAATTATACTGTTTGAAACAATGCCGAACGTTTTCCTTATGACAGCCCCTTTGATAGGAATAGGGAATACATGGATTAAAAAAATGAGGGAAGGCAAGTAAAATATTAGGAGGAAGGTCAAACAGATTAAGAACAATTTTTTTCTATAGGTACTTGGGTTTAATACTTAAGTGATCTGTGGTCCCGGTTGGTATTCCTACCCTTTTAAAGATTGGCAGCAGAGTATTTTAGCTATTAAGAAGACATGTGGTAACAGTTTAAATAATTATGTTTTAGGATACTGCAAATTGTTACCTTGTCTAAGGAGAATATGCATTGATGATACATGGTTTTAGGTGGCTAGCTGTGCTTTGACTGAAATGATAGCATGTTGATAAAACTAGTTTGGAGAGTTAGTTCCTTTTCAACAAGTGTGGGTTCCCCAAGTCTTAGTGGAAACAAGTCTAGAATCGACTGGGCGCGGTGGCTCACGCCTGTAATCCCAGCACTTAGGGAGGCCAAGGTAGGTGAATCACCAGAGGTCAGGAGTTCGAGACCAGCCTGGCCAACATGTCACAACCGCGTCTCTACTAAAAATACAAAAATTAGCCGGGCGTGGTGGCAGGTGCCTGTAATCCCAGCTACTTGGGAGGCTGAGGCAGGAGAATTGCTTGAACCCGGGAGGCGGAGGTTGCAGTGAGCCGAGATAGAGCTACTGCACTCCAGCCTGGGGGACGGGGAGACTCCGTCTCAAAAAAAAGTCTAGAATGAAGGCGCAAAGACATGTCTATTTGTAACTGAAAATATTTCCTTTTCTTACCTAAGATTGTAATCTTAGAAGTTTTAAGGTACGGTTTTGTGGCATTACGGTGGAAAAGAATTGAAATGTGCTCTTTTTGGTTCCCAGCTTAACACCCCGGGTTCATTTTCTTTTTTTCTAGTTTCTGAATTTCTCTTCGGGGTTTAGATCCTAGTCTCTTTAACATAGATGTTGTCAAGCTAAATAATAAGACATCCTTCTTATTTGGAGTCAAGTCATTAAAAAAAGCTATGAAAACAAATGGAAATGCTTGCCATCTTTTCAAAACATGCTTTAAAGTCTGATTTCAAATTACCTTGCATGTTACTTTTTCTGAGTATGTTTTAGGATAGATTCTGATCTGGTTATGAGAAACTTTTTTTTTTTTTTTTTTTTTGAGATGGAGTCTCGCTCTGTCACCAGGCTGGAGTGCAGCAGCACACAATCTCGGTTCACTGCAACCTTTGCCTCCAGGGTTCAAGCAATTCTGCCTCAGCCCCTCGAGTAGCTGGGACTACAGGTGCCCGCCACCACACCCAGCTAATTTTTGTATTTTAATAGAGACAGGGTTTCACCATGTTGGCCAGGATGGTCTCGAACTCTTAACTTCATGATCCACCCGCCTCACCCTCCCAAAGTGCTGGGATTACAGACGTGAGCCACGGTGCCCAGCCGAGAAGCTTTCTTTTTAACCAGTTTGAATTTATGAACTTGATTATTTCTTTCTGTGTAATAACAAACACGTCTTTGGTACCCAATACCAGAGAATGGAATTTGTCCACAATAATTCTAATTGAGTGCTGTCATATTTTGGGACTAATTTTTTTGGCCCAGGCAAGTGGCTCAAGCCTGTATCCTAGCTTTTTGGGAGGATGAGGGAGGAGGATGCTTGAGACTAGGAGTTAGAGACCAGCCTGGGCAACATGGTGAGACCCTGTCTTTACAAAAAAGAAAATTAAATTAAAAAAAAATTTTGCAAAATATTTGTTATGAGTATTTTGTCCCACATTAACAAAAATAGTAGTCTGCCTTTTTTTTTTTGAGACGGAGTCTCACCCTGTTGCCCAGGCTGGAATGCAGTGGTGCGATCTCAGCTCACTACAACCTCCGCCTCCTGGGTTCAAGCGATTCTCCTGCCCCAGCCTCCCAAGTAGCTGGGATTACAGGCGCGCACCACTGCACCCAGCTAATTTTTGTATTTTTGGTAGAGACGGGGTTTCACTATGTTGGTCAGGCTGGTCTCGAACTCTTGACCTCGTGATCCACCCGCGTCGGCCTCCCAAAGTGCTGGGATTACAGGCATGAGTGACCGTGCCCAGCCTAGTAGTCTGCCATTTTGAAATGCTGTATTTTATGAACTTGGTATATCTTTTTTTTTTTTTTTTTTTTTTTTTGAGACGCAGTCTCGCTCTGTTGCCCAGGCTGGAGTGCAATGGTGGAATCTTGGCTCACTGCAACCCCTGCCTCGCAGGTTCAAGCGATTCTTCTGCCTCAGCCTTCTGAGTAGCTGGATTACAGGTGCCTGCCACCACAGCCAGCTAGTTTTTGTATTTTTAGTAGAGAAGAGGTTTCAACGTATTGGCCAGGCTGGTCTCGAATTCCTGACCTCAGGTGATCTGCCTGCCTCAGTCTCCCGAAGTGCTGGGATTACAGGCGTGAGCCATAGCACCCGGCCTGAACTTGGTATATACTTTTATAAAAGAAAAGACTTTCAAGTCATATATATTAACTGAGGCATTTCTTTAATGACCCTCTGACCAAACTAAAACTTCCTGCTGTGAAGTTTCAAAATGGCATCCCATTGAGTGACTCTATATATAGAAGAATCTAGCAATTCCTTTTCTGTTTGCTCACAATTTTAAAGATGAATCTTTGAAAGTTAAAAGGGGCTCAACACCTTCTGCCCCCCAGTGTATACAATAGTTTTTTTTTTTTTTTTTTTTGAGACAGGGTTTCACTTCAATGCCTAGGCTGGAGTGCAGCGGCACAATCCCTGCTCACTGCAGCCTTGATATTCTGGTCTCAGGTCAGTCTCTCACCTCAGCCCCTGAGTAGCTGGGACTACAGGTGCATGCTAACCACACGTGTCAAAAATTGTTTTTTTTCTTTTTTTTTTGAGAGAGAGTTTTGCTCTTCTCCCTCAGGCTGGAGTGCAGTGGTATGATCTTGGCTTGCTGCAACTTCTGCCTCCCGGGTTCAAGTGATTCTCCTGCCTCAGCTTCCCAAGTAGCTGGGATTACAGGTGCGCGCCATCATGCCTGGCTAATTTTATATATATATGTTTTTTTAAAACAGGGTTTTGCTCTTGTTGCCCAGGCTGGAGTGCAATAGTGTGATCTCTGCTCAGTGCAACCTCCGGCTCCTGGGTTCAAGTGATTCTCCTGCCTCAGCCTCCTGAATAGCTGGGATTACAGGCGCACGCCGCCATGCCCGGCTAATTTTTTGTATTTAGTAGAGACAGGGTTTCACCACGTTAGTCAGGCTGGTCTCGAACTCCTGACCTCAGGTGATCCACCTGCCTCGGCCTCCCAAAGTGCTGTGATTACAGGCGTGAGCCACTGCCCAGGCCTGTATTTTTAGTAGAGATGGGGTTTTACCATGTTGGCCATCTGGTCTTGAACTCCTGACCTCAAGTGATCTACCTGCCTCAGCTTCCCAAAGTTCTGGGATTACAGGTGTGAGCCACTGCGCCTGGCCTAATTTTTGTATTTTTTTGGTAGAGGTGAGGTTTCACTGTGTTTCCCAGGCTGGTCTGGAACTCCTGGGCTCAAGCGATCTGTCCACCAAGACCTCCCAGAGTGCCGTGATTACAGATGTGAGCCACCATACTGGCCTATGATACTTTTTTTTTTTAAGTGTACTTTTCACTCAAATTTGCAAGAATGTAGCAAACCAAATAAAGCATTGTTCACTGGAAAGCGTAGTTTGAGAAGGCAGTAATTAGAGGTGTAGACTTAATATGAAGCCATTTGTTGAGTTTTTTCGTTTGTTTGTTTGTTTTTTAAGATGGAGTCTTGCTCTGTTGCCCAGGCTTGAGAGCAGTGGTGTGATCTCGGCTCACTGCAACGTCCGCCTCCCAGGTTCAAGTGATTCTCCTCCCTCAGCCTCCCGAGTAGCTGGGATTACAGGCGCGTGCCACCACGGCTGGGTAATTTTTGTCTTTTTAGTAGAGATCTGGTTCACCATGTTGGTCAGGCTGGTCTCGAACTCCTGACCTTGTGATCCACTCATCTCAGCCTCCCAAAGTGCTGGGATTATAGGCGTAAGCCGTCGCACCCACAGTGATTTAAAGGAATGTAGTGTATATATTTGAGAAATGCATTTATATCTTTAATTCTGGAAAACACAGCATTAACTAACCTCCAGCATACCTGTTGCTTAACTGTGTTACAGTTGTTACAGGGAAATTCCTGAAATGTTGAATACGTTGCAACCATGTAGGATAATTTTTTGTTGATTCTGAGAACATAAACTTTCTTCCAGTATATTCTCACACCACCAGATGTGTGGGGTTTTCCCCTGCGCATCAAGCAAGCTATTCAGCAGTGGACACCACATGGGTATCCTCTAATTCAGTATTATTCTGACACGGTGTACCTGAAGATAGCATCAGATCCCACAGGTTGAAAGCTCAAGTCCCATAGACAGTCCCCCACTTCCAATGCTAATCTCAAGTCCCAGGTGGTTTTACCTGTGTTTCTGACCAACTGACTATAAATTGAGTTCCTAATACCCCCTTCTTTTGTTCAGTTAACTTGCTAGAGTGGCTTATGTAGAACTCTCGGAAATACTTAGGGTTTTTTTTTTTTGGAGCCGGAGTCTTGGCTCTGTCACCCAGGCTGGAGTGCAGTGGCACGATCTAGGCTTGCTGCAACCTCTATCGCTCTGGTTCAAGCGATTCTTCTGCCTCGGCCTCCCAAGTAGCTGGGATTATAGGCATGCGCCACCACACCTGGCTAATTTTTTATATTTTTGGTAGAGATGGGGTTTCATCATGTTGGTCAGGCTGGTCTCGAATTCTTGACTTCAAGCGATCGACCCACCTCAGCCTCCCAAAGTGCTGGGATTACAGACAGGCATGAGCCACTGTACCCGGCCAACACTTAGGTTCAAGAGTTTATTATAAAGGATATGGATGAGGAGGTGCGTAGGAGAAGTAAGGGCCGCGGAGCTTCCATGCCCTCCCCTGGCTACACTGTGCCTCAGCTATCTGGAAGCTCTCTGAACCCAGTCATTTATGGGCTTTTATGGAGGCTTCATTACAGAGGCACAGTTGGTTAAATCATTGACCTTTGGTGGTCACCTTAACCCTTAGCACCTTTTCCCTCCCTGGAGTTTGGAGGAGGTGGGGCTAAAAGTCCTAATCCTCTCATCTTGCCTTGATCTTTCAGGTGACCAGCACCCATGCAGAAACTACCTAGAAGTTGCCAAGCTATCAGTCAACTCAGCATACAAAAAGAAACTTACCATTCTAAGGATCTTAGAAGTTGTATGCCAGGAAATGGGATGAAGACCAAATGTATATCTCACAATAAATATTACAGTAATGTTGAAGTAATTATTTGAAATATAAAAGTGGGATGGAAGTATTTTCTTTTCTTTTTTTTTTTGGAGGCAGAGTCTCGCTGTATCCCCCAGGCTGGAGCGCGATATCGGCTCACTGCAACCTCTCCTTCCTGGGTTCAAGCGATTCTCCTGCCTCAGCCTCCTGAGTAGCTGGGATTACAGGCGCCTGCCACCACGCTTGGCTAATTTTTGTATTTTTAGTAGAGACGGGGTTTTGCCATATTGGTCAGGCTGGTCTCGAACTCCTGACCTCAGGTGATCTGCCTGCCTTGGCCTCCCTAAGTGCTGGGATTTCAGGCGTGAGCCACTGCACCCAGCCAAAAGGATTTTCAAAGACGCTATCTAACATTCTTTTTTCTTTTTCTTTCTTTCTTTTTTTTTTTTTTGGGTCAAGAGTTTCACTCTTGGCGCCTGGGTTAGAGTGCAGTGGTGCGATCTCAGCTCACTGCAACCTCTGCCTCCAGGTTTCAAGAGACGATCCTGCCTCAGCCTCCCGAGTAGGTGGGATTATAGGTGCCCACCACCACATCTGGCTAATTTTTGTATTTTTAGTAGAGACAGGGTTTCACCATGTTCGCCAGGCTGGTCTCAAACTCCTGACCTCAGGTGATCCACCCACCTCAGCCTCCCAAAGTGTTGGGATTATAGGCGTGAGCCTATAATATTCTTAAGCTTTATATTCAGAACTCAGCAGTTTCCGAGTCAGATAATTAAACGTTTGTTCCCTTAGATTTATAGCTTCTAGGTTTTGCGTTTTTTTCTTAATTGATTTTATTTTTTAGAGCAGTTTTGGGATCACAGTAAAATTGATGAGAAAGTACAGAGGTTTCCTGTATTATCTCCTGCCCCAATACATGCTTTGCCTTGCCCATTGTCCACGCCCGCCCCCCCCCCCCCCCCCACTAGAGTGGTACATTTTTTGAGATACAGTCTCGCTCTGTCACCCAGGCTGGAGTGCAGTGGCGCCATCTCGGCTCACTGCAAGCTGTGCTACCCGGGTTCACGCCATTCTCCTGCCTCAGCATCCCTAGTAACTGGGACTACAGGCGCCCACCACCACGCCTGGCTAATTTTTTATAGTTTTTTAGTAGAGACGGGGTTTCACCGTGTTAGCCAGGATGGTCTCGATCTCCTGACCTCGTGATCCACCCGCCTCGGCCTCCCAAAGTGCTGGGATTACAGGTGTGAGCCACCGAGCCCAGCCTGTACATTTCTTACAATTGATGAATCTACGCTGATAGATCATCATCATCCAAATTCTCTGGTTTACATTAGAATTCACTCTTGGTGGTGTATCTTCTTTTTTTTTTTTTTTTTTTTTTTTGAGACGGAGTCTCTTTCCGTCGCCCAGGCTGGAGTGCAGTGGTGCGATGTCGGCTCACTGCAAGCTCCGCCTCCCGGGTTCATGCCATTCTCCTGCCTCAGCCTCCTGAATAGCTGGGACTACAGGCACCCGGCTAATTTGTTTTTTGTATTTTTTGGTAGAGACGGGGTTTCACCGTGTTAGCCAGGATGGTCTCGATCTCCTGACCTCGTGATCTGCCCGCCTCGGCCTCCCAAAGTGCTGGGATTACAGGTGTGAGCCACCATGCCCGGCCATGGTGGTGTATATTCTGTGGATTTGGACAAACTATAAGGCCTGGTTTTGCTAACAAGAATAGTTGCCAGGCGTGGTGGCTCATGCCTGTAATCCTAGCACTTTGGGAGGCCGAGGCGGGCGGATCACCTGAGGTCGGGAGTTTGAGACCAGCTTGACCAACATGGAGAAACCCCGTATCCACTGAAAATACAAAATTAGTTGGGCGTGGTGGCGCGTGCCTGTAATCTCAGCTACTTGGGAGGCTGAGGCAGGAGAATCGCTGGACCCTGGGAGGTGGAGGTTGCGGTGAGCCGAGATTGCACCATTGCACTCCAGCCTAGGCAACAAGAGCAAAACTCTGTCTCAAAAAAGAAAAAGAAAGAATAGTTAGCTGGGCCAGCGCAGTGGCTCACGCCTGCAATCCTAACACTTTTGGGAGGCAGAGGTGTACAAATCACTTAAGCCGAGGAGTTTCAGACCACCCTGGGCAATATGATGAAACCCCATCTCTGCTAAAAATACAAAACTTGAGGTGGGAGGATCACCTGAGCCTGGGGAGGTCGAGGCTGCAGTGGGCTGTGATCATTGCACTCCAGCCTGGGTGACAGACTCTGTCTCAAAAAAAAGAAAAAAAAAAAGTTATCTTTTTGTCTAGTTTCAGGCTCTTGTCTTTTTTGAAATAACTTTCTAACTAATCTCCATTATAGTTTCTTTATCATTGGTTTTTGGGTTTATTTCACAAATAATATGTGGATATTGTGATTGTAAAAGATTCTAGGACTGCAGTTAATTTTTTATATTTCTGCCAAAATGCCACTTAAATCATTGCTTTGGAAATATCCTTTCTTTGTTCAGAAGTCATTCTAATACCTTCATCTGGAATTATAAGTGTTGATTCCTCCTTCCCTGTGGTACTACTGTGTTGTATTATAGTCAAAAGACTGTTAAGCAGTGGTACCCAAATATATCTTTGTCCTCTTTTTTTTTTTTTTTTTTTTTTTTAAATGAGACAGAGTCTTCGCTGTGTCACCCAGGCTGGAATGTAGTGTCGCGAGCTTGGCTCACTGCAATACAACCACCTCCTTCCGGGTTCAAGCGATTCTCCTGCCTTATCCCCGCCGAGTAGCTGGGATTACAGGTGCCTGCCACACCACGCCCGGCTAATTTTTGCATTTTTAGTAGAGATGGGGTTTCCTCATGTTGGCCAGGCTGGTCCTGAACCCCTGACCTCAGGTGATCTGCCCACCTCGGCCTCCCAAAGTGTTGGGATTACAGGTTTGAGCCACCGCACCCAGCCTCTTCGTCTTTTTACATCTGGAATGTCATCTCTACCAAAACTTTATCATTCTAGTCCAAACTCAGGTGTACTGTCTATAAATACCTAATTTCCTTAAGCAAAATTGATTTTTTGCCATCCTTGGCCAGTTTCACTTAAGTGCACCCTACAATGCCTTTTAAGTTTTCTGTCCCATAGTGAGTAAGGAGTCTCTTTCCCCAGTGCATATATACAGTTGAACTGTAATTGAATAGTGCTTCATTTATTACAGTTGGGTAAATTGATAGAATATAGCATTCTTGGAAATCGATACTCTGGTTTTTCTTTTTTTCATACTGCTTGAATGAGCAAGTAACATTTCAGAGGAAAAGATCTATCGGTGGTGGTTCATTATGTAGGTCAGGATTTTAGTTTCATTTGTGCATTGGATTTTAGAATATCATGACTATCTCTAGTAATCTACAGAGTTAAACTATTTACATCTTGGCAATTTCTTGAATTAATTAGGGAGATCTTTCTTTACCCCCAACCTTTTATTTGGATAGAGTTTTCTTAGTTGTGACCAAAGCAAATAAGGTTTTTTTCCCAGCAGTTTTTTGGACGACTAGAAACAAGATTTGAATTTTTCATTTCCTCACTATGAAAATGCAAAACTTGGCTACGCGCGGTGGCTCACGCCTGTAATCCCAGCACTTTGGGAGGCCGAGGTGGGCAGATCACAAAGTCAGGAGTTCAAGACCAGCCTGGTCAATATGGTGAAACCCCGTCTCTACTAAAAATACAAAAATTAGCCAGGTGTGGTGGCGGGCGGCTAGTCCCAGCTACTTGGGAGGCTGAGGCAGGAGAATTGCTTGAACCTGGGAGGCGGAGGTTGCAGTGAGCTGAGATCGCGCCACTGCACTTCAGCCTGGGTGACAGAGCGAGACGCTGTCTCAAAAAAAAAAAAAGAAAGAAAATGCAAAACTCTAGTGTGACCAAAAGATGCTCTTTTACAATTAATGGTCAGTGTAATAATAATAAATTTGCAGTTCTGCTGAGACTGCCTAAAGATGAAGGGACTTGAGTTTTAACAAGTTCTTTAGCATCGTAAATTGAATTCTGAGATTTGAGAGTTTTCTCTTGGTGTAGTTCTTTTTAAAATAAAATAGCTTCAAGAAGGCTACTCTCTGTTATTTTGTTTTTTGAGACAGGGTCTCTGTTGCCCAGGCTGGAGTGCAGTGGCACGATCATGGCTCACTGCAACCATGACCTCCTGAGTTCAAGCCATCCTCCCACCTCAGTCTCCCCAGTCAGTGGCTGGGACTACAGGTGTGCACCACTACGTCCAGCTAATTAAAAAAAGTTTTTTTATAGTGATGGGGGTCTCACTATGTTGCTCAGCCTGGCCTTGCACTCCCAGCCTCAAAAAATCCTCCCACCTTAGCCTCCCAAAGTGCTGGGATTACAGGCGGGAGCCACCATGCCTGGCGTGGATTAGATTAATTCTTGTAAAATATTTAAGGCACATACACAAGGCTGTTAAATGTTACAAGTTATTGAAGGCACTGTAGCATTGAGTGAAATAAATTGCTTGATTAATATGTGTATATAAAAAGCAAGTCAACTCTTTTTTTCATGTCAGACAGGTAATGTGCCGTTTGAGGTTGCCATATCTCACGCATGCATGTGAACACCCAGTCATCATGCTTATGAACTACGGAAGGGTCAACTCTTTTTCTTTTTTTTTTTTGAGACAGGGTTTCTCTGTGTCGCCCAGGCTGGAGTGTGCGCCAACATGCCCTGCTAATTTTTTTCTTTGAAATGGAGTCTCGCCCTGTCGCCCAGCCTGGAGTGCAATGGTGCGATCTTAGCTCGCTGCAACATCTGCCTCCTGGGTTCAAGCTGATTCTCCTGCCTCAGCCTCCCAAGTAGCTGGGATTACAGATGTGCACCACCATGTCCTGCTAATTTTTTGTATCTTTAGTAGACACGGGGTTTACCATGTTGGCCAGGCTGGTCTCGAACTCCTGACCTCGTGATCCATCCACTTCAGCCTCCCAAAGTACTGGGATTACAGGTGTGAGCTGCCGTGCCCGGCCAAACTCTTTTTAATTAATTTTTTTTTTTTAGAGACAAAGTAGCTCGACCACAGCTCAATGCAGCCTTGAACTCCTGGGCTCAGTCAGTCTTCCCACCTCACCCTCCTGAGTAGCTGGCTGGGATTGCAGGTGCAAGTACACAATCCACCACAAAATAGTTATGCATAAACTGTTTTTCTAATAACTTGTGTTAGCCACTTTATGTAAGCTGCATACCATTTCTTACCATCTTCTGGATTTAAGCTCTGCTTGGCTTTGTGTTAATGTGGAAAGTCAATTTTTTCTTTAATTTTATAGAGGCAGGGTCTTGCTCTGTTACCCACGCTCTAGTGCAGTAGTGCTGTGATAGCTCGTTAAAATCACAGACTCCTGGGCTCAAGCCATCCTCCCACAGCAGCCCAAGTAGCTAAGACTATAGGCACACAGTGCCACACCCAGCTAATTTTTATTGTTGTAGTTGTAGAGACAGGGTCTTGCTATGTTGCCCAAGCTGGTCTTGAGCTCCTGGTTTCAAGTGGTCCTCCTGACTCAGCCTCCCAAAGTCCTGAGATTACAGGCATGAGCCACTGCACCAGCCAAAAGTTAATTTTGAGGTGTTTACATTGAGGGCCCATCCTATAGAAGGTGGCTATATCAGCCATTTTCTCAACAAGGGCACTGTTGGCATTTGGGCAGCGTAGTTCTTTGTTGGCGATAGAGGTTGAATATCGCTTATCTTAAATGCTTGAGACTAGACATGTTTCTCATTTCAGATTTTGGAAAATTCTTGTACTTACCAATATGCACCAATGAGTATTCTTTTGAGTGTCATGTTTGTGCTCAAAACATTTTGGATTTTGGAGTCTTTCGAACTTTGGATTTTCAAATTTGGGATGCTCAGCCTGTATTGTCCCCTTGTAAGATGTGGTTTGTTATTTTTTTTTTTAATTAAAAAAATTTTTTTGAGACACTCTTGCTCTGTTGCCCGGGTTGGAGTGCAGTGGTGCAATCATGGCTCACTGTAGCCTCAACCTCTCAGGCTTAAGTGATCCTCCTACCTCAGCCTTCTAAGTAGCCAGGGCTACAGGTGCATGCCACCATGCCCTGCTTGCTTGTTTATGTATTTATTTGTTGAGATGGTCTCACTGTTCCCCAGATGGGTCTCAAACTCCAGGTTCAAGTGATCCTCCTGCCTCAGCCTCCCAAAATGCTGGCATTACAGCCGTGAGCCCTGCACCTGGCCTCTTGCAAGATGTTTAATTTCATCCTTAATTCTCACTGAATGCCAGTAACTCTTCTGACACCTAAACATTTCAAAATGCTTTTGGAGATACTACTGCTCTTCAGTGTTTTTTTTCCATAGATGCCTTCTTGAGGTTCAGATTTCTCATTAGGTTTATTTTGTTCACTTTAGATTTACTTATTCTTGGTATAAATCACAAGACACTTAAAATTATTTTAGTTTTACAATGGCACATGTAACAGAAGACTACATGGGGGAAAGGAAATAACATATTTCACTGATTCTAACACAAAATTTCCATACTTTAAAATCTCTAAAATTGGCATACACTGTATTATTGAAAAAAATGCTGCCAAATAATCTAGTAGTAATATATAAAATAATCATGTCATTCTCACGAAAGCAAACCAACCTGAAATAAGATTATGAAAAATAAGCACTATGATGGGTAGTGAAGGCAGAAGGAATTTCCCAAACTTTGACTATATCTTGTTTTCCTTTAAAAACAAAAAACGAAAAAACCAGCTGGATGCTGTGGCTCACACCTGTAATCCCAGCACTTTGGGAGGCTGAGGTGGGAGGACTGCTTGAGCTCAGGAGTTTGAGACCAGCCTGGGCAATATAGCAAGACCCCATCTGTACTAAAAATAAAAAATAAAAACAAAGTCCTTGTAGGCCGGGCGTGGTGGCTCACGCCTGTAATCCCAGCACTTTGGGAGGCCGAGGCAGGTGGATCACCTGAGGTCAGGAGTTCAAGACCAGCCTGGCCAAGATGGTGAAACCCTGTTTCCACTAAAAATGTAAAAATTAGCCGGGCGTGGTGGCAGGCGCCTATAATCCCAGCTACTTGGGAGGCTGAGGCAGAGAATTGCTTGAACCCGGGAGGCGGAGGTTGCAGTGAGCCGAGATCATGACACTGCACTCCAGCCTGGGCAACAGAGCGAGACTCCGTCTGAAAAAACTAACAAAAAGAGTTATTGCAATTTCTTACTTTTTATTTTTTTGGTAGAGTCAGTGTCTTGCCCTGTCATCCAGGCTGCAGGACAATGGCCTGATCATAGCTCACTTGGGCTCAGACAGTCCTCCCCCTTCAGCCTCTCTAGTAGCTAGGGCCAAAGGCATTTGCCACTGCACCTTGCTAATTAAAAAAAAAAAAAAAAAGTAGAGATGGGGTTATTCTATGTTGCCTAGGCTGGTCTTGAACTCCTGGTCCCAAGCCATCCTCCCTTCTTGGCCTCCCAAAGTGCTGGGATTAGAGGTGCGAGCTACTGTGTCTGGCCTGCTGTTTCTTGAGTACATTCGCTTCTCTTTTCCTTACATGTTCATGGCTTTCCTGTGACCTTATCTTTCCTTTCTTGGTATTTCCCATCATCAAGAGTAACTTCTAAAAATGTTCATTTGATCATTTTGTCTGTTATTAGGCAAAACAGGCCTAAAACAAATCCAAGATAACAGCGGCTTAACAGAGTAAAAATGTATTTCTTCCTCAAATAATTTTCATTGAGGATGTTTCATTGAGGATCCTGTGCAATAATTCAAGAAGTCTCCCTTCGTCTGTCATCTCATGACATCATCCTCCTCTAGGTCTTGGGGGTTTATTCATCGGGCAGATAGTCAAAAACAGAGAATCATGAGTGAGGTTTTGTGAGCTAGGTCTGAAAGTGCCACATACCATATTTGCTGTATACTTTGTGGGTTAGGAACTAAGTCTTACAGCCAAACCAATGCAAGAGAAGCTGAGAATTGTATTCTAATTCTTTAGCTGGGAAGAGGAAGCAGTTTGGTGAGCATCTAGCCCATCTCTGCATCTCCCTGTTTACTAAAACAGACCCAAACCAATCAAAGTAGCTTCCCAGATCATCTTTGTGATAAGATTCAAAATTCTGAAATGGATTCTCCATGTGCTAGACAGGAAATCCACAATTTGGGTCCCACTTACCTCTAGAAGATATTTCATCTCTGCTGGGCAAGCGTGTTGGGGACAGTTCCCAAGTCCACCTGCAGGTTCAGTAATTCACTAGGAGAAAAGCCCAGGGCTGATTTTTTTTTTTTTTTAAATAGCAAAGGATACAGGCCCAGTGCTGTGGCTGATGCCTGTAATCCCAGCACGTCAGGAGACCGTGGCGGGCAGATCAGTTGAGGCCAGGCGTTCCAAGACCAGCCTGGCCAACATGGTGAAACCCTGTCTCTAATAAAAGTACAAAAAATTAGACGTAGTGGCATATGCCTGTGGTCCCAGCTACTCCAGAAGCTGAGGCAGGAGGATCGCTTGAGCCTGGGAGGTAGAGGCTGCAGTGAGCCCAGCTCAGGCCACTGCGCTCCATCCTGGGCGACAGAGTGAGACCCCGTCTCAAAAAAATAAAATACAATAAAAAGTGTTTTTCTATAGCAAAGTATACAAAGCAAAATCAGCAAGGGGAGATGGTGAATGGGGTGAATCCGGGAGGAAACTAGGCTCATGCTCCCAAGTGTCCTCTCCCAGTGGAGTCACACAGGACACAATTCCTCCAGCATGGAGTTGCGACAGCACGTGTATGTGAAATGTTGCCTAGCAGGGAAGCTTTTGCTAGAAACTCAGTGCCTATTGTTATTATTGGTGGGGCCTGTTCCTGTAGGCACCCTCTGCCTACCACATATTAAAATTTTAGGCTCCTAGACAGAAAGCTGGTATTCATCTAGATAGAAAGCCGGTGTTCATCATAAACCACATTTGGTTTGTGCAGTTTATGCCGAATGAGTCACTCTTAGTAGCCCTGGGGATGGTGAGAACTCTTCCGAAAGTTATCAGAGACCAGCCAAGGGCCAACTGTGCAAGCCTTTCTAAGGACAGCAGGCTCGGGCCATCTATGTTACCTCTCTTCTACAGTGAGTGAGGTGAATGGCTTCCATAGGTTGGGATTTTGCATAGAGAGTCTTGGAATATGCAAAGCTACTGGCATAATATTTTTTGGTTTTGAGAGTAATTTTCTTTTCTTTTTTTTTTTTTTTGAGACAGTGTCTCGCCCTGTCGCCCAGGCTGGAGTGCAGTGGCGCGATCTTGGCTCACTGCAAGCTCCGCCTCCCGGGTTCACGCCATTCTCCTGCCTCAGCCTCCTGAGTAGCTGGGACTACAGGTGCCCGCCACCACGCCCGGCTAATTTTTTTTTTGTATTTTTAGTAGAGACGGGGTTTCACCATGTTAGCCAGGATGGTCCCTATCTCCTGACCTCGTGATCCACCCGCCTCGGCCTCCCAAAGTGCTGGGATTACAGGCGTGAGCCACCACGGCGACCAATTTTCTACTTTGAAAAAAAACTTCAGTTCCTTTCTCAACTATTTTATGTAACTTTTCAAAAGAGTTATTCTTATTAGATACTTTGTATCTATAAGAACATAATCTAAATAGACCACTGTTACGTGACTGTTTTTTTCCCCTCAATAGATAATTTCTATTATTTATGGGTCCTTTTTTTAGTTATTACATGGTTTGCCACTTTATGATTTACTTAATCAGTGCCCTTTTGATGGATATTTAGGCTTTCAGTTGATAGTTTTTAAAGAATTGGTCATTGCCTGGAGAAAAAGTAATGAATTAAAAGGTGACTCCTAAGTATTCAGTGCAGAGGTATAATGCAGATGGTTTAGGGGCCTAAAACTTCTGTGAGAGTGGAGATGCTTATTGATACCAAGAATTGGTATTAAAACAATTATTTAGACTTGTACAAATCGATTTTGAAAGGATTTTTGCTTGTTTTAGACTTAACCTCTAAGCCAGGCGTGGTGACTCAAGCCTGTAATCCCAGCACTTTGGGAGCCTGAGGTGGGCAGATCACGAGGTCAGGAGTTCAAGACCAGCCTGGCCAACATGATGAAACCCCATCTCTACTAAAAATAAAAAAAAATTAGCTGGGCGTGTTGGCGCATGCCTGTAATCCCAGCTACTTAGGATCCCGAGGCAGGAGAATCGCTTGAACCTGGGAGGGGGAGGTTACAGTGAGCCAAGGTCATGCCACTGCACTCCAGCCTAGGTGACAGAGCGAGTCTGAAAAACAAACAAAAAACCTCTACTGCTCAGTATCTTCAAAATTATGCTACTTACTATCTGAAAGTTAAACTATTCCTTATCTGTAAAGTTGGGGTAATAATATCACCCTTGAGTTGTGAGGATTAAAGAAACATGTAAAGTGCTTAGACCAATTCTACTTAGTGTTTATTATACTTGCATAAGTTATTCTATTATGTACACAATAGTTATAACTAAGATTTTAATAAGTGAACCAACCTTTTGGAACTGCCCCATAAATCTAGAATCTTTGCCTCTTGGAGAAGTAGTTAATATTAGTAAGTGTATAATCAGCCTTCCATAGAAGTTTTGCTCTTGTCGCCCAGGCTGGAGTGCAGTGGCAGGATCTCGGCTCACTGCAACATCCCCCTCCTGGGTTCAAGCTATTCTCCTGCCTCAGCCTCCTGAGTAGCTGGGATTACAGGTGCATGCCACCATGCCTGGCCAATTTTTGTACTTTTAGTAGAGATGGGGTTTTGCCATATTGACCAGGCTGGTCTTGAACTCCTGACCTCAGGTGATCCACACACCTTGGCCTCCCAAAGTGCTGGGATTACAGGTGTGAGCCACGGCGCCAGTCTGATGTAGAACATTTTCATAATTGCAGAAAGAGAGTGAAAAAAAGACAAGGCTCAGATTGACCTTTTTTAGGTCAGAATGCTACTTGGGAAATAAATAATTTTCAAGGTCAAACTTGGTTATCAGTTGGTGTAAGTATTCTGTATTTAGTATTTAGTATTTTTTTAGTATTGGAAGTTGGCAGTTCAATAAACTGATAGCGTTGGGTCTTGCCTACTTGTCTTCTTAAGGTGCCTGATATTTAAATTTAGAGCAAGGTAGCTGGTAGAACATTGCTGGCATCAGTGCTGTGGGAAACCAAACTGCCTTTAGATCGATGTCTTTGCAGCCTGGCATGTGGCACATTCTTGTAGGTCCAACTACTTGGGAGGCTCAGGTGGGAGGATCACTTGAGTCCAGGAGTGTTTTGAGGTTGGCCGCGAGGTGTGGTCACACCACTAGACTCCAGCCTGGATAACAGAGCAAGACCCCTTCTGTTAAAGGAAAAAACAAACGAGCAAACAGATGTCTTTGGTCCAGTTGGAAGGAGTTAAGGGGAGAAAAAGAAGTAGGTGTGAGGGGCATTCCTTGTCCTCAAAGAAGAGATTGCATCAAAGTACAGTATCCTTTTCTTAAATATTTCTTTTTTTTTTTTTTTTGAGACAGAGTCTCGTTCTGTCTTCCAGGCTGGAGTGCAGTGGCGTGATCTCGGCTCACTGCAAGCTCTGCTTCACGGGTTCATGCCATTCTCCTGCCTCAGCCTCCTGAGTAGCTGGGACTGCAGATGCCTGCCACCACACCCAGCTAATTTTTGTATTTTTAGTAGAGACAAGGTTTCACCATGTTGGCCAGGCTGGTCTCGAACTTCTGACCTTAGGTGATCCTCCTTCCTTGGCCTCCCAAAGTGTTGGGATTACAGGCGTGAGCCACTGTTCCCGGCTTCTTAAATATTTCTAATACCTGTTAGCAAGGAATAACCTGACACTGCTCCTTAGGTCAGTGGTTCTCAGTAATTGACTGGGGAGTTTATTTATTTTATTTATTTTTTTTGGAGATGGAGTCTCGCTCTGTCGCTCAGACTGGAGTACAGTGGCGTGGTCTCGGCTCCCTGTAACCTCTGCTTCCCGGGATCAAGCAATTCCCCTGCCTCAGCCTCCCGAGTATCTGGGACTACAGGTGCACACTGTCACGCCCGGCTAATTTTTTGTATTTTAGCAGAGACAGGGTTTCACCGTATTGCCCAGGCTGGTCTTGAACTCCTGAGCTCAGGCAGTCCACCCGCCTCAGCCTCCCAAAGTGGTAGGATTACAGGCATGAGCCACCGCACTCAGCCTGACTGGGGAGTTTAAAATAGACAGCCTGTACTCCTTTTCTCTAGCAGTGTTGACTCTCTTGGTCTTGGGTGGTGCTTAGGAATCAGCATTTTTTAAATTTATTTATTTAGAGACCAAGTCTAGCTCTGTCACCCAGGCTGGAGCGCAGTGGTGTGCTCTCGGCTCACTGCAACCTCCACCTCCTGGGTTTAAGCGATTCTCCTGCCTCAGCCTCCCAAGTAGCTGGGGCTACAGGTGCCTGCCACCACGCCCGGCTGATTTTTTTGTATTTTTTGTTTTGTTTTGTTTGTTTTATGTTTTTTTGAGACGGAGTCTCACTCTGTTGCCCAGGCTGGAGTGCAGTGGTGCGACCTCGGCTCACTGCAAGCTCCACCTCCTGGGTTCACGCCATTCTCCTGCCTCAGCCTCCCGAATAGCTGGGACTACAGGCACCTGCCACCACGTCTGGGTAATTTTTTTGTATTTTTGTAAAGACAGGGTTTCACTGTGTTAGCCAGGATGGTTTCGATCTCCTGACCTTGTGATCCGCCCTCCTTGGCCTCCCAAAGTGCTGGGATTACAGGTGTGAGCCACCGCGCCCCGCCTTTTAATTTTTTGTATTTTTAGTAGAGACGGAATTTCACCATGTTAGTGAGGATGATTTCGATCTCCCGACCTCAAGTGATCCACCTGCCTCGGTCTCCCAAAGTGCTGGGATTACAGGCATGAGCTACCGCGCCTGGCCTATTTATTTCTTTATTGAGGCAGAGTCTTGCTCTGTTGCCCAGGCTGGCGTGCATTGGTGTGATCTCAGCTCACTGCAACCCTCCACCTCCTGCGTTTAAGCGATTCTCTGAGTAGCTGGGATTACAGGTGTCTACCACCATGCCTGGCTAGTTTTTTGTATTTTTAGTAGAGATGGGGTTTTGCCATGTTGGCAAGGCTGGTTTTGAACTCCTGGCTTCAAGTGATTCACCCACCTCGGCCTCCTGAAGTGTTGGGATTATAGGCATGAGCCGCCTTGCCCAGCCAGGAATCAGCATTTTAAATAGCCCTCTCTCCCCTTTCCAATTCTTACACACAGCTGCCTTAGTTGCATAGTGTTATAGTAAAGTCTGTATTTATTACATTAAGCCTCTTGGTCAATGTTTCCTTTTGTGTTTTCTATAATACCTGAAGTGAGTACATGGTGTATAGTTAGGGCTCAAATGTTTGAGTTGATAGGAATGCCAACTTTAGTAGATAATGTATATGTTAGTAACATGTTAATGTATTATTATATATGTTAATGTATTATTATATATAATATGATATATATATATATCACCCTAAGTGATCCCAGAAGGATATTCCTTCATGATAAAAGAAGGAATGAGAATAGTAAAATTTTCCAATTAAAAATGTTTTCTGGCCACATAGTTCATGGCTATAATCCCAACACCTTGGGTGGCTGAGGTGGGAGGATTACTTGAGCTCAGGAGTTCCAGACCAGCTTGGGCAACAAAGTGAGACCCGGTGTCTACAAAAAATAAAATAAGTAGCCAGGCATGGTGGCATGTGTCTGTAGTCCCAGGTACTTGGGAGGCTAAGGCGGGAGGATCACTTGAGCCTAAGAGATCAAGGCTGCATCAGCCATGATCATGCCATTGCACTCCAGCCTGGGCGACAAGCTCGAAACTGTCTCTCCCACCCCTCCAAAATTTTTATTTCTATAGGTTATTGGGGGACAGGTGGTGTGGGTTACATGAGTAAGTTTTGTTTTTTTGTTTGTTTGTATTTTGTTGTGTTTTTTTTTGAGACAGAGTCTCCCTCTGTCACCTAGGCTGGAGTGCAATGGCAAGAGCTTGGCTCACTGCAACCTCCGCCTCCCAGGTTCAAGTGATTCTCCTGCCTCAGCCTCCCAAGTAGCTGGGATTATAGGTGTGTGCCACCACACCTGGCTAATTTTTGTAGTTTTAGTAGAGGTGGAGTTTCACCATGTTGGTCAGGCTGGTCTCGAACTCCTGACCTCGTGATCCACCTGCCTCGGCCTCCCCAAGTGCTGGGATTACAGGCATGAGCCACTGCCCCTGGCGAGTAAGTTCTTTAGTGGTGATCTGTGAGAATTTGGTGAACCCATCACCTGAGCAGTATACACTGTACCCACTTTGTAGTCTTTTATTCCTCATCCCCTTCCCACACTTTCCTCCTGAATCCCCAATCCTCCTGAATCCCCAAGGTCTATTGTGTCATTCTTACGCCTTTGCATCCTCATAGCTTAGCTCCCACTTATGAGTGAGAACATATGATGTTTGGTTTTCCATTCCTGATTGACTTTGCTTAGAATAATAGTCTCTAGTCTCATCCAGGTCGCTGCGAATGCCATTAATTCATTCCTTTTTATGGCTGAGTACTATTCCGTTGTGTATATATATACCACAGTTTGTTTATCCACTCGTTGATGGATGGGCATTTGGATTGGTTCCATGTTTTGCAATTGCGAATTGTGCTGCTGTAAACGTGTGCAAGTATCTTTTTTGTATAATAATTTCTTTTCTTCTGGACAGATACCCAGTAGGTGGGATTGCTGGATCAAATGATAGTTCTACTTTTAGTTCTTTTTTTTTTTTTTTTGAGACAGAGTCTCACTACGTCACCCAGGCTGGAGTGCAGTGATGCGATCTCAGCTCGCTGCAGCCTCAGCCTCCCAGGCTCAACAATTCTCCTGCCTCAGCTTCCCGAGTAGCTGGTATTACAGGCACGAGCCACTATGCCTGGCTAATTTTTTGTATTTTTAGTAGAGGCAGGGTTTCACTATGTTGGCCAGGGTGTCTCGAACTCATGACCTAAAGTTATCTGCCTTCTTTGGTCTCCCATAGTACTGGGATTACGTTGTGAGCCACTGTGCCTGGCCTGGTTTCACTGTGTTTTGTAATACAAATTGGACATTCAGGTTTGTTTGTGTTTTAGTTTATTTTTCTTAAAATGTTCTTTTTCTTTTTTTTTAAATTGAGACAAGAGTCTAGCTCTGTCACCCTGGCTGGAGTGAAATGGCATAATCTCGGCTCCTTGCAACCTCCACGGCCTGAGTTCAAGCGATTCTCATGCCTTATCCTCCTGAGTAGGTGGGACTACAGGTGCTAGCTACCACACCTGGCTAATTTTTTCTGTATTTTTTAGTAGAGACAGGGTTTTACTATGTTGGCCAAGCTGGTCTCAAACTCCTGGCCTCAGGTGATCTGCCCGCCTCACCCTCCCAAAGTGCTGGGTTTACAGGTGTGAGTCACCGCGCCTGGCCTTTTCTTAAAATTTTCAATCATGCAATATATTTACGTGGCTCAGAAATCAAAACCAAAAATAAAAGATGTAATCAGTGAATTTTTGTTCTGACTTCTATCTCTTCTCCTTTTTTCTCACCCATTTAGATAGCCCTTTTCTTTCTTTCTTTCTTTTTTTTTTTTTTTTTGAGTTTTGCTGTTGTTGCCCAGGCTGGAGTACAATAGCATGATCTCCGCTCACTGCAACCCTCTGCCTCCTGGATTCAAGTGATTTTCCTGCCTCAGCCTCCTAAGTAGCTGGGATTACAAGCATATGCCACTAGGTCCAGCTAATTTTGTATTTTTAGTAGTGATGGGGTTTCTCCATGTTGGCCAGGCTGGTCTCGAACTTCTGACCTCAGGTGAATGCCTGCCTTGGCCTCCCGAAGTGCTGGGATTGCAGCCGTGGCCACCTTGCCCAGCCTAGATAGCCATTTTCATTGGCTTGTTTATTGTGAGTATTTTCACAAAAAAGCAACTATATATATGTGAGCATATATACAAACAAAAGGTAGTATATATACAAGTGCTTAAACAAAAGACAGATGACTATATACACGGTCCAGGATGTTTATTCACCAATCACCTAGTCCTGGCCAGCCATCTTTCATGCTCTGACATATACTGCTGCGGTAAATAATACTATCCATATGTTACACTTTTGGAGGTGTGTAGATTTCTGGACTTTTTTAGTGGGATTTTAAGTGAAAGCTCCTATGTAACTGCTATTGATCGAGACCTTATTTGGGATCATGCTATTCAAGAGTTCTGCAGCTTTTCACTTAGTCACTTAGTGTCATGAGTATACTTTTGTTGACATTTAACAAACTATATACCACAGCTACTCTTGGTTCTGTTTAGATTGAATGTTCAATAGACAATTAGTAATATTGTATAGTGTTCTCTAGTGAAAATGCGAATGCCATTTTATAATCCTTTCCCCCCCCCAGCTCTGCAGTAGGTAGTGGTTTATGTATGGCAAAACTATATTTTAATTGGATATTAATCATATTGGGTGGGTGTCATATTGCATGTATGAAGATAATCTTTTTTTTTTCTTTTTTTTTGATACGGTGTCTTGCTCTGCTGCCCAGGCTAGAGTGCAATGGTTTGATCTCAGCTCACTGCAACCTCCGTCTCCCATGTTCAAGCGATTCTCCCTGCCTCAGCCTCCCTAGTAGCTGGGATTACAGGTGCCTGCCACCACACCTGGCTAGTTTTTGTATATTTAGTAGAGACAGGGTTTTGCCATGTTGGCCAGGCTGACCTTGAACTCCTGACCTCAGGTGATCCTCCCGTCTCGGCCTCCTAAAGTGCTGGGATTACAGGCGTGAGCCGGTGCGCCTGGCCTGAAGATAATCTTTACACTCATTTATTTTTGGGTGATTTGTAGTATTTTAGTATTAGGAAAAGTACTGAGAATGGCCTTGTACAATCTTTGTTCCCCTCAGTTGCTGTTTTACTTATTTTTTGTTTTTTTAAGGGACGGGGTCTCACTGTATTGCACAGGCTGGCCTCAAACTCCTGGGCTCAGGCGATCTTTTTACCTGAGCTTCCTGAGTAGCAGGGACTACCAGTGTGTGCCACCTCACCCAGCCATTATTTTACTTTTTATTTCTTATATTTTAATTACAGAGACACTGTCTCACTATGTTGCTCAGTCTGGTCTTGAACTCTGGAGTTCAAGTGATCTTCCTGCCTTGGCCTCCCAAAGTGCTAGGATTACAGGTGTGAACCACCATGCTTGGCTACTTTATATTATCATAACCATATTGTTGGTAAATTTTTTGATATCATTGTTCAGGTAACAGTTGACTTGTAGTATATTATTGTCAAATGTCAGTGACCTTTCATTTGCACTGTGCATCGTTTAATTGAGAAGTGCTGTGAGAAGACTAGGGAAACAAGGTAATTTGGCTGGGTACCGTGGCTCATGCCTATAATCCTAGCACTTTGGGAGGCCTAGGCAGAGGGATCGCTGAGCCCCAGAGTTTGAGACCAGCCTGGGAAACATGGCAAAACCCCATCTCTACAAAAAATACAAAAATTAGCCGTGTGGCAGCGGGCGCTTGTAGTCCTAGCTACTCAGGAAGCTGAGGTAGGAGGATCATCTGAGTCAGGGAGGCTGCGGTAAGCCGTGATTGTGCCACTGCCCTCCAGCCTGGGTGACAGAGACCCTGTCTCAAAAGGAAAATAAAGAGGTAATTTATTGCTTGGAAAGGATTTAGCATTTTTATTGTATGATTGCTTCTTTTTCCTTAGAATTATAGTTGTTTCCCATGTTGAAATACCAGTGGCATGATAATGACAAGTCCTCTGGAGTTTTGGAGGGATGTATTTATGTGTTTTTATTTTATTTTATTTTGAGACAGAGTCTTGCTCTGTCGCCTAGGCTGGAGTGCAGTGGTGGCATAATCTCAGCTCACTTCAGCCTCCGCCTCCTGGGTTCAAGTGATTCTCCTGCCTCAGCCTCCTGAGTAGCCGGGATTACAGGTGTGCACCACCACACCCGGCCAATTTTTGTATTTTTAGTAGAGGTAGGGTTTCACCATGTTGGCCAGGCTGGTCTTGAACTCCTGACCTCAGGTGATCCACCCGCCTCAGCCTCCCAAAGTGCTGGGATTACAGGTGGGAGCCACCACGCCCAGCAATATGTGTTTTTAATAATGAAGATTGGGAGATTTGTTGAAATGGTAGCCATTTTTGGTGTGTTTGTTTGTTTTTGTTTTTGTTTTGAGACGGAGTCTTGCTCTGTCGCCTACGCTGCAGTGCAGTGGCGCGATCTCGGCTCACTGCAATCTCCGCCTCCCAGGTTCATGCCATTCTCCTGCCTCAGCCTCCCGAGCAGCTGGGACTACAGGCGCCCACCACCACGCCCAGCTACTTTTTTGTATTTTTAGTAGAGATGGGGTTTCACCGTGTTAGGCAGGATGGTCTCGATCTCCTGACCTTGTGATCCACCTGCCTCGGCCTCGCAAAGTGCTGGGATTACAGGCATGAGCCACCACACCCGGCTTTGGTGTGGTTTTTTTTTTTTTTTTTAATTTTTTTTTTGTTTTTTGTTTTTTTTTTTTAGACGGAGTTTCGCTCTTGTTGCGCAGGCTGGAGTGCAATGGCACGATCTTGGCCCACCGCAACCTCTGCCTCCCGGGTTCAAGCAATTATTCTGCCTCAGCCTCCCAAGTAGCTGGGATTACAGGCAGGCACCACCACGCCCGGCTAATTTTGTATTTTTTTTTTTTTTTTTTTATAGCAGAGATGGGGTTTCTCCATGTTGGTCAGGCTGGTCTCCAACTCCCGACCTCAGGTGATTCACCCGCCTTGGCCTCCCAAAGTGCTGGGATTACAGGCATGAGCCACCGCGCCCAGCCTTTTGCAGTGTTTTTTTAAGGTTTTGGCCTGGATATGAAGTTAATCATTAAAACTATCTGAGTCCCTGGCATGTAAAGAGCCAATAGTAGACAACGCGTATACAAATAGAATGATCCAGCGCTACAAATCCCTTATAGTGAATGAATATCTTGGAATCTCAACTTTAATGATCTTAAAATAATTAATTCTCTAAATAAATATTTTTGTGATGAACTTGTTGGAAAGTGACTATAGCTTTGTGTTACAGTATTTAAAAATGGCCTATAAATAATGACATGGTGACCCAAACTCTGTATACACATTATAGTGCTAGAGGTTTATTGGAAGGCTGTTTACAGCTGTGTGTAGTATGCACTACTAAGGCTAAATCACTTATTGTCTATTCTCATGTAATTGTTGTATATGACTAGCAGTATTTCAGTGGATTTTCGTGTTTTTTTGGTAGAGTAAAAATACAGGTTACAAAATCCTAAGCTTCAATTTATATCTATTCATTGAGCAAATATTTAGTGAGTTCTTACTATGGGACATGAAGTATGTATAATAAATTGGTGCAGAGTAAACAATTACTTGTTTGTTATGTAACTTACATCCTAATACGAGGAGACTAAAAATATAAGTATGATATGTGTTAGTTTATATGATGTGGAAAAATGCATGGGGCAGGGGTGTGGGGATTACAGTTTTGCATAGGATAGTCAGAGTGTCTTCACTGAGAAGGTGATGTTTGAGTAAAGACTTAAAGAGAGGTAGTTAGCCATATTGCTGTCCACAAGAAGGGCATTCCAGACTAAGGTATCAGTTTGGTGCAGAGGCATTAAGGTGAGAGTGTACCTGAGAAGCAACAAGGAGGCCACTGTGGCCAGAGAGAACTGAGTAGGGGAAGAAGAGTATAAGAGGAAGCTGGAAGAGTATCAGTGGTTAGGTCCCTTAACCTAACCATTGTTTGTTTATTGGACATTTTAAAGACTTCGGCTTCTTTCTACTCTGAGTCAGCGGAGGGTTTTGAGAACAGGATGACATATCTGAGTTTTAGACACACACACACACACACACACACACACACACACACACACACACACACACACACTTTTAAATTGTAGAGATAGGGTCTAGGTATGTTATCCCAGGCTGGAATGCAAGTGGTGTGATCATAGCTAACTGCAGTGTTGAACTCCCGCGTTCAAGCAGTCCTCCTGCCTCAGCATCACAAGTAGCTGGGACTGCAAGTGTGAGCCACCATGCCTGGGTTTTGAGTTTTTTATGATTGAAAATTATTTTTCTCTGGACATTATGTTGAGAATAGACCATAGGAAGCAAGTGTAGCAGGGAGATGAAGTTAGAGGGCTAGCATAGTAATCCAGGTGAGAGATATGATGATCCTTATCATAGCTTGGATATTGTGAGAAATGGTTGGATTCTGGTTATATTTTATAGGCGGAGCCAAAATAATTTCCTGTCAGATTGGCTATAGGTTTTGGCTATAGGTATTGGCTCCAAGATTTTGGCCTGAGTAAGTTTAAGGATGAAACTAGCATCAACTGAGATGGGGAGTGCTTTGCAGGGTGTGACATCATTAAGTGGGGGGAAGACAAGGAGCTTTTTTTTGAATATGAAACATTTGAGATGTGAAGTAGAGATTATATTATACAAATTTGGACACTATGAGAGAGGTTTGGGCTGAAGATAGAACTTTTGAGAGAGTTATTGGTATAGATGGTTTTTTCTTTTTAAAAAAATTTTTTTTATTATTTTATTTTATTTTTTTGAGACAGAGTCTCACTCTGTTGCCCAGGCTGGAGTGAGGTGGCATGATCTCAGCTCACTACAACCTCCACCTCCTGGGTTTAAGTGATTCTCCTGCCTCAACCTCCTGGGTAGCTGGGATTACAGATTTACACCTGGCTAATTTATGGATGGGTTTTTTTTTTTTTTTTTTTTTTTTGGAGACAGAGTCTTGCTCTGTTGCCCAGGCCAGAGTGCAGTGGTGTGATCTTGGCTCACTGCAACCTCCGCCTCTCAGGTTTAGGCAATTCTCCTGTCTCGACCTCCCAAGTAGCTGGGATTATAGGTGTGCACCACCACACCCGGCCTACAGATGGTTTTTTAAGCCATGAGACTGTTAGTAGGCCAGATGCGGTGGCTCACTCTTATAATCCCAACACTTTGGGAGGCTGAGGTGGGTGGATCACCTGAGGTCGGGAGTTCGAGACCAGCCTCACCATCATGGAGAAACCCCATCTCTACTAGAAAAAATACAAAATTAGCCAGTCGTGGTGGCACATGCCAGTAATCCCAGCTACCTGGGAGGCTGAGGCAGGAGAATCGTGTGAACCTGGGAGGTGGAGGTTGCAGTGAGCCAAGATTGTGCCATTTCACTCCAGCCTGGGAAACAAGAGCGAAACTCTGTCTCAAAAAAATAAAAAATAAAAAAAATAAAAGGACTGAAGTAGATTACTAAGAAAGTGAATCTAGAGAAGAAAAGTTCAAGGACTCCAATATTGTGAAGCCAAAAGTCATCAGAGTAGACTAGAGAGACCAGTAAAATGCCATATTAGGAACAAAATAAGTGTATCCATCATCTTTTTATTATTTACTTAAAAATATTTTACTTTTTTTTTTTTTTAATAGACAGGGTCTCGCCATATTGCCCAGGCTGGCCTCAAACTCCTGGGTTCAAGCGATCCTCCTGCCTCAGCCTCCCAAAGTGCTGGGATTACAGGTGTTTGCCACCGTGCACAGGCTTTTTTTTTTTTTTTTTTTTAAGGTGGGTATGGAGCACTAGCATATGTAGAACCTTTGATTTGTGTACATAAAACTATGTATCCTTTATACATTAAGAAGCTGTTAACTTTGCTTTGTCTTGATAAAAGTGTGTAACCTTTATACATTAAGAAACTGTTAGAGATAAAGGTTTTAAATGGCCTTTTAAAGGGGTTTTAATCTTCCTGAGTTTCCTGCATCTTACATGGTGAGTTTTGATTGTAATGAAATTACAAGCGGACTTCAGAACAGGAAGCTGTGGATAAGCTCAGCTCCTTTCCTTCAGAGATTTTTGTGTTTCAGTGGTTCTTGGTGAATTTCTTAAAAAATGGGTGTTGTGGCTGGACGCAGTGGCTCACGCCTGTAATCCCAGCACTTTGGGAGGCCGAGGCGGGCGGATCACAAGCTCAGGAGTTAAGAGACCAGCCTGGCCATCATGGCAAAACCCTGTCTCTACTAAAAATACAAAAACTAGCCAGGATGTGGGCTCCATGGCTCATGCTTGTAATCCCAGCATTTTGGAAGGCCGAAGCAGGTGGATCGCCTGAGGTCAGGAGTTCAAGACCAGCCAGGCCAACATGGCGAAACCCCTTCTTTACTAAAAACACAACAAATTAGCTGGGCATGGTGGCTGTTGCCTGTAATTCCAGCTACTTGGGAGGCTGAGACAGGAGGATCAGTTGAACCCAGGTGGCTGAGGTTGCAGTGAGCTGAGACCGTGCCATTAAACTCCAGCCTCGGCAACAAGAGTGAAACTGTCTCAAAAACAACAACAACAGCAACAACAACAGAATAGAGATGGGATCTCACTATGTTGCTTAGGCTTTTCTCAGACTCCTGGCCTCAAGCAATCCTCCCATCTCCCACCTCATCCTCCCAAAGTGTTGGGATTACAACACTTTGGCATGAGCCACTGCACAGCCACATTTGTCTTTTCTATACAGAATAGTTCTCACTCAGCAGGTGGTTGGAGTTAAACTGATAATAATCCTGTCATTTTAGCTGTACTGCTGCTTTGGGCTTCCCTTTCTGAATTCTCCCAGGGAACAGTTTCAGCAATGCAGGAAGCAATTTGGCTTCTGGAGTTCCTTACCTGTACAGCCATTCAAATACCTAAAACATACATCCCAAGGTATAAGACCAAACTACCTGATTCTGAAGCAGTAACATAAAGAATAAAGTGAATACATAGTGTCTTATAAATAGGTCGCAGATACCATGGAAAGAGAGTCTGAAAATGAGAGATGAATGTTCCTTCCACAAACCTTAATTTTAAGTAAGTTTCCACTTGCTGCTTCCAAAGGGTATAGTAGAAATTATTTTGAAATAGGTAAAATAGAAATCTTAAGTGTTACAAGTTGTCTTACTAAAATGAAACTCTTTGGATGAGTATTTTCTTTTTTTGAGACCGAGTACCACTTTCTCACCCAGGCTGGAATGCAGTGGCATGATCTCGGCTCACCTGGTTCAAGCAATTCCCCTGCCTCAGCCTCCCGAGTAGTTAGGATTACAGGCACTCGCCACCATGCCTGGCCAAATTTTTTTGTATTCTGAGTAGAGACGGGGTTTCACCATGTTGGCCAGACTGGTCACGAACTCCTGATCTCAGACAATCCACACCCGCCTTGGCCTCCCAAAGTGCTGGGATTACAGGCATATTTTTTTTTCCCCCAAGTTGGAGTCTTGCTCTGTTGCCCAGAGCTGGAGTGCAATGGCGCGATCTCAGCTGACTGCACCCTCTGCCTCCTAGTTTCAAGCGGTCCTCCTGCCTCAGCCTCCTGGGTAGCTGGGATTACAGGCGTGCACCACCATGCCTGGCTAATTTTTGTATTTTCAGTAGAGACGGGTTTCACCATGTTGGCCGGGCTGGTCTCGAACTCCTGCCCTTGTGATCTGCCTGCCTCGGCCTCGCAAAGTGCTGGGGTTACAGGTGTGAGCCGTCACACCCAGCCATGTATTTTCTTTTTATACTTGCCCTGCCTAATTGAGAAACCTGGCATTTCTTATCAACAGTGGTTGAGCTACCTTACTATCTTTTTAGAGTCATTAGTAACATTTTAGGTACTAACACAGAGACGATGGTAGTTTAACCCTATTCTCTTCTAATTATTAATTTGCAACTAGTTGTGATCAATTAGTTGTAAACACCACTGCGCCTGGACCAGCCTCCTTTTTCCTTTTAATTTAAAAATCTGGATTTGTGTGTGTGTGTTTTTTTAAACAGGTGCCATGTTTCAGAACAGAGTAAGACCCCTGGTAAAGAAGAACTGAAGATATTATACAGATACCAGATATAGCCTAATTACAAAGAAAGCATTAACCTGCCTCTGAGGTGACTAAAGGGGAATAATGGTGATTTTGCGCCGGGCTCGGCCGCCTGCTTCCGCCCCAACCAGCAATGAATCTTGACTCGCTCTCGCTGGCCTTGTCTCAAATCAGCTACCTGGTGGACAATTTAACCAAGAAAAATTACCGAGCCAGCCAGCAGGAAATACAGCATGTAAGTAAACTAGCCAGAAAACAAGTGCCATTAAAGGAATGAGTAGACAGTGGAAAGAAAACCACACATTTATGTGGGCATGTTGCATGAAAGGTAACTAACTTTTGCCCCTTAATTCAAGTGATTTCTGTCATCATCATCTGTAAAAGAGCTCTTAGCCCAATCTTTTTTTTTTTTTTTTTTTTGAGACAGAGTCTTACTCTGTCGTCCAGGCTGGAGTGCAGTGGCATGATCTCGGCTCACTGCATCCTCTGCCTCCTGGTTTCAAGCAGTTCTCCTGCCTCAGCCTCCCGAGTAGCTGGGATTACAGGCATGTGCCACCATGCCCGGCTGTATTTTTAGTAGAGACGGGGTTTCACCATGTTGGTCAGTCTGGTCTAAAACTCCCAACCTCAAGTGATCCGCCTTGGCCTCGAAAAGTTCTGGGATTACAGGCGTGAGCCACCACGCCCAGCCCAATCTTTTTTTTAAAAAGATTTTTCACAGCTTTTTATTTTCCATAGAAATTATAAAATAGGTCTGACCTGGCTTTGGGCTGGTGCTCAGGGCCCTGAGAAACCTGCTAGCTAGGATTTTCCTTTCTTTACTTTTTTTTTTTTATTTGAGACAGAGTCGCCCAGGCTCGTGTGCAGTGGTGCAATTTTGTCTTACTGCAATCTCTGCCTCCTGGAGGAGCCTGAGCTCTGTCGCTCAGGCTGGAGTGCAGTGACGCGATCTCAGCTCACTGCAACCTCCTTGTCCTGGGTTCAAGTGATTCTCGTGCCTCAGCCTCCCTAGTAGCTGGGACTACAGGCGCCCACCACCACACCCAGCTAATTTTTTTTTTTTTTTTTTTTTTGAGATGGAGTCTTGCTCAGCTGCCTAGGCTGGAGTGCAGTGGCACAATCTCAGCTCACTGCAACCACCATCTCCCAGGTTCAAGCGATTCTCCTGTCTTAACCTTCCGAGTAGCTGGGATTATAGGCACACACCATCATGCTCGGCTAATTTTTGTATTTTAGTAGAGATGAGGTTTAACCATGTTGGCCAGGCTGGTCTTGAACTCCTGACCTCAGGTGATCTGCCTGCCTCGGCCTCCCAAAGTGCTAGGATTACAGGTGTGAGCCACTGCGCCCGGCAAATTTTTTTATTTTTAGTAGAGATGGGGTTTCACCATGTTGGCCAGGCTGGTCTTGAACTCCTGACCTCAGGTGATCTGCCCGCCTTGGCCTCCCAAGGTGCTGGGATTATAGGCGTGAGCTCTTGCGCCTAGCTCCCAGGCTTTTCTTAAACAGGGTTGGGGATGGCTCCCCAACGAACTTCATGTCTGGGTTTTTCATGATAGTGAAGTTGGAAGCCAGCAGTGCAGCTGCCACCTACTTCTGTCCAGCCAGACCCTTGCCCTTGCTGGTCATGGTCCTGGGGCTCGACTGCTTCACATGGGTTGTCTTTTGGCCTTGGAGTATCCTTTATCAGAGCCTTGGGCCCCTGGACTCCTTCACTCAGTACTTGGTGGGCCACCATCACACCCTCCTGTGCAGTGGGTATTGGCTTGCCTGGCTGAGTCATGTGGGAGAGTCCTTGTATGGTTCCTGCAGACTTTCCTCTTTGGCATAGCATCTCTCCATGTTGATTGCTTACAGATCAAAGTGCCAAACACAAACCTGAAGATAGCTGAAAGTTTTCTTTACACTTTTACATTCATTCTCAACTTTTTTTTGTGTTGAGGAGGGTGGTGCAGTGTTTATTCAGTGATCTTCCTACTTTCTTTCTTTTTTTTTTGAGACAGAGTTTCACTCTGTCACTCAGGCTGGCATACCGTGGCGCGATCTCAGCTCACTGCAACCTCCTTTTCCTGGGTTCAAGCAATCTTCCTATCTCAGCCTCCCGAGTAGCTGGGATTACAGGCTTCCACCACCACACCCAGCTAATTTTTTGTATTTTTAGTACAGATGGAGTGTCACCATGTTGGCCACGCTGGTCTCGAACTCCTGACCTCAGGCCATGTGCCCGCCTCGGCTTCCCAAAGTGCTGTGATTACAGGCTCCCAAAGTGCTGTGATTACAGGCATGAGCCATCACGCCTGGCTGATCTTTCTACTTTCTAGAAATTGTCCTTCAAAGCTATTTAAGCTACTTAGTCCTTTTTTTTTTTTTTCTTTTTAAATGCCCTGGTTGAGCTTGAATAGACCAGTTGATAAAAAAGAAATAGAAAAAGATTTAAAGATTTTAGCTGTTCAGTCCTGTTTGGCAAGAGGACTTCCAGCTACCTTCTTATGGTCCTTGACTGTCAGGACCCTTGTGTCCTCTGGGGTAAGCCACATATTAAATTGACTTTTGTTTTTTTTTTTTTTTTTTTTTTTTTTTTTTGAGACGGAGTCTCACTTTGTCGCCCAGGCTGGAGTGCAGTGGCGCGATCTTGGCTCACTGCAAGCTCCACCTCCTAGGTTCACGCCATTCTCCTGCCTCAGCCTCCCGAGTAGCTGGGACTACAGTCGCTCGCCACCACACCCGGCTAATTTTTTTGTATTTTTAGTAGAGACGGGGTTTCATCGTGTTAGCCAGGATGGTCTCAATCTCCTGACCTTGTGATCCGCCCGCCTTGGCCTCCCAAAGTGCTGGGATTACAGGCATGAGCCACTGTGCCCAGCGGTAAATTGACTTTTTAGTATGTATACCTTTGCCCCCACCTTCTGATGAAAACACCTTGCCCTCACCACCACTGTTTACCTGTCTTTTCCCAATTTTTTTTCCTACCTTGCTGGAACGAGATAAAGTGACACTCCATCGTACATCAATTCCACACACTTCTGTTAGGTACCTGTGAGGCAGAATTTTGTCCTTTCAAACTTACATTTCTCATGCTACAGAGAAAGATAAGGAAGATGAGCAAGTGTCCGGAACAGGGCAGGCTGAGCAGTCACACAGGCATGGAGCATATGCCGAGAACCTAGAAGGAAGGACTGCAGAGTGCCTCCTGGATGCTGCAGCCAGAAGTGGTCCTTCCCTCCATTTGGCCCCTGACACCATGCTCTGTAGTGTGCAGGGGTCTGATGGCACTGCTAGATTGCTCCTTCAGCTCAGGGCCACATCTTAGACAGCTTTACTTTTCCCTTCAGCACTTGTCCCACTGCCTTGCACACAGGTGCTGTCAGTGTTTATTGAACAAAGGAGGGAAACTGATTTCAATTTCACTTGTTCAGTATCATTCCAGTTTTTATGTGAAAATTGTACAACCCATTTGCGGTACCTTCATCCCAAAAGAAAAGCACAAGACTGCCTTTGATACCTTTCTGTGGATTCCCTGGTGAAAAACCTTTATCCTTTTTACACTTTTTTATTCTCCGTAACTTTCTTCAAAAGTATCTTTCCACCTCTGACTTAAACACAAAAGCATTCCTGTTTTAGAAATTCTGGCCCATGGGTTGTCTGGCTAGTTACTGCCTCTCCCATTCACCTGGTTATACTTTATTACTGGTGATGGGTTAGAGAGGCAGGATCACTGACTCTGTCACCCCTAGGAGTCATTAGGGCCCCTTCCCTGGAGGATGGCCTGCTTTTTCTCTGGGGACTAGTCCTCATTTCCCTTCCATGATACAGTGGGGCAGGTTATTTTTATTAAGCAAACATTTATGAGAACCCCCTCCCCAAAATAAAGTCCCCAAGTAAACACAACCCTGAATGGTTGTGGACTATGAATTGTTTCTAGTGAAGATAAATTTATGCAAATATATCTTAATCTTTCCCTCTGTCTGTCTTGTGATTAAGGGGTTGCTTTTTGGTAAGGAATTTTTTTGTTTTGTTTTTTAGATGGAGTTTTTTTTTTTTTTTTTTTTTGAGATGGAAAAATAGTTTTGATCATAGAGTTAGGCATTATGGAAATTCAAGCCAGATTTTTAAAAACCTGGTCATCTCCAAAGAGAAATAGTGACAGTAATAGTGGTGCGGGGAACAATATGGTAGATTATTGAATGAAATGGATTAACTTGAACAAAATGCTGTGACTTGTCTCTAAAATTATAAAATGTGATCTGACTTGTTTTGGTCTGGTTCCTCTTTTTTTTCTTTTTTGGTTCCTTTATTTTTCACATTAAAAAAATGAAATATCCATAGGTTGTAAAATTCACCTTTTTTGTTTTTTTTTTTGACGGAGTCTCACTCTGTCACCCAGGCTAGAGTGCAGTGGCGTGATCTCGGCTCACTGTAACCTCCGCCTCCCGGGTTCAAGCAGTTCTCTGCCTCAGCCTCCCAAGTAGCTGAGATTGCAGGTGCCTGCCACCATGCCCGGGTAATTTTTTTGTATTTTTAGTAGAGACGGTTTCACCATCTTGGCCAGGCCGGTCTTGAACTCCTTACCTCATGATCCACCTGCCTCAGCCTCCCAAAGTGCTGGGATTACAGGCGTGAGCCACTGTACCTAGCCTTTTTTTCTTTTTCTTTTTCTTTTTTTTTTTTAATGAGACAGTATTGGTCTGTTTCCCAGGCTGGAGTGCAGTGGCATAATCTCAGCTGACTGCAATCCCCGCCTCCTGGGTTCAAGTGATTTCCAAGCCTCTCCCTCCCCAGTAGCTGGGATTACAGGCGTGCACCACCACATCTGGCTTATTTTTGTTTTTAAGAGAGGTGGGGTTTCACCATGTAGGTCAGGTTGGTCTCAAACTTCTGGCATCATGTGATCTACCCGCCTCAGCCTCCCAAAATTCTGGGATTACAGACGTGAGCCCCCACGCCTGGCCAGATTTCACCCTTTTAAAATATATAATTTGGTAGTTTTTCAGATTCACAAAGTTGTGCAACCATAACCACTATCTAATTTCAGAACATTTTCATTACCTCCAGAAGAAATGCCTGGGTTCATTTGCGGTCACTTTCCTTTTCCTTCTCTGTCTAGCCCTTAGTGACCACTATTCTATTTCTGCCTTGGTGCATTTGCGTATTTAATGGAATCGTACTGTATGTGGCCTTCTGTGTCTGGCTTTCTTTTTTTGTTTTTTGTTTTTGTTTTTTTGTTTTGAGATGGAGTTTCGCTCTTGTTGCCCAGGCTGGAGTACAGTGGCATGATCTCCACTCACTGCAACCTCCGCCTCCCGGGTTCAAGCGATTCTCTTGCCTCAGCCTCCTGAGTAGCTGGGATTACAGGCCTGCGCCACCACACCCAGCTAATTTTGTATTTTTAGTAGAGACGGGGTTTCTCCATATTGGTCAGGCTGGTTTTGAACTCCCGACCTCAGGTGATCTGCCCGCCTTGGCCTCCCAAAGTGCTGGGATTACAGGCGTGAGCCACCATGCCTGGCCTTGCCTTTTTTCATTTAATATAATGTTTTCAAGTAGGATTCATCTGTATTGTAGCATGTATCAGTACTTCATTTCTTTTTATGGCTAAATAATATTCTACTATATAGATATTTCATATTTTGTGTATCTGTATCATCAGTTGATGGATATTTAGTTTTGCTTCTGCTTTCTTTGGCTACTGTGAATATGGTTGCTATCAACATTTGTTTAATTTAACTTTTCCTCACTTACTTTTTGAGACAGAGTCTCACTCTGTTGCCTAGGTTGGAATGCAGTGGCAAGATCATCATCTCCTCAAACTCCTGGGCTAAAGCAGTTCTTCTGCCTCAGCCTCCTGAGTAGTTAGGACTACAGGCATGTGCTACCATGCCTGGCTAACTTTTTTTTTTTTTTTCCCTTGAGACGGAGTTTCGCTCTTGTTGCCCAGGTTGGAGTAAGTACAATGGCACGATCTCCGCTCGCTGCAACCTCCACCTCCCAGATTCAAGCGATTCTCCTGTCTCAGCCTCCCAAGTAGCTGGGATTACAGGCATGTGCCACTATGCCTAGCTAATACTGTATTTTTAGTAGAGACGAGGTTTCTCCATGTTGGTCAGGCCGGTCTCGAACTCCCGACCTCAGGTGATCTGCCTGCCTTGGCCTCCCAAAGTGCTGGGATTACAGGTGTGAGCCACTGCGCCCGGCCAATTTTTTGTATTTTTAGTAGGAACTGGGTTTCACTATGTTGGCCAGGCTGGTCTCAAAATCCTAACCTCGAGAGATCCCGCCCTCCTCAGCCTCTCAAAGTGTTGGGATTACAGGCATCAGCCACCGCGCCTGGCCGAAATATGTATTCTTAACCTGTGTTTTGTTTTTGCTGTTTGTTTTACAGTTTCTTAAAATAGGTTCCATCCTGATTCTTTGTGTTTTTACTTTTGAATTGACCCAATTATTTATTCACATCAACAATCTTGGGCATGCTTGAGGGTGAGGAGTATGTTGAGGGTAGTCTCCCCTTTCTGTTTTCAGCTTTGGTAATGGTTGCCGCCTCCTCTTCTGCATTCTGCTTTTCCGGCACACTCCTTTGGCTAGATGGTTAATCACAGATATTTAAATGATATCTTGATCTTGATTCTTCCCTCAGCTCTATACTCTTGACCATTCTGCTATTTCTGTGGGCTGATGTGGGTCTCTAAATGGACAACTTTTTTCTTTCATGGCTCATTGGTGTTGCAGATTCATCACTTGAACAGAGGATATTTGTATGTTTTGGGGCATTTGTCGGTCCTAAACATTTTAATTTCTGAATTTATCAGTTTCAAAGAGAAATCTGAATTTGGCCCATTTTTAGAGGTGGTAAGAAGGACCTCTCTGGACTACTTTGTTTGTTTTAGGGAGATGGAGTCTTGGTGTGTTGACCAGCCTGGAATGCAGTGGCTGTTCACAGACACATTCATGGCACGCTGCAACCTCCAGCTCCTGGCCTCAAGTGATCATCCTGCCTCACCCTCCCCAGTAGTTAGGACTATAGCTGTGCTCCACCACACCCAGCTTGTTTATATAATAACTTTCTAATTTAACAATTGCTTTTACAGCCACTCAGTATTTTTAATACCGTGTTAATAGGGAAGATTTTTTTTTTTAAGTCAGTTTTGCAGTAATTAAAGACAAACATTTTATGGCTGTGAATGGAATGTTTCTTCTATGCTGCCATGCTGTCTGCTCCTCACCAGGAGCAACTGTTTCTTCTAAAACTATTTTATAAACAAAATCTTGGGTTACAAAGATGTTAAGATTATATTTATCCTCTAAAATTAAGCCCTACACTTTTTTGCTTAAAATAGAAACCATTCTACCAGTTGGGAAGGGGAGACGAGTAAAATAATTAAAAAATTGTATTAAACAGCTTAAAATCTGGTAGCAAAATCTTAATATATGAAAAATTAAGTATATCAAGGGCTTTTGGCAATATTTCTATAATGTTTCGATTTATGGCTGTAGTAAAACATTGTGATCTAGGAGCCACATATTAGGAGGGACATTAGCAAATAAGTCTATGATGTCAGAGATTTCGAAAATTATATGGAATGGTTGAAAAAAAATCATATGGAATGGTAGGCACTATTTGACCTAAAGAAGACATGAGGGAGGATTAAGACTTAGAGTGTATCAAACCTATGTGCCACACGAATAATGGAGTATCCCATAGTTAACTTTTTTTTTTTTTTCGAGACGGAGTTTTGCTCTTGTCGCCCAGGCTGGAGTGCAATGGTATGATCTTGGCTTACTGCAACCTCTGCCTCCTGGGTTCAAGCGATTCTCCAGCCTCAGCCTCCTGAGTAGCTGGGATTACAGGAGCATGCCGCCACGTCCGGCTAATTTTTGTATTTTTAGTAGAGATGGGGTTTCACCATGTTGGTCAGGCTGGTCTCGAACTCCTGACCTCAGGTGATCCGCCCAGTTCAGCCCCACAAACTGCTGGGATTACAGGCATGAGCCTCCGAGTCCGGCGCATAGTTAAATTTGAAAACATATTCTGCCTCTTAAAAATATTCATTGCAGGTTTTTATTGTATAATCTGCATGGGAAAAAAATTAAGAGTTACAGAAACAAATGTAAGGATAACGGGATTTTAGTAAATCTTTGCTGATCCTAGTGAAACAAAAACTTGAAACTTTTTTATTCTTTGGCCATTGACTGTGTGATGAAATGTGCCTTCTATTTTTTTAGGTTGATAACACAGTCTCAGACAAGTCAGTGTATTCATTAACCATGATCTGGCCCTCTGATTCCCTCTGACCCTTTTTCTGATCTTCAGAGTTCTTTTCTGTCTCTGTGCTTTTGCACTCTAGGTTTTTCCTTCTCCCTGGATTGTTCTTTCTTCACCTGTATCTATGGTTGTCTCAGCTCACAGGTCTCACCTTAGAAGGCTTCTCTGAGGTAACCGCCTGCATCAATGTTAGCAAGCTCTGTTTTACTTTCTTTTTGTTAACAGATAATGTTGTCAGAAATTCTTTGCCTGTACTTCTCCCACAAAAATTGACTTTGTGAGAATTTGGAACCTATTAGTCTCTGCTGCTGTGTTTACACCTAGACTAGTACGTAGCATATACTCAGCAAGTGTAGGTTGAACCAGATTATTGTATTTTTTCAAGGGTGAGAGATCTGGTTAATTGGATCATAGTTAATTCTGTTCTTTTTTGTTTTATTTTTTATTGAGACAGGGTGCTGCTTTGTCCCCACAAGGTGGGAGTGCAGTGGCACCATCATAGCTCACTGTAACCTTGAACTCCTGGGCTCATGTGATCCTCCTGCCTCAGCCTCCCAAGGTGTTTGGATTACAGGTGTAAGCCACTGCACCCAGACTCTGTTCTATTTTTTTTTTTTTGGAGACAGAGTCTCACTCCCTCATCCAGGATGGAGTGCAGTGGTGCAATCTCTGCTCACTGCAACCTCCGCCTCCTGGGTTCAAGCGATTCTCATACATCAGCCTCTCAAGTAGCTGGAAATTATAGGTGTATATCACCATGCCTAGCTATTTTTTTTGGTAGAGATGGTCTTTCTTAACTTCCATATTTTCTGAATGAAGAGAAGGGAAACTGAAATAAGCTAAGAACTTAGACAGCTTTCATGTTATTATCATGATATAGTGGGAAGATCATAGGCTTTGAAGTTGGACTATAAATCCAGATTCTTCAACTCATAGACTTGGATTTTAGGCTCAAGGAGTCTGTTTTAAATATGTCAACCCCTTATCCGTGGGGATAGATGGTGGTAAATTTTAGCAGTTTTTGAAGATTAAGCCAGGAAAGCTCAGTGCAATATGTAGCCCAACGTGTAGGTAGTATGTGGCTCTTAGCAAACGTGATTACTCTGCACATACACTGTGCTCAATTATTTTCTAGACTAGATGTGCAGAAGTGAACACAGCTATACAAAATTTCAATAAACAAATTAGCAGGTAGTGGTAAATGCTATGGAGAAAAAGTAAAGCAGAATAAGGAGTGATGCTGGGGCAGGTCATATTTCTGTTTTAGGAATGGTAATAAGACCTCACTGATAAGGTGACTTTAGAGTAGAAACCTAAATGAAGTGAAAGAACAAACCATGTATAGCCATCTGGAGTTTTTCATTTAGAAAGAATAACAAATAGAAACAAACATGGGTAAATTTGAGGAAGGGCAGGAAACTGAGCTCAAGGGCAGCATCTAAATCACTGAAGTCGGATCTTATGGCAGCTTCATTTAAGGCTGTGCCACGTAGCATTACAGCTGTGTTAGCAGAGAGAATTTGAGTTACGTAAAATTGTTGCCTTAAAAAAAAACCTTTTGTTACACATTTGATCAATGCCATGTGGTGTTTTTGGTGTAGATGTTGAGCAAAGTACAGAGTTGCATGGTAAAATTACTGTAGTTTTTCTTCTCTTCCTGCCAGTGACTGACTATAGGAAACAATTTTTTTTTCTTTTTTTGAGACGACGTTTCACTCTTGTTGGTCAGGCTGGACCACAATGGCACGATCTCAGCTCACTGCAACCTCTGTCTCCCGGGTTCAAGTGATTTCCTGCCTCAGCCTCGCGAGTAGCTGGGGTTACAGGCACCCATCACCATGCTTGGCTAATTTTTGTATATTTAGTAGAGACGGGGTTTCACCATGTTGACCAGGCTGGTCTTGAACTCCTGACCTCAGGTGATCCATCAGCCTCGGCCTCCCAAAGTGCTGGGATTACAGGCGTGAGCCACTGCACCCGGCCCAGGAAACATTTTTATAATATTGAATTACAGCTGGAAGCAGTGGTGTATGCCTGTGATCTTAGCTACTCAGAAGGATGAAGCGAGAAGACGCTGTGAGTCCAGGAGTTGGAGATCAGCCTGGGCAATATGGACCCTCTCTAAAAAAAAAATTGAGTTATAAATTATGGGCACTTCCATCAATAATTCCTTTAACTTTAATTCAAAAATGAGTAACTAATGTAAATTGGAATTTTGCCTTGGAGGTTGATTTTCTTTTTTGAAACCTTACTTTTTTTTTTTGTTTTATCTTCCCTTATTAAACATGTTATTTTTGGTCATTTTAGATTGTGAATCGGCACGGTCCTGAGGCAGACAGGCATTTATTACGCTGCCTATTTTCGCATGTGGATTTCAGTGGCGATGGTAAAAGCAGTGGCAAAGATTTCCATCAGGTATTTGGGGCTTACAGAGTTCATGTCCACTTAGCTGTAATTGTTAAATGAATTTTGGGCATAGTGTATGTAGCATATGACACGTACAAAATAGCATCCGGAAGTGATTGTAGCTGGATGGTGAAAAGGTGTTAGATTTTTCCTTTTTTTTCTGTGCGTCCCTTCTGCCTGGCTGTAGACTATAACAGCTACCTAGTTCAGGTTTAGAGAGGTAGGGATCAGACCTGCCTGAAGGAAGCAGGAATGTGAGGGTTCCCTGCCTGAAAAGTTAGTAAGGCAGAGGAGATCTCATGTCCTGGATTGAATCTCTAGCTTTATTCCCCATCTGGCAAGAGTTTGTCATAATACTGTTTCTTACAGTAATCTTGTCAATGAGCTCTTATTTTCTGGAAGTTTTGCTGCTAATAGACTTTGAGTAGTGTAATGAGTTTTTTTTTTAAAAAACTCTATTTTTATAACTTTCTTTACATCTTTTTTTATTTCCTGGTTCCTTTTACCTTGGGTGTTTTTGAGACAGAGTCTCTCTCTCGTCACCCAGGCTGGAGTGTGGTGGCTCACTGTAACCTCTGCCTCCTGGGTTCAAGCGATTCTCCTGCCTCAGCCTCCCAAGTAGCTGAGATTATAGGCATCTGGCACCAGGCCTGGCTAATTTTTGTATTTTTAGTAGAGAGAGGGTTTTACCATGTTGGCCAGGCAGGTGTTGAACTCCTGGCCTCAGGTGATCCACCTGCATTGGCCTCTCAAAGTGCTGGGATTACGGTTGTCAACCACCGCACCTGGCGAGATTTTTAAAGAGCCGATTTTGATAATATATAACAGTATATAGTGTTAGATCACATTTTAATGTTCTGAGTACCTCAGCTTCTGTTTGTTCTTAGATGATGATTAGTGCTAATGAAAATCATTTTTTATTTTTAAAGACTCAGTTTCTGATTCAGGAGTGTGCGTTGCTGATTACAAAGCCAAATTTTATCTCGACGCTGTCCTATGCCATTGATAATCCATTGCACTATCAGAAGGTTGGTATTACTATTATCTTTAAGAGTGTGATCTCTCCTTAGGCTTTCTAAAAAGTCCCTAAGCCTTGATCTCATAATGTGATGTCTTAATATAAAAATTTCAGGTTGTTATTTTGGGGTGTCTTTTATAGTTTGTAACAAAATCAAGGCAGTTCATTTAATAATAAATAGAATCTTACTAAAACCAGATCATGTGAAGGCTTAAGTTTGTCATTTCACAGTTTTAGGACATAGTGTAATGTTTCTAGTAACACTACAGAATTAAGCAACTCCTATGTAGTGCCATCCTTGGGCAAACAGATAGGTTGTTAAAAACTTCTTGAAAAAGTAAGTTCTTATTTTAAACTAAAATTTGGTTTGTTTCAGAGTTTAAAGCCTGCACCCCACTTATTTGCCCAGCTGAGTAAAGTGCTCAAATTAAGCAAAGTACAAGAGGTGAGTGATTTATGAAAAGAGATGTAGACAAAACTAGAATTAAAAACAGCCATTTGACTCTTTGGTTAATCTAATCCTTCTTGTTTCAGGTAATTTTTGGCCTTGCCCTGTTGAATTCTTCCAGCTCAGATCTTAGAGGTTTCGGTGAGTTACTTTTTCCAAAAATATCACGAAGTGAGACTTTAAAATACGTGGGTTTTTAATCATGAGGCTCTGTGATTTAGACTTAGAGAGTAAGATAATCTGAAATTAATTTCTCTTTATCTGTGGTAAAAAACATGTAATATAAATGTTACCCTCATAACCACTTTAAGTGTACAGTTCCATAGGGATAATTGTATTCAGGTTGTGTAACATCTCTCTGGAACTTTATTTTGCCAAACAGAACTATGCCCATCAACAACTCTCTATTTTCCCCTCCCCACTGCCAGTCCCTGGCCATTGGTTTCTTTATACCTGTCAGCTAGAGAAAGCATTAGAGAGATGGGTGAACTGGTGAATGAGAAGGGTGATTATCTGCATTTTGATGGTATATGACTTTTTAACCCATTGTGGTGCAAAAGTAACTTGCGGTTTTTGGTTTACCTGACTTCTAGCTGCCCAGTTTATCAAACAGAAGCTTCCAGATCTTCTGCGTTCTTACATTGACGCAGACGTCAGTGGAAATCAAGAAGGTGGCTTCCAAGATATAGCAATAGAGGTCCTACACCTCCTCCTCTCCCATCTCCTCTTTGGGCAGAAGGGAGCCTTTGGAGTTGGACAAGAACAGATAGACGCTTTTCTTAAGACGCTGCGCAGAGGTAAGGGAGTCTTTGTAGCCTACAGTGGGTGGTTTTCTTGGATGACCACAGACACATCACAAAAGCATTCCCCCCTCCCCTCCCCTCACCCTCCCCTCCTCCCTGCCCTCCCCTCCCCTCCTCCCTGCCCTCCCCTCCCCTCCCTCCCCTGCCCTCCCTCCCCCTCCCCCTGCCCTCCCCTCCCCCTCCCTCCCCCTCCCCTCCCCTTCCCCTCTCCCTCTCCTCCCCTTCCCCTCCCCTCCCCCTCCCCCACCCCCACACCTCTCCCCCCTCCCCCTCCCCTCGCCTCCCCTCCCCTCCGCCTCTTTCTCTTTTTAAAAAAGAGACAACATCAGCTGGGCACAGTGGCTCAGGCCAATAATCCCAGCACTTTGGGAAGATCAGGCGAGCATGACACCATACCTAGCCTTACATGCTATTTTTAGCTTAAAAAATCGGTCACTTTTGATGTGCTCACTTCACCTCCTTGGATATCGGCATTGTAAAGTTAAGATAAATCCTAGTTATTTTGTTGCCTCTGAGCTTTCATGTTTGAGAAAGATAAGAATTCTTTTCACAACAAATCTGATAGTGGATTAACATCCATTCTCATGGTTACTTTTATTTACTTCTTAATGTTTATAGAGTTTAATTTTAATGTACATTAACATTCTCACTAATGGGAAACTTTCCACTTGCCAGTGAAATAAATAGACTGATATTCTAATTGTTTGTTTTTGATGCTTTCTTTGTATGGGAAGTGATAGCCCTATTGTGCAAATTTAAAGTAATATTTAGGGTACGAATTGGTCAGTAGATGGAATGCCAGTGTCAAATGTTAAAGGTACACTGATGAGCATTTTTTGTGATATAAAAGTATTCAAATTTTGGAATTGATGTTAAAGTCGTAACTTCGGCTAGTAGGCTGGAAAAATGAAATAAGCTTGGCTTTGAATATGAACTTGTGAGAGAATTGGGTTTGAGGGGATTTTGGATAGAGCAAAAGAGGATTGTTTGTTTTTAATTAGTATAGCAGTTGTAACCTTTTTCCTCTCTCAGATTTTCCCCAAGAACGCTGTCCCGTGGTGCTCGCACCACTTTTATACCCTGAAAAACGGGACATTCTAATGGACAGGATCCTGCCTGATTCCGGAGGGGTAGCTAAAACCATGATGGAGAGCTCTTTGGCTGATTTCATGCAAGAAGTAGGCTATGGCTTTTGTGCAAGGTTGGTAGTAAAATGTGTTAAGCTTCTGATTATTCTTGTGCCAAACATGATGTAATTCTTTAAAAAAAGTCTCTAAAATTCCTTAAAGTTAATCATCTTTTCTTCTCAAGAGGCATGCTTCTAAATTTTAATCTTCCACGAACTAGTGTGTGTGACAGCTGTAAACATCCTGGGTGTTAAATGTTTATCTCCTTCCCCTCACCAGTTTCTCAAAATTAGGAGCCAGAGGTTTCCAGGCTAGTTGCCACAATAGGCATATTTTGGCTTTTGGAAGGAAGAGAGAGCATTGAAGCAAGTTAGTGTTTATGGAACTTGTATCGCTTTACACTTAATGTGACTAATTTTCTCCTCTCTGACCCCCACCCCTCTAATTTCTTCATTCTGCCTTCTTCTGTGGCTTCCTTCCTTTTCTGCCTCTTGCGTATTTTTCTCACTTGCTTAGGGCACCAAAGGATATTGTTTCACACTGTTAGTAGCACTTAAGACTGTGATACACTGGATTATTAATATTTTTCTAAAAGCAAATTATTAAGGGGATTAATGTGCTTTGCTTTGACTTAAAAATCCTTATGTTTTAAAAACTCTCAGACAAATCACATTCTCACTGAGGTTTGAAATAGTGCATTTGTGAGTGTTGTACTTGTGCCTGGCATATAATTTTTGTTAATCAAACTGAATAAGATGCATAGTGAAAAGTTAGGATGCAGGCTGGGCACGGTGGCTCATACCTGTAATCCCAGCACTTTGGGAGGCCGAGGTGGGCGGATCACCTGATGTCAGGAGTTCAAGACCAGCCTGACCAACATGGTGAAGACCCTGTCTATACTAAAAATACAAAAATTAGCTAGGTGTGGTGGCACGTGCCTATAATCCCAGCTACTCAGGAGGCTGAGGCAGGAGAATCACTTGAACCCAGGAGGTGGAGATTGCAGTGAGCCAAGATCGTGCCACTGCACTCTAGCCTGGGCAACAAAGCGAGACTTCGTCAAAAAAAAGCGAGACTAACAAAAAAAAGTTAGGATGGATTTTCAAGGCTGTGTACATATCAGAATAATAAAACTCACTTTGGATGTTAAAATCTTAAAGAAGATTGAAGATAATTTTGTTATTGTGAAAGAGAGCATTACTCATGAGTCTTATTTTCTTCCACTGAATTTTTTTTTTTTTTTTGAGACGGAGTGTTGCTCTGTTGCCCAGGCTGGAGTGCAGTGGCACAATCTTAGCTCACTGCAACCTCCACCTCCCAGGTTCAAGTGATTTTCCTGCCTCAGCCTCCTGAGCAGCTGGGACTACAGGTGAGCGCCACCATGCCTAGATAATTCTTTGTATTTTTAGTAGAGATGGGGTTTCACTGTGTTAGCCAGGATGGTCTTGATCTCCTGACCTCGTGATCCACCCGCCTCAGACTCCCAAAGTGCTGGGATTACAGGCGTGAGCCACCACACCCGGCTCTTACACTGATTTTTTAAAATTGTTTGCCTGTTTTAAAAAAATTTTCAGGCTGGGCATTGTGGCTCATGCCTGTAATCCCAGCACTTTGGGAGGCTGAGGTGGGTGGATCACTTGAGGCCAGGAGTTTGAGATCAGCCTGGCCAATGTGGTGAAACCCCATCTCCACTAAAAATACAAAAATTAGCCATGCGTGGTGGTGCATGCTTGTAATCCCAGCTATTTGGGAGGCTGAGGCAGAGGTTGCAGTGAGCCAAGATTGTGCCATTGTACTCCAGTACTCTTGTACTCCACAGGAAGTGGAGCCCAAGCGGAAATACTTGCTCACCTCCTGCTGTGTGGATGATTTCTAACAGGCCACAGACTGATAACAGTCCATGGCAGGGGGTTTGGGAGCCCACTGCATTGTATCATTCTTATGCCTTTGCATCCTCATAGCTTATCTCCCATCTAACAAGTGAGAACATACAATATTTGGTTTTCCATTCCCGAGTTACTTAGAATAATGACTTTTGCCATTTTCTTACTGAAGTAGATGGTTTTTACATTCCTAGCTGTATAAATGTAACAAGAAATAACACTTACTGCTCTGCCTGTTTTATTTAGTAAAACTAAGGCTTTCAAACAAGGTTCATTTAATGCCAGAATTTCTCAATCTCGGTGTTGAGGCTGGTAGCATTTTTCTGAAGTTATATTTCTGTTTCAGTATTGAAGAATGTCGCAATATAATCGTGCAGTTTGGTGTTCGGGAGGTCACAGCTGCCCAGGTTGCAAGGGTTTTGGGAATGATGGCTCGAACTCATTCAGGATTAACAGATGGCATTCCATTACAGGTGTGTTGAATTCAGCTATTTTACCAAGTGAGTTAATGTCCTGTCCTCTTTATTTTTTTTTAATTAAATTACAGTATGATTGATTGTTCTATCGACCAGAAGTGAACACATGGAGTAGTTGGGTTTGTTTAATTCAAGTTTTACTTCTACAGAGTATTTCTGCTCCGGGCAGTGGGATCTGGAGTGATGGGAAAGATAAAAGTGATGGAGCACAGGCACACACATGGAATGTAGAAGTCTTGATTGACGTTCTTAAAGAACTGGTGAGTATATGTGATGATGATTTTTGATTTGTGGTATTTGAATGATATAGTCCAAAGAAAGCAAATTTTTAAGAATTTTCCACCTTCGTTAACTCAAAAAGTAATAAAGTGTCCAAGTTAATTGTGTACTGCAGGCAGTACGTAACCAAATTTAAATTTTTTCATTAGGGTTGTTACCTTGTAATTTGGGGTGCTACTTCTAAGTTACTCTTGTTTATGGTGGATAAGAACAGTGAAAATCATAATTATCTTGCCACTTCTACTTCGGTTGCAAACTGAATAAAAAATAAAGTACCTCTACTAAAATATTGAAGGGCTTAAATAAGACATAAAGGAATTGAACTCTATTTATTTTTCCTTTTGCTGTGTTGCCCATATTGGACTTTAACTCCTGGGCTCTAGTTAGTGATCCTCCCACCTTTGGGAGCAAAGCGTTGGGATTACAAGCGTGAGCCATTGTACCTGGCCTAGAATGGAACTTTTGTTTTTGTTTGTTTTTTTTAGACGGAGTCTCACTCTGTTGGCCAGGCTGAAGTGCAGTGGCACGATCACAGCTCACTGCACCCTCTGGCTCCTGGGTTCAAGCAGTTCTCCTGCCTCAGCCTCCCAAGTAGCTCGGTCTACAGGCTTGTGCCACCATGCCTGGCTAATTTTTTTTTTTTTTTTTTTGTATTTTTAGTAGAGACAGGGTTTCATCATGTTGGTCAGGCTGGTCTCAAACTCCTGACCTCAGGCAATGCGCCCTCCTTCCAAAGTGCTGTGATTACAGGCATAAGCCACTGCACCTGGCTCTAGAATGGAACTTTTAGATATTAAAAGGTAGTGTGATAAGCCGGTTGTGGAGGCTCACTCCTGTAATCCCAGCATTTTGGGAGGCCGAGGCAGGTGGATCACATGAGGCCAGGAGTTTGATACCATCCTGGCCAGCATGGCGAAAACCTGTCTCTACTAAAATTTTAAAAAATTACCTGGGCATGTTGGTGTACTTCTGTAATCCCAGATACTTGGGAGGCTGAGGCACGAGAATCTCTTGAACCAAAGAGGCAGAGGTTTCAGTGAGCTGAGATCATGCCACTGCACTGCAGCCTGAGCAACGGAGTGAGACTCTGTCTTAAAAAAAAAAAAAGAAAAAAAAAGAATGGGTTTCTTAAAATTCACATTAAAAATTTTGTAAGTAGAACATCTAAATTGAATTTCAGATTTAATTTGGCCTTTTGGATAATGTATCAAAATATACACACATTCATTACATTTTAAACTGCTTTGGTCTTTTTTAGAATCCAAGTTTGAATTTCAAGGAAGTAACTTATGAACTGGACCATCCTGGATTTCAAATTCGTGACAGTAAAGGACTTCATAATGTGGTTTATGGCATTCAGAGGGGTTTGGGTATGGAAGTGTTCCCAGTAGACCTCATATATAGACCTTGGAAACATGCTGAAGGCCAGGTGAGTAAGTGGTATTTAGCTATAGATGGGGGAATAAAACATGACTTATTCTTTATGTAGTGCCATCTACCCATTGATCGAAATATTCTTGTAAAGTAGAATTTGTTATACATAGCACAGAAAAGCAAGGACTGTCCATAAGTATTGAAGGAATATTATCATAGTTTTAGTATTAGGCAGACTCCTTTAAGGTGTAACTGTCAAGGTGTTTTCCCAATAGTTTAATGATGTTCATTTCCAAGGCAACGTTAAGTTTCCCTAATTGGCTCAGAAATGTCTTTTAACAGTCAAGGTGTTTTCCCAATAGTTTAATGATGTTCATTTCCAAGGCAACGTTAAGTTTCCCTAATTGGCTCAGAAATGTCTTTTAACAGTTGTTATGATTGATAATCCAGACAGGGTTTCATTATGCACCTTTAATGTGTCTGAATTATGTGTGGTTTTCAAAGGGCAAATAATTAAGATTTTAAACGGGAAATTGCCATGCTAATAACCTTAAGATTGACAATAGCCTAGTGAAAACATTTCAGATTTTTATAGCATTCACAATCATTTATGGTGGTAAGCATTTTCTTTCATTGCAGCTCTCCTTCATTCAACATTCCCTTATAAATCCAGAGATCTTCTGTTTTGCTGACTATCCCTGTCATACTGTTGCCACTGATATTCTGAAAGCACCACCAGAGGATGACAATCGAGAAATTGCCACATGGTAAACACTTTGATTCATCTTTCATTTAAAAGATTACTTCTTATTTTGTGAAATATAAAGTTAATAGTAAGCCAAGTACATAGTTAACAGGTTTAAATGAAGCAGTAGTTTTAGTGACCTTACTTATCTTAAGTATTTATAGAGGGGGTTGGTAGATAAATTCTTTTTCAGTCTCTATCGTTAGTTATATCTTGTAAGGTCTGTCTTTAGGTGTTCTTTTAAAAGCATCAAATCTGAAAGTATCAAATGTTGGAAAGATTTGTACTTCCTCCTTTCTCCCTTAGTATTGAGATTTCTTCTCTGTAGAGCTTATGCCTTTTTTTTTTTTTATTTGTAAGTTGCTCAAGGTGGCCAACCTGTCAAATCTAATAGTTTTCTTTTCTTTTCTTATTTATATTTTTGGGATGGAGTCTCGCTCTGTTGCCCAGGCTGGAGTGCAGTGGCACAATCTCAGGAGTGCAGTGGCACAATCTCAGCTCACTGCAACCTCCGCCTCCCCGGTTTAAGCGATTCTCCTGCCTCAGCCTCCCGAGTAGCTAGGATTACAAGTGCTCACCACCGCCCTGGGCTAAGTTTTATATTTTTAGTAGAGATGAGGTTTTACCATGTTGGCAAGGCTGGTCTTAAACTCCTGACCTCAAGTGATCCATCCGCCTCGGTCTCTCAAAGTGCTGGGATTGCAGGTGTGAGCTACAGCACCTGGCCAAATCTAATGCTTTTCAGCTAAAGTATCTAGTTTCTCTGAGTTCCAGTTTCAAATTTTCGAGGTAGAATCTTAGTCCGGCCTGGTGTGTATATCAGGTTTCTCTTGGAACTCTGTCCCGTCATTCCTCTCTGTGAATGTGTGAAGAAAGAATGGTACAAGTACTTTGATCATTTTTGAAGTACGCAGGGCTACAGGGAGAGAGCGCGGCCTGAATTGTTCCCCAAAGGGATCTAGTTCATAATGTATCTTCAATTTTTTTCTATCTATACCCTCCCAGAACACATTTCTGTTATTGATCAAATAATTGTCTTTACTTTTTTTGGTGGTGGTGTGTTCTTTTCTTAGGTGGTAGCCAACATTAGATTTGAAAAATTGCTTATTTTTTTCCTTATGAGTCTAGTGTATATAGTAGTGTTTCTTCTTCATTTTATTTGAACAGATAAAGGGCTCTTTCCATTTTTATAAAGCTTAAATACCATTATCACATTAACAAATAACAGTTCCTTAATATAGGTAGTTATTTACATTTAAGTTCCCCAATTGGCTCAAAAATGTCTTTTAAAAATTTCTATGATTGAGAATCCAGACGCAGTCCATAGTTTCTTTTATTCTGTAAATCTGTCTTTGTTCTGTCTTTTAAATTTATTTTTTGCCATTGATTTGATAGAGAAATACAGCATTTGTTCTCTAGTCTACCCCATGTTATTTTCTTACCTGTTTTCTCATGGTGTTTACTTCATTCTCTATCCCCATGGTTTTCATGGGCTGAGGATAGAGTTAGATCTTCAGGCTCAGTTAAAGTCAACCAGTTTCAACCTCTTGGGGCAAAAATAATTCTTAAAGAGAGTGCTGTGGACTTCAAACTTCTAATATTAAAACATGACACCAACTTGGTTTTGTGCTTACAAGCTGGTATCACTTATTTTGAAAATTAATCTGTATACTTGGATTTTCATTGATAAAGCATGTTTCTTCCTTTCTCGTTAGGAAGAGCTTGGATTTGATTGAATCTCTGCTGAGGCTTGCAGAGGTTGGGCAGTATGAGCAAGTCAAACAGCTCTTCAGCTTCCCTATCAAACACTGTCCAGACATGCTGGTATTGGCCTTACTACAAATTAACACCTCTTGGCATACCTTGCGCCATGAACTTATCTCCACTCTGATGCCAATTTTCCTTGGAAACCATCCTAACTCAGCTATTATTTTGCACTATGCATGGCATGGGCAGGTAAGATGTGACCGTGTGCTTACCATTTTTTCATCTGAATAATTGATCTTCTTTGGAGTGTTGAGGAAGCTCAACCAGAGAAATTTTTTTTTACATCTCTGAATTATTATGACTTTAAAAGTCATACTGTCATAAAACTTGTTTTATCTTTTAGAATCATGTGAGCAATAAAATACAAGATCCCAAAAGCAAGGAGGCAAAATAATATTTAATAATTTTATTTTCTTTCCTTTTTTTTTTTTTTTTGAGATGGTGTCTTGCTCTGTCGCCCAGGCTGGAGTGCAATGGTGCAGTCTTTCTCACTGCAACCTCCATCTCCTGGGTTCAAGTGATTCTCCTGCCTCAGCCTCCTGTGGAGCTGGGATTACAGGCGTGCATCACCATGCACAGCTAATTTTTGTATTCTTAATAGAAGTGGGATTTCACCATGTTGGCCAGGATAGTCTCAAACTCCTGACCTCAAATGATCCACCCACCTCGGCCTCCCAAAGTTCTGGGATTACAGGTGTGAGCCACCACACCCGGCCAATATTTAATAATTTCAATATTAAGAAAGGTCTGTATTGCTAGGGCATCACTTTCCTTTTTATGCGAAGGAGCTTAAACATCTATCATGGAGGCAGAAGGTATTGATGTCATATGTTCACAAGAAATGAGAGATCACAGAGCAATTTTTAATTAGCACTCTTTTCTAATTTATCTAAATCCAACATTTACATTTTATTTCAGTTTGTGCTGAAATGCCTTTCAAGCCCCTGTGCTTTTTACCTCTAATTTTGTAGAATGTATTTGGCAAGTAAGTATTCTTTTGTCCACTGATTTTTTTCCCTCCCCTACTTTTTTTTTTTTTTTTGAGAGAGAGGATCTTGCTTGCCCTGTCACCTAGGCTGGAGTGCAGTGATGCAAACATGTCTCACTGCAGCCTCAACCTCCCAGGCTCAGTCAGTCATTCTGCCTCAGCCATCCTAAGTAGATGGGACCACAGGCACATGCCACCATACCCGGTTAATTTTTTGAATTTTTGTAGAGACAGAGTCTTGCCCTGTTTCCCAAGCTAATATCCTACATTATATGATACATGCAGAAAAAAACTTTCTTCCCCTTTACCCCGAGTGCCCTTTTTAGCTACTTTTTATCCTTTACCCATACTTGGAGTAGTTTATATTATATACAAGTGCTTTTTACAAATTAGTGAAATAAGGCTCTTTATTATAAGTGAAAAATGTTAGCCTTAGTTCTAGGTCATTCAGTTAGTTTCCCCTCCTTTCCTAGAGACTCAATTAACATTGTAGACTTTAACAGTTTACAAAATGCATGATAAACATTTAACCAAGCATTTGCAGTCCAGATGGTCTTCATTCCTTTCTCACCATAGCTGTGAGGTAGAAAGGGCTGGTAAACGAGCTGCATCTCCTCACTTGTGATTGAATACTTGTTCTAGCAGACCATCTGCCACTCTAGGACAATTAACTGGGATATTACTTAGATATAGCAATAGTAGTGGTCTTGCTGTTGCTTCTATGATAAATACTCACTGAATTCTAGATATTTGCATCATTCATCGTTGTTTCTGAAAACCAGGCTACCTGCCAGTAAAAAAAAAAAAAGAAATGGAATTAAAAAAATCAAAGATTCTTGTTTGTGGAAATAAGATTTAGAATGTGTGTACAGGCGCCACTCCCAGAAGTAGTGATACATCCAACACTATACTGTGCAACATCAGAAATAGTTACCTTAAATTGTTTTGTTTTTATTTATATACCAGTAATTTGCATTTAAAGTAATTATATAAACTTGATGTAACCTCATGTTCACATAATCTAGTTCACATTTGTGTTTCTGAAAATGATAGTCAGACTTAAAATAGGACAAATAAGTTTGTTGAATGACTATATGACCCAAGTTTAGGAACAGGCTTTATTTGGAATATGTGGAGGTAACTTGGCTTTCCCATAAAGAACGTCACGGTAATTGCATAGTTTGAGGCCTGAACTTAATGTCAGCACAGGTATACCTGATTTTTATACAAGTTCTAGCAAAATTAACTGGGCATTTGTAATAATATCTATCACAGTGTTTAGCAGTATTGCTATTTAATCTTTCTTCCCCTTTTTAGGGACAGTCTCCCTCAATTCGCCAACTTATCATGCATGCAATGGCAGAATGGTACATGAGAGGGGAGCAGTATGATCAGGCCAAATTGTCTCGAATACTTGATGTGGCCCAGGACTTGAAGGTGAGTTCAGAGGGACAGACTGACACCAGTTTATTTACTAATGAGAAAAAAAGGCCGGGCGCGGTGGCTCATGCCTGTAATCCCAGCACTTTGGGAGGCTGAGGTGGGCGGATCCACAAGGTCAGGAATTCGAGACCAGCCTGACCAAAACATGGTGAAACACCATCTCTACTAAAAATAGAAAAATTAGCCGGGCGTGGAGTGCGTGCCTGTAATCCCAGCTACTCAGGAGGCTGAGGCAGGAGAATCGCTTGAACCTGGGAGGCGGAGGTTGTGGTGAGCCAAGATTGTGCCACTGCACTCCAGCCTGGGTGACAGAGTGAGACTCCATCTCAAAAAAAAAAGAAAAAAGGAAAAAAAGTAAATGCTTATGTAACAAAGATGCTCTAGGAATAATTCACATGTGACTAGCTCCTAGAATGAGATGAGATTTAGAGGTTTCTTAAAAAGGATAGGAAGGAGAGTGGCTTTAGGTAGATAAAAGTGTTTTTATTTTTGATTGGTCTTCCATATATTGTAAAGCTGTTTTATAGTGAAAAGTTAGCTTTTCTCATAAGTTATGTTAGATACAGTTTTTGGGGAAACTAGGCATGCTTCTTCCCTTAAGCAACTCTGTGAGAATCAACAGGATCTTTTGATGAATTACTCTATATCTTTTTTTTTTGGAGATAGAATCTTACTCTGTCGCCCAGGCTGGAGTGTAGTGGCGCCTCTTGGCTCACTGCAATCTCTGCCTCCCGGGTTCAAGTGATTCTCCTGCCTCAGCCTCCCAAGTAGCTGGGACTACAGGCGCCTGCCAACGTACCTGGCTAATTTTTTTATTTTTAGTAGAGACAGGGTTTCACCATGTTGGCCAGGCTGGTCTTGAACTCCTGACTTTAGGTGATCCACCCACCTTGGCCTCCCAAAGTGCTGGGATTACAGTCGTGAGCCACCACGTACAGCCTAGACTCTATATTATTAATCACTAGGTGCATTAATGTACTGGTGATATAGTTGTGCTTAAGCCTGTGTTTAGATTTTGAAAAATGGGTAGGGATAATTATTCATGCTTTGAGTCTTGTTCTGCTCTAGGTTTAGTTATTTTAAAGAGCACGGTAAAGTTTGTTTGGAAGGTAGTGTCATGTATTCACCTTTAAAATGTGATCATTATTTTAGAAAATAATGACTAATGTTACCCCTGAATTGTGCTTAGCTGTTTAAATTGTGACCAAGGAAGTATTAGCAGTGTGTTTTATTTGAACTTGTTTGTGGAAAGCGAAAAACAGAATATGGGACAGAGATAGTTACTTAATTGCTCCATTTGCATTATCTAATGTGCTTTGTCCTTTAGGCCTTGTCAATGCTGCTAAATGGTACTCCATTTGCCTTTGTTATTGACCTTGCTGCACTTGCTTCACGTCGTGAATACCTCAAACTTGATAAGTGGCTCACAGATAAAATTCGAGAGCATGGGGTAAGCAGGATTTGTTCATTTATTTTTGCTCTTAAATTTTGGTGGCTAAAATGGCTATCAAGTACAACTTTTAAAATTTGTGCAGCAGTAATAAACTAAAGAAAAATTTGAAAGAAACAACTTTTTTAAATGGCAATGAAGATGTTACTTATTTTGGATTTTAGTTATAGTGCTTAGTAGTTATCTTTAATCCAAAAACATTTAAGATCAATTTTAAATACACTGAGAGACTTTTCTATTCTTCAGGAGCCTTTTATCCAGGCGTGTATGACTTTTTTAAAGAGACGGTGTCCTTCTATTTTGGGCGGACTTGCCCCAGAAAAAGACCAGCCCAAAAGTGCTCAACTTCCTCCAGAAACTTTGGCGACAATGTTGGCCTGTCTGCAAGCTTGTGCAGGGTAAGAAGTACATACATGAATATGACTTTTTTTGAATTGGATTATATGAATAATTGTAGACTTGCGGAAGAAGAGGTTCAGTGAAAGTGACAGCAGTTTAAAATGGTCCAATGGTTTTAAGTCCAAAGTCCTATACTATTTATGATACATACTAGATCCATTTGAGTTAAGGTTTTGTATCTGGTGTGAGGTAGAGGTCCAAATTCATCTTTTGCATGTGAATATCCAGTTGTTCCAGCAGCATTTGTTGAGACCACTACTTTGCCTTTTGAATTATTCTCAAAAAAAGCAATTGCCCATAGTGCATGGGTTAGTTTGTGGTCTCTCTCTTTTAAGTGGCAAGGTCTTGCTGTCGACTAGGCTGGAGTACAGTGGTGCAATCATAGCTTACTGCAACCTCAAACTCCTGTATTAAGTGATCCTCCCACCTCAACCTCCCAAGTACCTGGGACCACAGGCACGTGCCACCCACTCTCAGCTGGTTAAATTTTCTTCTTCTTCTTCTTCTTTTTTTTCTTTTTGTAGAGATGAGGTTTCAGTATGTTGCCCGAGCTGATCTCAAACTCCCGGGCTCAAGTGATCCTCCTGCCACAGCCTCCCAAAGTGCTGGGATTACAGGTGTGAGTCACCATACCTGGGCTATTTTTGGTTTCTTAATTCTGTTGATCTGTGTCTCAAAGGCCAGTTCCACAGTCTTGATCACAATAGGTTTTCAGTAAGTTTTGAAATTGGGGATTATGAATTTCCCAGCTTTGTTGTTTTTTAAAATTGTTGCAGCTCTTCTCGGTTCCTTGAATTTTCCTAAAAAGTTTAAGATCAGCTAGTTAAGGCTGGGTGCGGTGGCTCATGCCTGTAATCCCAGCACTTTGGGAGGCCGAGGCGGGCGAATCATGAGTTCAGGAGATCAAGACCATCCTGACTAACACGGTGAAACCCTGTCTCTACTAAAAATACAAAAAAATTAGCTAGGCGTGGTGGCGGGCGCCTGTAGTCCCAGCTACTTGGGAGGCTGAGGCAGGAGAATAGTGTGAACCCAGGAGGCAGAGCTTGTAGTGAGCCGAGATCTCGCCACTGCACTCCAGCCTGGGCGACAGAGCGAGACTCCATCTCAAAAAAAAAAAAAAAAAAAAATTGCAAAACAGCCTACTGGGAATGTTGAGAGGATTACGTTGAATTTTTAGCTCATTTGGGGGAGTACTGCTGTCTTAATAACATTGTCTTTTTAATCCGTGAATCTGGGATGTTTTTCTACTTATTTAGGTCTTTAATTTTTTTCTTTTTTTCTTTCTTTCTTTTTTTTTTGAGATGGAGTTTCACTCTTGTTGCCCAGGCTGGAGTGCATTGGCATGATCTCGGCTCACTGCAACTTCTGCCTCCCGGGTTCAAGTGATTCTTCTGCCTCAGCCTGCCGAGTAGCTGGGATTACAAGTGTGCACCACCATGCCCCACTAATTTTTGTATTTTTAGTTGAGATGGGGTTTTGCCATGTTGGCCAGGCCGGTCTCAAACTCCTGACCTCAGGTGATCTGCCACCTCAGCCTCCCAAAGTGCTGGGCTTACATGTGTGAACCACTACGCCTGGCCTCTTTAATTTTTTTCAGTGATATTTTTTCATTTTCAGTGTACATCTTGTACTGATTTTGTTAAATTTATTAATTATTTTATTTATTTAACTTAATTTTTTTTTCTTTTTTTTTTTTTGAGACAGAGTCTTGCTCTATTGCCCAGGCTGGAGTGCAGTGGTGCGATCTTGGCTCACTACAACCTCTGCCTTGCAGGCTCAAGTGATTCTCCTGCTTCAGCCTCCCAAGTAGCTTGGACTATAGAGACATGCCACCCCTCCCAACTAATTTTTGTATTTTTAGTAGAGATGGGGTTTCACCATGTTGGGCAGGCTGGTCTCGAACTCCTGACCTCAAGTGATCTGCCTGCCTTGGCCTCCCAAAGTTGCTGGGATTACAGGCATGAGCCACCACGCCTGGCGTTAACTTAATTTTTGTGTGTGTGTGTATGTCACCCAGGCTGGAGTACAGTGGCATGATTATGGCTCACTGCAGCCTCCACCTCCCCCCTCAAACTCTGAAGTAGCTGGCATTACAGGTATGCACCACCATGCCCAGCTAATTTTTTATTTTTTGTAGAGACAGGATTTCACTGTCTTGCCCAGGCTAGTGTTGAACTCCTGGGCTCAAGGCATCCTACCACTTTGGCCTCCAGAAGTGCTGCGATTGATTACAGGCATGAGCTACTGCACCTGGCCTATCTTTGTAGATCTATCTATTATTGAAAGTGGAGTACAGAAGTATTCAATTTTTTTTTTTTTTGAGATGGAGTTTTGCTCTTGTTGCCCAGGCTAGAGTGCAGTGGCATGATCTCGGCTCACCGCAACCCTCCGCCTCCTGGGTTCAAGTGATTCTCCTGCCTCAGCCTTCCAAGTAGCTGGGATTACAGGCATGCGCCACCACGCCTAGCTAATTTTGTATATTTAGTAGAGATGGGGTTTTTCCATGTTGGTCAGGCAGGTCTCGAACTCCTGACCTCAGGTGATCCGCCCGCCTTGGCGTCCCAAAGTGCTGAGATTACAGGTGTGAACCACCACGCCCAGCCCAATTTTTTTTATTTTTAATTTTTTATTTTTCTGAGACAGAGTCTGCCTCTGTCCCCCAGGCTGGTGTGCAGTGGTGTGATCTTGGTTCACAGCAACCTCCGCCTCCTAGGTTTAAGCGATTCTTGTGCCTCAGTAGCTGGGATTACAGGTGCTCACCATCACACCCAGATGATTTTTAAATTTTTAGTAGAGATGGGATTTCACCATGTTGGCCTGGCTGGTCTCAAACTCCTGACCTCAAGTGATCCACTCGCCTCAGCCTCCCAAAGTGCTGGGATCACAGGCATGAGCCACTATGCCCGGCCTCCTATTATTTTAACTGTCTTTTTCTCCCTTCAGTTTTGTCAGTTTTTCCGTCAGGTGTTTGGGGCTTTGTTTTTAAGTACATGTGTTTTTATAATTGTTACATACTTCTTTATTTTATTATTGTTTTTGAGATGGAGTCTTGTGTCTCGCTGTGTCACCCAGGCTGGAGTGTGGTGGCACTGTCTTGTCTCACTGCAACCTCCTCCTCCCACGTTTCATTGATTTTCCTGCCTCAGCCTCTGGAGTAGCTGGAACTACAGGCGTGCGCCACCATTTCCAGCTAATTTTTTTTTGTACTTTTAGTACAGATGGGGTTTCACCATGTTCCCCAGGCTGGCCTTGAACTCCTGACCTCAGGTGATCTACCCACCTTGGCCTCTCAAAGTGCTGGGATTATGGTCATGAGCCACCGTGCCCGGCCTTAATGGTTACATATTTCTGATGGATTGACCCTTACTGTAAAATGTCTTTGTCTCTATTAACAGTTTTTTTCTTAAACATTTGTTTTGTTTGATACTAGTATAACCATTATAGTTCTCTTATGGTGGTTTGCTTGGTATATTTTTGTTTTGTTTTTTGTTTTGTTTTGTTTTGTTTTTCTCAAGCTATATGTGTCTTAATTTGAAGTAGGTCTCTTTTAGAGAAGGTATGGTTGGAGCATGTTTGTGAATTTGTGTTTGTGTTTACTACATTCTGCCTGTCTTGCATTTAATGTATTTATTGATAATATAGGGCTCTTTTGCTGTTAATCTTTCTATCTCTTGTCACTTTTGTTCCTCTGTTCTTCCATTACTGCCTGTCTTACTGTTAAATAGATATTTTGTAGTGTACCATCTTAACTCCTATGTTTCTTTGACTTTATTTTTTGTTTTGTTTCTTAGTGGTTGCCTTGGGTATTAAAACTAACATTTTAACTTACTCCAATCTTTTAGTTTCGGTAGGATCCAAAAATTTCATTTAGTATGGCTTTGTCCCCTTCCCCTTGATTTTTGCCATTATTGTCATGCAAATTATACCTTTATACATTATGTGATCACCAAAAGGTTTATAATTCTTGCTTCATGCAGTTATTTTTTTGAGACAGGGTTTCATTCTGTTGCCCACGCAGGACACGATCACAGCTCAGTGCAGCCTCAACCCTCCAGACTCAAAGCGGTCCTCCCAGGTAGCTGGGACCACAAACATGTGCCACCACACCTGATAAATTTTTTAATTTTTTGTAAAGTTGAGGTTCTCAGTATGTTGCCCAGTCTGGTGTCGAACCTCTGGGCTCAAACTGATCTCCCGTTTTAGCTTCCCAAAGTGTTGGGATTACAGAAATGAGCCACTGCACCCAGCCCAGTTGTTCTTTAATTAGGAGATTTATACTGTCCTTTGTATTTACCTGTGTATCTTTGCCAGTAGTTTTTCATACGGATTCAGGTCAGTGTTCAGTGTTTTTTCATTTCAGCCAGGATTCTTGAATTTTTCTTGTTTCAGCAGGACTGCTAGCAATGAATTACCTCTTTTTGTTATCTAGGGAATATCCTAATTCCTCCTGTATCTTTGGGGATAGCTTTGCCAGATGAAGGATTCCTGGTTGGCATTCCTTTTCTTTGAACATTTTGAATATGCTCCCCCACTGCTTTCTGTCCTCCATGGTTTCTGATGAGACATCAGCTGTTAATTTATTGAGTATTGTATGTGATGAGTTGCTTCTATCTTGCTGCTGGTAAGATACTCTCCTTGTCTTTTTTCTTTCATCAGCTTGATTATGTTATTCTAGGTATGAATCTCTTTGAGTTTATTCTACTTAGAATTTATTGAATTTCTTGGGTGTCTAGATTAATGTTTTTAATAAAATTTATCGGGTTTTCAGTCATTATTTCTACAAATCTTTCCGTACCTTTTTCTTCTCTCCTTGTACTCCCATTATGTTTGTGGTGGCACACTCAGTAGTGCTCCACATGTCCTTGAGTTCTCAGCCCCCATCCCCCCACCCCCTTTTTTTTCATTTTCTCAGGCTGGATAATTTTAATTGATCTATCTTCAAATGAACTATTTTGTCTGCTTGAATGTGTGGTGGGACATGTGGTTAGTGAAACTTTATTACAGTTACTGTACTTTTTCTGTTTGGTATGTTGTAGAGTGTAGTATCTGATGGGAAAAAACGAATTTCTGTTTTTTGGTTTTTTTTTTTGCTAATTTCTATGGACATGCTTTTTGAGATAGTATTCCTATGTTTTCCTTCAGTTCTTTTGATATATTTTCTTTTAAACGTGTTCTGTAGTGGCTGGGTGTCATGGCTTCAGCCTATAATCCCAGCAGCACTTTGGGAGGCCAAGGTGGGTGGATCACTTGAGATCAGGAGTTTGAGACCAGCTGGCCAACATGGCAAAACTCCGTATCCACTAAAAATGCAAAAATTAGCCAGGCATAGTGAAGGGCGACTATAGTCCCAGCTACTTGGGAGGCTGAGGCAAGAGAATTGCTTGAACCCAGGAGATGGAAGGTACACTGAGCCGAGTTTGTGCCACTGCACTCCAACCTGGGCAGCAGAGTAAGACTCTGTCTCAAAAACCAAAATAAAATGAAAATAAATGTGTTTGGTAACTGATTTGAATTCCTTGTCTAGTAAGTCCAACAGCAGTGTTTCCTCAAGGATCATTTCTACATAGCTTTCCAGCCCTTTGCATGGGACACCCTTTTGTTTCTTTACAAGTCTTGTAATTTTTTTGTTGAAAACAGACAACTTTAAATAATATGGCATTTCCTGGAATCAGATCTTCCTTCTTCAGCAGAGCACATTGTTCGTTATTGCCCTTTTTTTGTTTAGTGACTTTCCTGAACTAATTCTGTTCTTTATAATAGTTGGCTACTGAAGTTCCTGCTTGGTTAGCCTTGTTGTCAGCTAAGATTGACGAGATTTTCTTAAACCTAATCTTGGGAATCAATTCAGCACTAAGCCAGGCAATTCACAGCCACCTTAGTCTTTACTTCCAAAGTTTTTTTTTTTTCTCTCTTTTTTTTAAAATCGAGACGGAGTCTCGCTCTGTCGCCCAGGATGGAGTGCAGTGGCACGATCTCGGCTCACTACAACCTCCACCTCCGGGGTTCAAGCGATTCTCCTGCCTCAGCTGAGTAGCTGGGATTACAGGAGCATGCCACCACGCCTGGCTAATTTTTGTATTTTTAGTAGAGACAGGGTTTCACCATGTTGGCCAGGATGGTCTCGATCTCTTGACCTCGTGATCTGCCTGCCTTGGCCTCCCAAAGTGCTGAGATTACAGGCTTGAGCCACTGCACCCGGCTCAAAGTTTTTCTTTACAGATTTTTTTTTTTTTCTTGAGATGGAGTTTCGCTCTTGTTGCCCAGCCTGGAGTGCAGTGGCACAATCTCGGCTCACTGCAACCTCCACCTCCTGGGTTCAAGTGATTCTAATGCCTCAGCCTCCCGAGTAGCTAGGATTACAGGCATGCACCATTACGCCCAGCTAATTTTGTATTTTCTTTAGTAGAGACAGGGTTTCTCATGTTGGGCAGGCTGGTCTCAAACTCCCGACCTCAGGTGATTCGCCCGCCTCCCAAAGTACTGAGATTACAGGCGTGAGCCACCGTGCCCGGCCTTCTTTACAGATTTTTAGTTAGCCTGTATGTAGTTTGCTCCAACTGTAGTAGTCTTCCACCTCAGATAGGCAATAAGTTTAAAACAGTTACTTTCAAATGTTTTTTGTAAACACCTCATGCAGAAAAGGTTTTTGTTTGGGTCAGTTTTCAGGTCAAATAAATCCAACCTTGTCATTGTGTTCTCACACAGACTCCCTATACAGATGAAATAATGACAATTCACTGAGAAGGAGGCTTTGAAGATGTTTTAACCCTGTTTTGATTCACCTCTCAGGCTTCTGGTTTTCATTGTGATTGAGGGCTGTCAGCTTCTAAGCTGGCTGTGGAGCTGGAGATGGGAATAATAGGGCAAATTAATGTGCTAGAAAACTTGATAGTCTCTTGAATAAAAATTTCCCACTTGTTATAAGCCTTTGGTTAACTTCCAAAGTTCTGAAAAAGTTGATTCAGACACTTTTCTAGTTGCTTTTATGAAGGAGAGGAAGTCAGCCCATACCCTGTCGTTTTGCTTTATGAGAAGGTTTTTTTTTTTTTTTTTGAGATGATGTCTTGCCTCCAATTACCTGGGATTACAGGTATATGCTACCATGCATGCCTATTTTTTAAATTTATTTTTATTTTTAATTTTCTGTGGAAATGGGGCTTCACCATGTTGCCCAGGATGGTCTCAAACCCCTGAGCTGAGGCACTCCTCCTGCCTTGGCTTCCGAAAGCGCTGGGATTACAGGTATGAGCCACCACGCCCGGCCAGCATTATTTCTTTTTGTTGTTGTTTAAATAGTCTCACTCTATTACCCAGACTAGAGTGTAGTAATGTGATCATGGCTCACTCGTGGGCTCAAGCAGTCCTCTCTGCATCCTAAAGCGCTGGGGTTATAGGCATAAGCCACCTATGCTCAGCCTTTTTTTTTCTTTCTTTCTTTTTTTCTTATGAGGTCTTACTGTGTTGTTGTACAGTCTGAAGTACAGTGCATGTTCACAGGCACAATCATAGCTCAATGCAACCTTGAACTCCTGGCTTAGTCTTCCTGCCTGAGCCTTGTGAGTAGGTGGTCCTATAGACGCATGCCACCATGCTTGGCCTGATGGTCTTTTTGGCTGTTATAATTAGAGAGAAACGTGCCTCTAATACCTAGTAGTGTAGAAACCAATGATACTAGGCTGGGCGCGGTGGCTCACAGCTGTAATCCCAGCACTTTGGGAGGCCGAGGGTGGGTCACCTGAGGTTGGGAGCTCAAGACCAGCCTGATCAACATGGAGAAATCCCATCGCTACTAAAAATAGAAAAATTAGCCAGGCGTGGTGGCGCATGCCTGTAATCCCAGCTACTCGGGAGGCAGAGGTTGGGGTGAGCCAAGATCTTGCCATTGCACTCTGTCTGGGCAACAAGAGTGAAACTCCGTCTCAAAAATAAAAAAAAGAAACCAATCATACTGGCTAAACATTCCACAGTGCACAAGACTGCCTTGTACAACAAATAATTATCCATTCCAAAGCACTCTGCTCTATAAGCTCTAAATGTTCTACAGTTTCAAGTTCTAAAGTGTAACCTTTTACATTTATACATTTTAATCCATCTGCAGTGGAATATTCTGGAAAGTTAATTGCCTGTTAAAATTGCGCAAAATGTTTTTATTGTAAGAAGGCAGTTTACCTAACTTCCAGGTTTCAATTAATTTCTTTAATTGATCTATTAGCAGTACTTGTTGAAAAATTTAATAAGATAATGTATCCAAAGTATTTTGAGTCCATACTGATGATAATAAATGCCAGAGAAGGAAAGTTATTTCAACTAATAAATATAGAAGAATTACGATGGAGTTGTAATCTTTAATGTGTGTTAATAGTAATGGATATATGTTTGAAGAGCAGGATAATTATGTAGTTTGAAAATATCTCTCCACAAATTACATTGTAATTACAAAGGGGGAAAACAACTTCAGAAAAACCTGTCAGATACCATGTTAGTCTACTGATCAAAGTGATCACCATCTGAAACCTACATCATGTGTTTCATAAAATGCACTGAGAAGAATACAAGGTAATTTATTCTGTAAGGTTATAATACCTAATTTGAATTTAGAACATCAGACAAACTCAAATCAAGGGACATTCTACAAAACAACTGACTTGTACTTTTTTTTTTTTTTGAGGCAGGGTCTTGCTCTCTTGCCCAGGCTGGAATGCAGTGGTGCGAACTCGGCTCACTACAACCCCTGCTTCCTGGGTTCAAGCAGTTCCCTCAGCCTCCTGAGTAGCTGGGACGACAGGCGCACACTACCACACCTGGCTAATTTTTTGTATTTTTGGTAGAGATGGGGTTTTGCCATGTTGGCCAGGCTGCTCTTGAACTTCCTGACCTCAAGTGATCTGCCCACCTCTGCCTCCCAGAGTGCTGGGATGACAGGTATGAGCCATTGCACTTGGCCCTGAGTTGTACTTAAAAAAATAAAGTCAAGAAGAACACGTAAAGGCTAAGAAAATCTTTCAGATTAAATGACCTGAAGAGAGGTGACAACTTAATGCAATGGGAAAAATAGCTTTGAAGAGCATTGTGGGAATAGTTGGTATAATGTGAACATGGCCTATTTATTTTATCATTGTTAAGCTTCTGATGTTTGATTTTACATGGCTATGTAGGAAAATGTTTTTGTTCATAGAAAATATATAGTGAAGGCTGAGCATGGTGGCTTACACTTGTAACTCCAGCACTTTAGGAGGCTGAGGTGGGCAAATTGCTTGAGCTTAGGAGTTTGAGACCAGCCTGGGCAATGTCGCGAAACCCCGTCTCTGAAAAAAAACATTTAAAAATTAGCTGGGCATGGTCTGTATGCGTGGAGTCCCAGCAGCTGGGGAGGCTGAGGTTGGAGGATCATCTGAACTCAGGAGGCAGAGGCAGAGCCATAATTGTACCACTGCATTCCTGCCTGGGCGACAGTGAGACCCTGTCTCAAAAAAAGAAGAAAACATGTAGTGAAGCATTTAGGGATAAATTCATGGTATATCCAAACCAATGCTTCAGGGCGAAAAGTATAGAAATAATGGTTAGGTTAATAAGGCAAATGTATACCATTGGCGTGAGAAGCATTTGTGGGAGTTAATTGTAATATTCTTGCCACTTCTTTTATTTATTTATTATTTATTTATTTTTTTGAGACGGAGTTTTTCTCTTGTTACCCAGGCTGGGGTGTAATGGCACAATCTTCGCTCACTGCAACATCTGCCTCCCAGGTTCAAGCGATTCTCCTGCCTCAGCCTCCCGAGTAGTTGGGATTACAGGTGCGCGCCACCACTGCCCAGCTAATTAATTTTTTGCATTTATAGTAGAGATGGGGTTTCATCATGTTGGCCAGGCTGGTCTCAAACTCCTGACCACAGGTGATCCTCCACACCCGGCCAATTCTTGCCACTTCTAAGTTTGAAACTGTGTAAGAAATAAGAATTTATCCCTAAATAGTAAAGGTGAATATTTTAATTTACCATATTTTATTCTAAAGTGCCCATTTTATTTTTCTTCCTACTTTAACATTTCTGAAATGATGTGTCTCATTGGTGATGTGTCTTATATTACAATTGGTGGAATTACTTTTTTTGTTTTTGCATAGGACATAAAATATTAGTGTGGCTTACACAATTGAAGGCATTTTGGATTCAATGCAGTATAATATAATTACCATCTACTGCTTGGTACCCTGTTTTTCTAACCCATGGCACTGGTCTTTTTGGAACAGTTTCTTTTTAATTTAGTGGTTTGTTTGTTTGCTTTTGTTTTTGTGATTGGTAAAATATAGGTGTGGTTTTAAAGTCAAAACTCTAAAGCAAGATACATTTGGAGAAATCTTCCTTTGAACTCTGATACCTCTACCTTGTTCTCCTTTTCTCCTGTAGTTAGTCACTATCATTAATATTTTTGGGTTATCTTATATTAAAAACAAATACATACTTATTCGTATATTTATCCCTATCCTTCACTGTAGAAGAGATAATATGCAACTTGCTTCTTGATCTTATATCCTAGAGTTCACTCCATACAATTAGAGAGCTTCCTTATTTCTTTTACTTGCTGCATAATACTCCATTGAATGGCTGTTCTGTACTGTAGTCAACCAGTCTCCTACTGGTGGAAATTTGCATTGTTTTCGCTTTTGTATCACATACAGTGTTGCAGTGAGCAGTGTTTTGCATCCATCATTTTTACCAATGTATAATTGGACTACTAGAAGTGGATGTGTCAGAATAATAGGTAAATTCATCTGCGATTGTGTTAGGTATCGCAAAATTTTCCTCCATAGGGATTTTTCTATTTTGTAAAACCAGCAGTGTTATTGCATCTATTTCCCCACAGCCTTGCTAATATAGTATGTGCCTGTTATTATGGTGAGATATGGGACAACATGGAGATACGGTATCTCTATGAAGTTTTAATTGTTGTGGAGTATTTGGAATGCAGATACATTTGTAAATGAAGCTTCAGAGGACCTCTTGTTTCCTTAAATTTGAAATACTTTTAATTATTTTGAGCATTTTTGTGGAAACTAATGTTCTACTTGTTTCTAAAGTAAATAAGTAGACCAATACCTTTAGGAGTATAAGGCTCCCTTTTCTTTTTTGTGGTCTGCATTGCATAACAATAGGAATGCATTTCTGAGATATGTGTCATCAGGCAATTTTGTCTTTGTGTGAGCATTATAGAGTATACTGTTAGAAACCTAGATGGTATAATGTACTGTATACAGTTTGCCTATGTGGTATGGCCTATTCCTCCTAAGCTACCAACCCATACAGTGATGTTACTATACTGAATATACTGAAGGCAATTATAACACAATGGTATTTATATATTTAAACAGAAAAGTTACAGCAAAATACATTATAATATGTGGGACAACCATTGTATATGTGGTCCCATATACCATTTTGTTGACTGAAATGTCATTATGTGGTATGGGACTGTATTTTTCTTCCTGGCTTCAGTGGACATAAAACAACGCGTTTATTTCATTTGTTGTCTGTGTTCAGACTATTGTTATTTTGCTATTGGCACAAGTACAAATTTTCATAGATTTTTCTCTATTGATTTAATGTAATATAGGCTTATTCAGTACTGTTAGCACCCTAGTCTTATTTTTTCCCCCCAAATGTGAAACAGCTTTCTTTTCTGAGTGATGACTTTTACTTCTTAATGCCAGTAGTAACATTCTGAATTTAGGTGGGAAGATTTAAAGACTAAGTTCATGTACGGCTGCTACTGCTTTTTTTTGTTGTTTAAGATGGAGTCTCGCACTGTCACCCAGGCTGGAGTGCAGTGGCGCGATCTCAGGTCATTGCATCCTCTGCCTCCCGGGTTCAAGCGATTCTCCTGCCTCAGCCTCCCGAGTAGCTGGGATTACAGGCACCTGCCAACACACCCGGCTAATTTTTTGTATTTTTAGTAGAGACGGGATTTCACTGTGTTGGCCAGGCTGGTCTCAAACTCCTGACCTTGTGATCCGCTTGCCTCTGTCTCCCGAAGTGCTGGGATTACAGGTGTGAGCCACCGTGCCTGGCCGCCCCCCCGCCGCTTTTTTTTTTAATTTATTTTTTTTAGAGACAGGGTCTTGTTCTTTCTCTAAGACTGGAGTGCATTGATGTGATCATAGCTCACTACAGCCTTGAAATCCTGGGCTCAAGCACTCCTCCCGCCTCAGCCTCCCAAGTAGTTATGACTACAGGCATGTGCCACCACACCTGGCTAATTTTTAAAATTTTTTGTAGAGATGAAGTCTTGGCTGTGTTCACAGGCTGGTCTCGAAACTCCTTCCTCAAGCGATCCTCCCACCACTGCCTCCCTCCCAAAGTGCTGGGATTACAGGTGTAAGCCACCTCCACCTCCCAGCTACCATGTAGAGCCTCTTTTTTTTTTTTTGATACGGAGTCTCACATTCTGTTGCCCAGGCTGGAGTACAGTAGTGCAATCTTGGCTCCTGGGTTCAAGCAATTCTCCTGCCTCAGCCTCCTGAGTAGCTGGGATTAGAGGTGCCCGCCACATGCCTGGCTAGTTTTTGTATTTTTAGTAGAGATGGGGTTTCACCATGTTGGCCAGGCTGGTCTTGAGCTTCTGACCTCAGCTTCTGACCTGAGTTTCTGACTTCAGGTGATCTGCCTGCCTCAGCCTCCCAGAGTGCTAGGATTATAGGCATGAGCCACCGCACCCGGCCCGAGTAGAGCTTCTGAATACAAGGGACCCCATAGTTGTATGAGGCAATACAGATTGAGTATCCCTTCTTTGAAATGCTTGGGGTCAGAAGTATTTAGGATTTTGGTTTAAAAAATTTTTTAAAAACCATTTGCATTATACTTACTTGCTTAATATACACCTCAAATTCCAAAATTCAAACTCCGAAATGCTACAATGAGCATTTCCTTTAAACATTGGCATTCAAAAAGTTTTAGATTTTGTAGCGTTTGGTATTCAGATTCTCAGATTTGGGATGCTCAACCTGTAATAGCAACCTAAGATAGGAAAATTGGTTTAATTGTCAAGTAAACATTTACCCTACTTGACATTTGTTTTAGAGGTCAGTCACTGCTTCATGTGCTTGTTAAAGGTAATTACTATGCATGGTGTTTTTGTCTATAAGTACATGTATTATCTTAGACTGTGATATACTAGTATAAAAATTGCATGCCTGTTTGCTTTGATATGTCTGGGTTTGGGCATAATTTTTGACAAAGTGGTTGAAGCTATGGAATGTTTTCTGGAAAATTTTAATATATTTTGGTTGTACTATATACTAGTTCATTTCAGAGGTGCAAATTAGTTTCAAGAGAAAGCCAGTACTCAGAAAATTCTAGTGATGAGTGACAGATGCAGAGGGATGGGATGTGGCAGAAATTTAGCTACATGCTCCAGCAAGTTTTCCTTCCGCTTTCCCTTCTCATCTCTTACCCAGGCTGAAGTGCTGTGGTGCGATTATAGCTCATTGCAGCCTCGAACTCCTGGGCTCTATCAGTCCTCCCACCTCAGCCTCCCAAGTAACTGGGATTACAGGCACATGCCATGACATCCAGCTAACTTTTTTTTTGAAGACGGAGTCTTACTCTGTCACCCAGACTGGAGTGCAGTGGCGCGATCTCGGCTCACTGCAACCTCTGCCTCCCAGATTCGAGTGATTCTCCTGCCTCAGCCTCCCGAGTAGCTGGGACTACAGGCATGCGCCACCATGCCTGGCTAATTTTTGTGTTTTTAGTAGAGACGGGGTTTCACCATGTTAGCCAGGCTGGTCTCGAACTCCTGACCTCAGGCAATACCCCCGCCTTGGCCTCCCAAAGTGCTGGGATTACAGGCATGAACCACTACGCTCAGCCTCGACTTTTTAATACTTATTTAATATTTGTAGACATGGGGTCTCGCTATCTTGCCCAGGTTGGCCTCAAACTCCTGGCTCAAGCAATCCTTCCGCCTCAGCCTTTCAAAGCAGTGAGACTACAGGTATGAGCCACCGTGCCCAGCCTCAACAAAGTTTCTTTATTAGAAAATCAGATTGGTACTCGGGAGGCTGAGGCAGAAGAATCGCTTGAACCCGGGGGGCAGAGGTTGCAGTGAATTGATATCGTGCTACTGCACTCCAGTCTGGGTGACAGAGTGAGACTCCATCTTAAAAAAAAAAAAAATCAGATCGGTTGGTTTACTTACATGTGCTAGAGAATAGGAACTGATATTTTTTACCTTTTCCCCTCTATTTTAGGAGTGTTTCTCAGGAGCTATCAGAAACTATCCTCACCATGGTAGCCAATTGCAGTAATGTTATGAATAAGGCCAGACAACCACCACCTGGAGTTATGCCAAAAGGACGTCCTCCTAGTGCTAGCAGCTTAGATGCCATTTCTCCTGTTCAGGTAAATGAGTGCTACATTTGATACATCTTCATTTGCCATAGATTTGGAATAGAATAAGCTCCTATGTCATTAATAAATTGTCTGAATTTATTACATTTTAGATAACTGCATGTCTAGCATCCACTTATTTTAAAGGAGATATGTAAATAGGCATTGTAGTTAACAATAGATTTTATCATCAAATAGAACGTGACTCTAAGAGGAAATATACAGACAATTTATTTAGGTAAATGAAGAGGGTTTCTTTTTAAAATATGAATTACGTAGACTCTTGAGACATAAGCACTGCCTTTGAACCTGATGTGTCTTGTTTGTAGCTTCACGGGCCAAGCAACAGTGCTAGAGCATAACGACTTGTTATAACTGGGGCTCTTCAGCTCTCAACTGAACTGCTCTTTTAAAAACAAGGTACATTTAAGTTACTCCCTGACATCAACCACCCCCTTCTCTCTGGGAGCAACATATTGCGCTTCTATTTTCAGATGCATTGAATGGCAGATTGGGTTTTAAGGAAGAAAGAGGCTAAAAGTTAGTGATTCAGTGGCTACTTCCCTATAAAAGGCATTTGCTTGTCATTTTCTATAGCCATGAAGGTATGAAGTAGTGCCACACACTTAAGCCTGGAAGTGCAGTTATTAGATATTTTAAAAATACATATTTTGGTGAATAGCATACCTTGTTTTTGTTTTCAAAATTGGAGCTGATCTTCCCCCACCTCAAAAATCCCCAAATTTCGACTAAATTTATTTTGGGAGATTCGTTTCTAATTTCTAATACTTTTATTTATGTTGAAACTTACTTAAATTTAGCTTGATTGTTTTAAAGTGGCTTATTGGAATTTGTGAGGATTTATTAATATAATAAGTGTCCCATGTCACTACTAAATGTTTAGTTTAGGGCAGTTCATCTTAAGTGTTGTTCATTAGATTTTGTAGCCCTTTTTATGGCTCTGTTATAGGTTGAGCATCCTTAATCTGTAAATCCAAAATGCTCCAAAATCAAACTTTTGGAGCACTGACATGACACGCCACAAGTAGAAAATTCCATACCTGATCTGATGCTACGTGTTGAGTCAAAACATAGTCATAATTATGTTTCATGCAAAAAATTCTTTTAAAAAAACTGTATAAAATTACATTCTGGTTATGTGTATATAGGTATATGTGAAACAAGTGAATTTCATGTTTTGACATGGGTCCCATCCCCATGATGGGATTGTTAGGATATCTGGTTATGTATATGCAAATATTCTAAAATCCAAAATTGAAAACTTTTCTGGTTCCAAGTATTTTCAATAAGGGATACTCAACCTGTACTTTGTCAAAGGCAAACTCTTTAAACCTATTCTGTATGTGACACAGTAAGAAAAGTGACTGACACACTTGACTTGATAACTGGGATTTAAGTATCATCGTGATTGAGTGGGTGTAATAGTTTGCTTTTTAAGATTATGAAGAGCTGTTGTTAAAGATTGCTTTACATGTGTCTGCCTTTCCTCGAAGTATGTTTAATACATTTTTATAATGTTTTTCTTTAGATTGACCCTCTTGCTGGAATGACATCTCTTAGTATAGGTGGTTCAGCTGCCCCTCACACCCAGAGTATGCAGGGTTTTCCTCCAAATTTGGGTTCTGCATTCAGTACCCCTCAGTCACCAGCAAAAGCATTTCCACCCCTTTCAACCCCCAATCAGACCACTGCATTCAGTGGTATTGGAGGACTTTCATCACAGCTTCCAGGTAAGGGGGAGGCAAATGAGAGCATGGATTATTCATAAGTTTGCCTTAGTTATGCCTTAGTGTTTGGTAAGGGGTTTGGAGTCACTGTGATAAGGAAAGCTGCTTAAATGAAATTGTGAAAGCTACTTCAGTATCCAAAGTTGGGAAAAGAAAAACAGATTATATTCAATTCAGTCTAATTGGAGGAAAGAATTAGGATATTTGTAGTTGTAAAGTTAGTTGAATTATTTAGTAAGGATTTTTTATTAACAAATGATAGTATAAGTGGTAACATGTATGTGCATCACATTCTAAAGGGCTTAGATCAAAAACTCACAGCTTTATGAATTCAGGTTGGTATAATAAAGGTAGAAACTATTGTACCTATCAGGTTCAGGCATATGTTCTGCCTGCCTTATTGCATTTCACCAACCTTGAAAATGATAGGACATCCCAAAAACATTTTAAGGTTTTTTTTCGTTTGTTTGTTTTTTGGGTAGTGGGGGACAGGGTTTCGCTCTTGTTGCCCAGGCTGGAGTGCAGTGGTACGATCTTGGCTCACTGCAACCTCCGCCTCCCAGGTTCAAGCGATTCTCCTGCCTCAGCCTCCCGAGTAGCTGGGATTACAGGTGCCCGCCACCATGCCATGCTAATTTTTTGTATTTTTAGTAGAGACAGGGTTTCACCATATTGGCCAGGCTGATCTCGAATTCCCGACCTCAGGTGATCCACCCACCTTGGCCCCCCAAAGTGCTGGGATTACAGGCATGAGCCACTGCGCTTGGCCACATTTTCAGTTTTTTTCCCAGATATTGTTCCATGTAACTTTACATTGAAATAAAAGCTATATTTTTTTTGTTGTTGTTGTTGTGGTTGTTTGTACCTACATCTTCTTAGCCCCTTGTACCTTTTATGTTGACACTGTAAGTTTGGGCACTAAAACCTAAGGACTTCCATGTTGTCATTGACTCTAATCTAGTTAGCGTTGCTACTGTATGCTTCTAGCTTTGATTAATTCATTTAAATAAACGTCACTGAACTTATTAAGGCCTTCCTAGCAAAGCTCTAATTATTGTAAGATTCCTTTTGTCGGAGTTGAGAGGAATAAAGAAGTTTTGAGACTCATGGTAACTTTAGAAGATAGTATCATGAAATTATTTGATTTGAATCATTGAGAAAAGCCAGCCAGCTCCTTATTTTAACTACCTTGGGTATAGGAGTATGTGCTTTGAGAATGTATACATTAATTTTTTGCACATTATCAAGAATATAAATAATTCCAGATGCTAAAGAAATTTGGGGATTATCCGTTACTGCCTAGTTTATAGGCTCTGTAAAATTGAATAGATGTAATAAGGGAATTAACAAAGACTCTGACTTTTAAAGTAAGAGTTACTATGACTTTATTTTAAAAGTCTGTCTTATTAATATATCTGAGATGTGAATAAAATCAAGAATATGAATAATGATAGGATTTGTGGCTGCCTTCGTTCTCTCTAGTAGGTGGTCTTGGCACAGGCAGCCTGACTGGTATAGGAACTGGTGCTCTTGGACTCCCTGCAGTGAATAACGACCCTTTTGTACAGAGGAAACTGGGCACCTCTGGACTGAATCAGCCTACATTCCAGCAGAGTAAGATGAAACCTTGTAAGTGGTAGTGTTGTCTGTGATTGTGAAGTGTGACTGATAAAAATGTTTAGTTGTATGTCTCATTTGTGTTAGTAGGGCCATGTGTTGATGTGCCTCCTAGACCAATGGGAATAAATTCACAAATTTGAATTATTAAAAGTTAGAGGTATCACTCCTTCCCAGAACAAAGTCGTGGTTAATAAGAGGCTGCATCCTGAGGGTGTTTATCCTAAAAGTAAGAAGTAGGTATGATAAAGAGAAATTAATATGTGGTAGATATACGAATGTAACTCTTGAACTTAACCTAAACATGTGTTGAGTTTTTTTTAAAGCAAGTCAGGAGTGAGAAGGACAATTTCAGATTTCTGTTTCCAATTTTTGTTTCACCTCCTTAGTAATTTTTTATGCTAACTAAACTCATAGAAGTCATCTTTATAAATCCATAGGTATAATTGACTGAAGTCCTTGTCATTGGGACTGCATAGTCATGACACGAGGTTGAAAGTATTCCAGCTGACTTGATAACGTTAGTGTGAAAGGCTTGTCTGAATGTTATGTTTTGTAGCATGCTTTGTGTTTACATCAGTCTTTCATGCACATGCATGATAATTCTTATATGTTAAATGTGATTTTTATTATAAAGTGATAAAGATTTGTTAACCTAATGAGGTTGTATTAAGGGTAAGTGCGTTATGAGTTTGAACCAAGTTAACTTTTGTGTTAATAAGTCCTGATGAAGATAATACTAATGTAGAATTATGGAAGGCACTTTGTTAAGGATCTTTTACGTCTACCCTAGCACACATTAATACTGAAACTTGACCGCTTAATACCTTTTCCAGTTTTTTTATATTTCCCTTGAAGTTAGAGCTATAATAGTCTCTGGCTGGCTGTGTTTTATGGGGAAGTGGAGGAAGGGCTTAAATGCCCACTGATTCCTTTTTTGTTTCCAACAGCGGACTTGTCTCAGGTGTGGCCAGAGGCAAACCAGCACTTTAGTAAAGAGATAGATGATGAAGCAAACAGCTATTTCCAGCGAATATATAATCATCCACCACATCCAACCATGTCTGTTGATGAGGTGAGTGTCTAGGATGATCTACTTATTTATTGTTTAGGCCAGTCTTAAATAAATGTCCTTTTCAATGTTTTTAGAAATCCAGCTCAAAGTGCCCTGATATAGCGGTTTGTGTTTTGAAACCTTAATATTTGTCTCAAGCTCTTTTGGTAAATGTTCTACTTAATAGTCTTTTGTTAAGCATATTTGAGAAAGGCTCTTAGTAATTGTTTCCTTTATGTGTGCGTTGTTTTTGTCTTGCTTTTCCAGGTATTAGAAATGCTGCAGAGATTTAAAGACTCTACTATAAAGAGGGAACGAGAAGTATTTAACTGTATGCTAAGGAACTTGTTTGAAGAATATCGTTTTTTTCCCCAGTATCCTGATAAAGAGTTACATATAACAGCCTGCCTATTTGGTGGTATAATTGAGAAAGGACTGGTCACTTACATGGCACTAGGTCTGGCTCTACGATATGTTCTTGAAGCCTTACGCAAGCCTTTTGGATCCAAAATGTATTATTTCGGGATTGCTGCACTAGATAGATTTAAAAACAGGTAAGTGGATAGGTTTCCTGTGAAGGATCTCTTCCCTGACCCCGCAGACAGGGTCTTAACTCTCATCCAGGCTGGAGTGCAGTGGCGCAATCTCGGCTCACTGCAGCCTTGACCTTGCGGGCTCAAGTGATTCTCCCACTTCAGCCTCCTGAGTAGCTGGGACCACAGGTGCATACCACCATTCCCAGCCTTTTGTAATTTTTGTACAGACAGGGTTTCACCATGGTCTCAAACTCCCACCTTGGCCTCTGAAAGTGCTGGGATTATTGGTGTGAGCCACTGTGCCTGGCCTGAAGCTTTTTTTTTTTTTTTTTTGAGATGGAGTCTTGCTCTGTCCCCCAGGCTAGAGTGCAGTGGTGCAATCTGGGCCCACTGCACCTTCCGCCTCCTGAGTTCAAGCGATTCTCCTGCCTCAGCCTCTCAAGTAGCTGGGATTACAGACGCGTGCCACTGCACCCAGCTAATTTTTGTATTTTTAGTAGAGACAGGGTTCCACCATGTTGGCCAGGCTGGTCTTGAACTCCTGACCTCGGGTGATCCACCCACCTCGGCCTCCCAGAGTGCTGGGATTATAGGTGTGAGCCACTGGGCCCAGCCAAAGCCTCTCTTTTTTAATATAAGTGGTAGGAAAACTAAAATGAGAACAGAGGTTTTTTGGTTGGTTATTTATGAGGTATACTTCGTACAGTAGAAGTCTTCCCTTTAGGTGTATAGTTCTTTGAATTTTGACAAATTTATACAGTTGTGTAACTACCACCACAATCAAGATACAGAATATTTTGGAACTCCTGGCCTCAAGTGATCTTCCTGCCTCCCACAGTGATGGGATTATAGGCATAAACTACCATGCCTGGCTGATGCAGAATATTTTCATTATCTCCCAAGAGGTTTCCTTGTTCCCCTTTGTAGTTAGTCCCCTTCCCTGACTTCCAATCTCTGATAATCTCTAAAGTTTTTCTAGAATGCCATTTACACAGAGTCATACAAATATGTAGTTTTTTGAGACTTACGTTACTACGTTTCAGTAGTCTGTTTTTTTTTTTACAGCTGTGTAGTATTCTACTATATGAGTTGACTACAAATTATTTTTCCATTCGTATGTTGGTGAAAATTTGAATTGTTTCCAGAGAAGTGGCTCGTTTTAATCTATTTTTAAGTAAAATATAGCCTTTAAAAATCAGAGGTAGTGTATTTTCTGATGTAAATCCTGTGAAAATCATAAGTATTTTCTCCTTCTATTTTTGTTTTCTTCACTTTGACATTTTCTTCAAATAAGTTATTCATAGGTAAGATGGAAAAAAATGACCTAGATTAGCATTTGGACAAAAACATTTTGTTAGTGATGCTTCTGTTCTGACATGAAATGATGGTAGAATAATTTTGTTGGCAGATTGAAGGACTATCCCCAGTATTGTCAGCATTTGGCTTCTATCAGTCACTTTATGCAATTTCCACATCATTTACAGGAGGTAAGTGCCCTCTGTAACTAAAACCCAAATAGCTATGTAGTATTTGGAGGGTTTAATATTTTGGCTTTTTTTTGTAGACTTGATAGTAATGGCATTAAGATTTCTTAATGATTGGCATGATATAGGTACACATATCTTTTGTTGAGGTTGCTCATTTTGTGGCCTTACAAGAGAACATGAAAAAATAATCATTCTTGGATTATCTTTTCTAAGTAGCAGGCTTACCTCAAAAACTTTTTACTCATTCTTTTAACCTGTAATGCAGTTGAAGAATAAACAGTTTTACTAAGAGAATCTTTATCTTAGATAAAGTACAGACACCCTGCCTGATGCTAAAAGGGAATTGGAGTGGGAATCTTGTGTATAAAAATCTGAAATTTTTGAGTTAATATGAGCCAAAACTGTTACACATAAGACTTAGATCATGTTTATTAAAAATACAGGCTTCTTACCACCTCGTTAGATTCCTTTGAGGTGTGGTTTTTGTTTTGTTTTTCTTTTTTTTTTGGGAGGGGGAGATGAAATCTTGCTCTGTTGCCCAGGCTAGAGTGAGGCAATCTTGGTTCACTGCAACATTGTCCTCCTGGGTTCAAGTGATTCTCCCACCTCAGCTTCCTGAGTAGCTGCGATTACAGGCACCTGCCATCATGCCTGGCTAATTTTTGTATTTTTGTAGAGACGAGGTTTCAACATGTTGGCCAGGCTGGTCTTGAACTCCTGACCTCAGGTGATCCGCCCACCTCCGCCCTGCAAAGTGCTGGGATTACAGGTGTGAGCCACCGCGCCCGCCTGAGATGCTTATTTAAAAGGAGTCAGTCCCTGGGAAAATAGACGTAAGGAATATACATTTTAAAAACCATTTTGTATGATTGTTATTATTACTGAAATTTGAGAAGCATTGTTTCAGTGACTGATTTTAGGTTAATTGGTAAGCATTATCTATACCTTTGTCTTGGTTTTGGTCAACATCAGTTTATATAGAACAGGAAAGTTGGTTAATTGACTTTATTTTTAACATGCAGTAGGCAACTTTATAAGATCTTATTTTAAGGAATCAGGAAGATCAGAATTTGAACCTACTTGATATTCTGTATTTTAATTTAGTTCAGTGTTCTCTACCTCATCCTTCTAGGTTTATTAGGAGGGCAGGGTTATTGTAATGACTTAATCTCTGGGAATGTGGAGTATATTCATTCAAGTGAGTGGATTGAGACAAATTAAGAGACAGGAATATAGAGCTTGAAAGACTTGGAGAAAGAGTGAGATGGCAGGGGAGTGATCACTCAAAACTAGTCCCTAGCACCCACTGTAGCAAGATAGCCAGAGAGAGAGAGAGATCATCACTTTCTGTACTTTATCAGCGTAAAGGGCTATACTTTCTTCTGAGACTCTTTCCTACTTGAGAAATGTCCCTCTAAAAATAAAACTGTTGCATACATAATTGGTAGGTTTAGTTCTGCTAGGTAAGGACTGTTGAAATAGCTTCAGGATCCTTATCACTCTAAATTGTGGGGATGGGCTATGTAAAGTGAGTTTTTTTTTTTTCGTAATAACAGCTTTATTGTGATAATAACTCATACTACCATGGTTTTTGTTTTGTTTTTTAAGGCCTTTGGTTTCTCATTGCTGCCTAATTAGAAAACAGATGAGTTTCCTGTATGAATTATTAAGACTTTTAAAGTTTGCGTTTTTAAAGAAGTTTAAAGGCATTTATATGCAGGTATCTGGGGCTGCTTCTTTAGAAGTTGTTTTGCTGTAGTTCTCTCATAAATACTAAGATTTTATCGCTGAAGTTCATGGAATCTACTTATGTATTAGTGCCAGGGTATGGGGCAAAGAGTATGTGAGCTAGATGAACCAAAAGAGCACTCAGACATGTTTTTTACCCTCTCAGAAAAGAGGGACGTATAATCCAGACTTAGCAATTAAGGTTAACTCTTTTTCCTCTCCCTACCCTTTTAGTATATTGAGTATGGACAGCAGTCTAGAGATCCTCCTGTGAAAATGCAAGGCTCTATCACAACCCCTGGAAGTATTGCACTGGCTCAGGCCCAGGCTCAGGCCCAGGTTCCAGCAAAAGCTCCTCTTGCTGGTCAAGTTAGCACTATGGTAACCACCTCAACAACTACCACTGTTGCTAAAACGGTTACGGTCACCAGGCCAACTGGAGTCAGCTTTAAGAAAGATGTGCCAGTAAGTAGATCTATCTTTTTTCTCTTCCAGGATTTATGATTATATTGTAATAATCAGTGGTGAACATGTATTAGAATTTTATCATAACACATGCCTACTAAAAAAGATATAAAAGACTGACATGTCTTCCTTTGTATCTCCCATCCTTATATTTCCCAGAGGCAAACATATTAATAGTTCACTATTCTTGCCTACATTTCTAATACACAGTCATACCATGTGTATTTTTTAACACTAAATCTGTATACATTATTGGATTTTTTTCAGGGAAGCATTTCAACTTATTTGCCTTATGTACTTTATTTTTTTTTTTTAGCCTTCTATTAATACTACAAATATAGATACGTTGCTTGTGGCCACAGATCAAACTGAGAGAATTGTGGAGCCCCCAGAAAATATCCAGGAGAAAATTGCTTTTATTTTCAATAATCTCTCACAGTCAAATATGACACAAAAGGTGAGCATGCTGTCATAGTTTATAAATGCCTTCTTTTTTCCTTAATGGACTAAAGGATGTATAGTTGGCCCTTTTACATACTCACTTTAAAGGTAGAGGTAATAAACTCAAAGGGAATATGTATATTTAACTAGTGGGTTTGGTAGACATTAAATAGTACCAGTTTTTAAGGTTTTGTTTTGCAGCAAGTTATAAGCTTTTTGAAATAAGCTTAATGTTCTCATGGTGATAGAAAGTTTCATTTGTACTAGTCATTAGTCATACCTCATTTTCTCCCAGAGACTATTCAGAGTATTTATTACAACCTAATAACTGAGGCAAACTTTGTGAAAAGCATAAAGAATGCATGCTACTTGCCCCTCAGATTACATGGTAAGACAGTATAGTTGACCCTTGAGCAACATGGGCGTTAGGGTTGCCAATCCTGTATGTAGCCAAATCCTGTTATAACTTTTTACTCCCCCAGAACTTAACTGTTAACAGCCTACTATTTTTTCTGCCATGCAGAAGCCTTACTGTGATAAAACAAATAGTTGATTAACACCTATCTTATATGCATATAATACTGTATTCTTAGAATAAAATAAACTAGAAAAAAGAATAAAATAAACTAGAAAAACTATGAAGGAAAATTATAAGGAAGAAAAGATATATTTACCATCTGTTAAGTGGAAATGGATTATCATACAGGTCTTTAACTTTATATTTAATAGGCTGAGGAGGAGAAGAGGAGGTCTTGGTGTCTCCGAGGTAGTGGAGGTATTAATAGAAGAAAATCTACATTTAATTTTACTCTATGTAGTTCAAATCCTTGTTCAAGGGTCAACTAACTGTACTTGGAAACGCCAGAGTTAGCTAAGGATTCCTGTAGATGGAAATTTAGGAAAACATAGTTCTGGAATTTTCCCCATTCTTGGTTACACTGTAGGTATGTTAATGGCAGCTTATAGATTAGTAATTTATGTGGAGATGGGGTACTACATGTTTTATAATTTTAAAGCTGAAAATAGCCATAGATGTTTCAGTCCCAATCACGTATGGGTTGAGTTGTGATTGACTATGGAATTGAGCATACTTTTCTTCATAGCATCTATCTGGTGTGAAGGAAAGTCATTCTTTAGCATCTAGTTAGTTTTGCAAGGAGCCATGTGCTGTATAGTATGGTTCATAGAAACCAAGTGTTATTTTATCATAGTGTAATTCTGTGCTTCCCATGTCGTATTGACCGGCTAGGTTGAAGAGCTAAAGGAAACGGTGAAAGAAGAATTTATGCCTTGGGTTTCACAGTATCTGGTTATGAAGAGAGTCAGTATTGAGCCAAACTTTCATAGCCTGTATTCAAACTTCCTTGACACGCTGAAGAATCCTGAATTTAACAAGATGGTTCTGAATGAGACCTACAGAAACATTAAAGTAAGAGTTGGTTCTTATATTTCCTTTAATTATTGCTTTGAATTTGGAAATATTTGATTATATAGGTAGGATTTTTGCTATTTTTCCATATATATTGTCAATATTAGGTACCTCTGGAAATTGCTGTAGATTTTGTTTCTTATATGGAACTAAATTTTATGCAGAACTTAAATTTATAGGCATACCCTGTGCCTTTTCTTTGAAAGTAACCACTATTATGAATTGTTTTTGTCATGCCATGCATGATTTTAGAACTTTACCACTGTTATACATAAGCAGCATAGTATTGGTTAGCATATTCTGTATGGTGTCGCCCTCTGTACATCCTTTTCTTTTTTTTTCACTTACTTTTTTTTCTCCCCTGGATATTATTCATGATAATGATAATGCTCTTTGCTGTAGCCCCCTTTTTTTTTTTTTTTCAATTTTTTTGAGATGTGGTCTCACTCTGTTGCTTAGGCTGGAGTGCAGTGGCACGATCTCGGCTCACTGCAGCCTCCACCTCCCAGGTTCAAGCAGTTCTCTTACTTCAGCCTCCCGAGTAGCTGGGATTATAGTTGTACCGCCATGCCCAGCTAATTTTTATATTTTTAGTAGAGACGGGGTTTAATCATATTGGCCAGGCTGGTCCCGAACTCCTGACCTTAGGTGATCCACCCTCCTCGGCCTCCCAGAGTTCTGGGATTACAGGCCTGAGCCACTGTGCCCGGCCAGTCCTCTTTTTTAAAAAACAGAAAAATATAGTCTTGTAGAAAACCATTGTATGTATTTGTATTGCTGCTGGGCATTTGTGTTGTTAATCACTTAAACTATTATAAACAATGCTGTCCTGAATGTTTTCGTTTGTATCTTGTAGTATTCAAGTGCAAGATATCTTTAGACTCTAAATCTGTTTGTGGAATAGCTGTTGTCTAGGAGTCTGTGCAGTTTAAGGTCAAATTCTACTGAGCTGAGGCTTATTCAACAAAATTCAAGTATTTTAATTTCTAAACCATCATTTATTTCTTAGGAGGAAAAACTTCTAGAACCAGCATACAGCTGTGGTCATTCTTTGCTCAATAACTTGGGTCATTGGCTTAGGAACCAGCACTATATTTAAACCTGTGGATGGGAATATTCCCCATTCTTGGTTACGCTGTAGTGCAAAAGAATTCCTGGCTCTCTGTTGCACAGCTGACTTGTGCCATTCTGCTGTTGCTGTATAGAGTTAAGGAACATGGCTCTATTTCGTTTTTATTATCTGATAGCAAGGGTGGTTGGGATACATAAAAGTTTCCACATACTCTGTAGCAAAGTTTCAAGACCATGTTTTTTAAACAGAAGTTTAAATATAGCCCTAAGTCAAGAGGTACCACAGAGTAGATGGGTATATACATGTGTGCATACCTGCAGCCAAAACACTCTCCTATGTTAGTTCTGCCCCCCCTTAGAAAAACAGTAACCGGAGAATCAGTTAAATGGTTTGGGTTTTTTAGAAATTTGAAAAGAAGTATATAAACAGTATTATACTATATCTCAGAAAGTTATCTTGGTTGGCTGCAGAGATTTGTTAATGACCTGGGTATACTGAAGATTGCAATAGGAGGCTAATTTGATTATATTCCTTTGTATGCTTGCTGCCTTTAAGGACTTAAGCATGGCTATCATCCTCATTTAAATTAATTTAGCACTTCAAAATAGCTTTGTAGTTAGGTCTCTGCTTTAAACCTAGCTAAGGTTTTCAGAGTTGAAAATACTTTTCTAGGGGAGGATAGCTGGCACATAACTTTGTGTTCTTTTTGAATTTTGTGCAATGTGTTTGTACCTATTTTGAAAAAATAAAATGTAAAGACTTCTTCAAGGTAAAAATAGCACTGTTGAATCATAAACACAGCAAAATGATATTGAGAATGATATACAGAGTAATTCTACTTTGGGGCCTGTTCTTAGAAATGATGACTTGTCTTTAGGATAGGATAATGGAATTCTCAAATACTTAGTTGAGTTTTCTTTCATAAGCTTATTCTCATATCTTTCTTAATCTTACACTATTTCAGGTGCTCCTGACCTCTGATAAAGCTGCAGCCAATTTCTCAGATCGTTCTTTGCTGAAGAACTTGGGACATTGGCTAGGAATGATCACATTAGCTAAAAACAAACCCATCTTACACACTGTGAGTTTCATCTAAATGTGTAAAAATTGAGAATCTTCAGCACATTATGATTACAAGTATTGGCTGTTTGGAGCTATTTAATGATTATTGGGGTTTTGTAAGATTTTGGCCCACGTTTTGAGTTGTTAACCCCTTTTTGTAAGGCAAGGACTAGACATTATGTTGATTCCTGTTTTGGGGATAAGCTTGGCAAAATACTTTTCTTTGGTTTTGTTATACCATTTTGGGGGGTATATTCCCCGCTTTTGAAAGTATTTTTCTTATTCTAGGACTTGGATGTGAAATCATTGCTGCTAGAGGCTTATGTTAAAGGACAACAAGAATTGCTCTATGTAGTGCCCTTTGTTGCCAAAGTCTTAGAATCTAGCATTCGTAGTGTGGTGAGTAGATTTTAATATTTTATTTATGACTAATTTCTAAGCATTGCTTTGTTTTAGCATGAGGTCAAGAGATTATATTCTTAGTTCTTGTGAGGTAAAGCTAGTTAAGTCTGTTTTCCTCTATGGCACTTGGATTTCCAATTTGAGAGGCTGGGTGAAATAAGAAAGATTATAATGGTTGGCTTTGGTTTTTGGTTTTTTGTTTTGTTTTGTTTTTGAAATGTGATATAGGTGAGAAGGCTAGGGGTTTTGTTATGGCTACAGAGGTATAAGTGTTTAACTATGTTTAACTGTTTTTGGTTATTTTTTAATCCTTGTTTTTTGTTTTTTATTTGTTTGACTCCCCCCTACCCCCTTATGTTGTATTGAATTGTTTTAAATAATCCAAATTAAAGGGCACATTTTGGGCCAGCTTAACATAATAGCTTTTCTTTAGGTTTTTAGGCCACCAAACCCTTGGACAATGGCAATTATGAATGTATTAGCTGAGCTACATCAGGAGCATGACTTAAAGGTAATTTACTGCTTCCTTGTCCTCTGGAACATTCTTTGCCTTCACATTATTAAAACTTACAGTGAAGGCAGGGTATTTCGGGGGAAGTACTATAATAACTGAAAGTAGAGTATATTATGAGTAAAACTAAAGTTTTCTTTTAAAAATTCTAATCCAACTCTGGAACTGTGCAGTTAAACTTGAAGTTTGAAATCGAGGTTCTCTGCAAGAACCTTGCATTAGACATCAATGAGCTAAAACCTGGAAACCTCCTAAAGGATAAAGATCGCCTGAAGAATTTAGATGAGCAACTCTCTGCTCCAAAGAAAGATGTCAAGCAGCCAGAAGAACTCCCTCCCATCACAACCACAAGTAAGTGTGCTAATTAGTCAAGGAAGGCTTCTGTTAGCTAGGATACTATCTTAAATGGTACTTGTCCATGTATATCGCAAACTATAATTTCCCACATAATGTAGTGGTGAAACTTTGTATACGTTTTGGTGAGCCTTCTAATTATCAAGCAGAAGTAATGACTAGGCCTTGTGTTACCATCTTAGATTCCATCCTGACAGTTCATGCATATTATTAACTAAATGTGATTTAATCAGTTGCCTCTCATACCCCAGCTAGGCCAGGTTATCTCCTTTGTTGTGTGAAGTCCCAGAAATAACTGCATACTATGATGGCCTGTTAACCCCTCAAATCTGGGTATGGCCAGACCTGCTAGATCTGCCAAGGGAATGGGACTGTTTTATCTACATGAAGAAGATGGGAGAAGGGTATGGGAGTGTTGAATGATTGGGAGTTGTGGTTAGAATAAATTGAGCTTTTCTTTCTTTCTCAGTCCTCAGCAGCTGAGAATCCCCAGATAAACCTAGGAACAGGCTAGGTTGAAAACATACATTTATAATATAGACTAAGTTTATAGGACTTGGGCCTGACAATATGGCATGGCTGCTCAGTTGATTTCTGTGCTGTGGGGCACTGGCACTGACATAGTTTAACATACTTCGTGTATATCTCTGTTATAACAACAGAATTTCCCTTTCAGGGTGGGAAAAATAGGACCTGCTACATCCTTCCCTCCTCTCCCAATTTAATTCGTTTAATTAGATAATGACCACTTAATGATATTAAGCTAATTTTATAATAAAGTCAACAAATGTACTTTTTAAATCTCTTTTTATTACTTGACATTTAGCAACTTCTACTACACCAGCTACCAACACCACTTGTACAGCCACGGTTCCACCACAGCCACAGTACAGCTACCACGACATCAATGTCTATTCCCTTGCGGGCTTGGCACCACACATTACTCTGAATCCAACAGTAAGTAAACACTGCTCCATTCTCCCAGCTTCTAGTTTGTGATAAGGTAAATTTTGTTTGGCCACCTTTTCTTCAGCTCTTTGCCCTTCCCTCTGGATTCCTAGGTTGTAGAGTTTGTCAGAGAGGATGGAGATCTAGAACTGCTGTGTAGTTCAGTTGGGATTGTTCTTCTTCCCTTAAGAGATAGAGTGACTAGATGTTAGTTATATTGGTTCCTCATATCCAAACCCATGATACTAAAATTTAGCTAGCAATAAAATCACAATCTCCAGGAATTCCTTACACAGAGTAAAAGATGCTTAATGTATATCATAGCTTTTTATTTTCTTTATCTTGTCACTTTAGCCTTCTGCAGTAAGCCATTTCTTCCACCTGAAGGCTGGAAATGAGCTGATTGTGGGTGTGTATACAATTTCTAGGCTAAGATCTTGAAGTAGGACTTAGCACTTTGAGTTATGTTGTTGTGGCCTGGTTCCAGAAGGAGGTCTGATACAATATGGTCATGTAAGATGACCTCTGATCAGTCCTTTTTCCTATAGTTAGTATTTGCTTTGTACATTCAAGGGGACATTTTATTGTTATCTTTAGTCTTTTATTCTACTTAACAGAATATATAATACAGAATCAGGTGAGTGGAGTTTTCATTGTCCTTACTTTTTAGAAACTGAAAATGTTCACAAATACAAGAGTAACATTAATACATTGAACTTTTTATTAAAAGGAATTGAAAGGGTATCAGAGAAATCATTTTATCCTTGTCCCCCCATCCCCACTCCTATAGACATGGTACTTAGTTTTAGAGGGGTGGAGTGAGAGGCAGTGGGACACCTAGATCCAGAAATTGTGATTCATCTTTAGAATACTCTTAGTGTTGTGAACACTATTATATGCTAGTTTAATTTTTTTTTTTTTTAATTCAACAAGTTAAAGGGACCAAGTAAGTTTTGGGGCATAATTTACACCTGCAATAAAAGATTAGAAACAGCCTTTCAAATGAAGCCAAATACTTCAGTGGGCACTGTAAAATGCTCACTATTCTGATGAATTAATTTTAATAGTTTTTGTAAGAAGTCTTTTTTCTATAAACTTTATTCTTTTTACATTTTCCCAAGCTAGTGGAGAAGTTGCTTTCTTTTAAGAGCACTTGAGCCACAAATTTTAAATAAGCCAGCAGTGTGTCTTTAAGTAGTTAATGCATATTGTAATGAACAGTTTGTCCATTAAACTTGGATTTAAAAAAAAGACATATCTATTATTGTGTATCACAGGGTATACTGAATACATTTCCCTGTATGGAGCTCAGTTTCTGTTACCCGAATTTTCCATTGGTTAACTTTAAGTAGAAACTGGTAGTTTTTGGTTAATCTTGATTTACAAAATCATGAATGTGATTGCCAGTAGGAATTGGATTGTCTTATTTAAACAAGGTGTTGACTTTGTCCTCCCCAACCCCCCAGATTCCCTTGTTTCAGGCCCATCCACAGTTGAAGCAGTGTGTGCGTCAGGCAATTGAACGGGCTGTCCAGGAGCTGGTCCATCCTGTGGTGGATCGATCAATTAAGATTGCCATGACTACTTGTGAGCAAATAGTCAGGAAGGATTTTGCCCTGGATTCGGAGGAATCTCGAATGCGAATAGCAGCTCATCACATGATGCGTAACTTGACAGCTGGAATGGCTATGATTACATGCAGGGAACCTTTGCTCATGAGCATATCTACCAACTTAAAAAACAGTTTTGCCTCAGCCCTTCGTGTAAGTTGGCTATTTCCTTGGTATAGGTACAAAACGTATTACTGCTTGTCTGTAATAATTTTTTTCTTTGTCTATATATGGCACTGGGCGTTACCACTTATTCTTAATAATCACCATATTTGTTTGATGTCTTCCATCATTTTAGATTGTAATTCTGTGAGGCAAAGCATCATGTCTGTGTGTTTTTTTTTTTTTCTGTTATATTCTCAACACGATGTTTGACAGATAGTAGATACCCAAATATTTGTTGGTTTAAATAAATTAAGATTTAAAAAGGAAATGTGATATCTGACAATCTCATTTCTGTTAACCAGGAAGGATGAAAGCTGTTTGAGAAGGCCGATACAAAATGACTTAAAGTGATGTTGCATGTGCACACACTTTTCAAATAATTCACTTACTAGTTTTGAGTCTCAGATATCATGGTTAATAATTCAGGTATCATGATTAATAATTTGTTTACTGCTTTAATGATTTTTTTTGGTTGTTTTTTGCCTTTTTTTTAATGTTTCATGAGACAGGGTCTCACTCTGTAGCTTAGGCTAGAGTACAGTGGTGCAGTCTTGGCTCACTGCATCCTCCACCTCTGAGGTTCAACTGATTCTCGTGCTTCAGCCTCCCAAGTAGCTGGGATTACAGGCATGTGCTACCACGCCCCACTAATTTATGTATTTTTTTAGTAGAGAAGTGGCTTCACCATGTTGGCTAGGCTGGTCTCAAACTCCTGGCCTCAAGTGATCTACCTGCCTTGGCCTCCCAAAGTGCTGGGATTAGAGGTGTGAGCCACCGCGTCTGGCCTGCTTTACTGATTTTAAGGCATGTTCACAATAAACTGATAAGGTGTCTAGGATATTTTTGTCTTAAAAGTGAGGAAGCTGTTAAGACTGTTTCAAGATCACAGCTTGTTCATAAGTAGAGTCAGAACTTAAAATGCATTTGCCAAATGCACTGCATTTTCTACTATCCTGTCTGTCCACATCAACTTTCAAGTCTTTTTCCTTCTATTCCCCCCACCCCCCCACCCACCTCCATTAATAGACTGCTTCCCCACAACAAAGAGAAATGATGGATCAGGCAGCTGCTCAATTAGCTCAGGACAATTGTGAGTTGGCTTGCTGTTTTATTCAGAAGACTGCAGTAGAAAAAGCAGGCCCTGAGATGGACAAGAGATTAGCAACTGTAAGTGTTTAGAATTTGCCTTTTAAGATTTTCTTTTTTAATTTAGGGAAGTGCCTTATAACAAGAACCTCAGTGACTTTTTTTGTTTGCAGGAATTTGAGCTGAGAAAACATGCTAGGCAAGAAGGACGCAGATACTGTGATCCTGTTGTTTTAACATATCAAGCTGAACGGATGCCAGAGCAAATCAGGCTGAAAGTGAGAATTGGGGCTCTGTCTTTCCCCGTCCCATCTTTGTTTTATTTTTAATGTTGTTGTTGATTGAACTCCTTACTGGAATTAGGACAGCAGGGTTAAATATTGTTTATGAGAAAACATCTTAACTTGATAGCATTTCACTGAATGGCTGCCTGTGGAGGAGGTATGGAAATAGCTCTAAATTCCCTTGCTCCTCCAGAGTTGTTGAAGTGTTATTACTCTAAGGAGTTCATGTGCCTGCTAGTTTTCATGTTTCCCAACTTGGGCTTCTCACATTAATGGTTGCTTATTGTTCCCAGTGAGACAGTGAGAAATCTGATAATATTTACCAGCTTCAAGGGAGAATTGCACTGGCATCGTCCCATGTGAGGCATTTTCCAAGAGAAACTCTCAGTTAATTTATAAATGAGGTGACTCTTAGCAGGATTCAGGGAAATGAGAAGCCCTCTTCTGAACTGCATTTGTGTGTGCGTGCATGCTTAATCATGCTGTTATATGTTGTAATGACTCTTGTGTCCCTGAGCTTACCCACATGCAGACTTTCCACTTTCAAAACAGTTTATTTTGATTATTGAGTGAATTCTGTCAAAATAGGTTTTCTTCTTTCAAGGTTGGTGGTGTGGACCCAAAGCAGTTGGCTGTTTACGAAGAGTTTGCACGCAATGTTCCTGGCTTCTTACCTACAAATGACTTAAGTCAGCCCACGGGATTTTTAGCCCAGCCCATGAAGGTAAATGTGTTTTAGATTAAATTGAGTGTTTTGCCAATTAATTTAAATGTTTTTGACATTTAATATATGTTTTTGACTTGCTTCCTGGGAGAATAATTTACAGGGGAAAAAACACCTATAGTTTTTGAGTTGTAGGTATTCTTTGTGTCCAATTAAGTATGACATACAGGGGATTAAAGAAAAATTGACATGGGTGTGGGTGATTTAACTTTAATGTTCGGCCTAATTAGGGGAATTCTCATGGTAACATAATAACTTTCGGTTTTTTATTTTTAAATTTTATTATTTATTTTTTTGAGACAGGGTCTTTCTCTGTCACCCAGGCTGGAGTGCAGTGGCGCGATCTCAGCTCATTGCAACCTCCACCTCCCAGACTCAAGCGATCCTCCCACCTCAGCCTCCTGAGGAGCTAGGACTACAGGCGTGTGCCACCATGCTCAGCTAATTTTTGTATTTTTTGTAAAGATGGGGTTTTGCCATGTTGCCTAGACTAGACTCAAACTGCTGACCTCAAGTGATCGCCTACCTTGGCCTCCCAAAGTGCTGGGATTACAGGCCTGAGCCATTGTGCCCAGCCTTCCCATTTTTTAAATAAAAGAATTTTCTAAAATTTTCAAAGGTGTTTACAGAAAACTTGGAAATATAGGGAAAAATATTTTCCCCCGAACCGGTCGATAGTAAGTTGCTGACCTGATACCCCCATCGCTCCTGAATCCTTTGGTTTGTATTTCTTACAAAACCTTTTTCCTTTGGTTTGTATTTCTTAAAAAACCCTTTTCCTGTGTGACCATGGTACAACCATTAAGGTCAGAAATGAATACTAATAACCTTACTCCATCTAATTCATAGACCTCACTCGAGTTTCACCATGTATCCCAATAATGTATAGTAAAAGACCTGTTTTAGAATCACACATTTCTTCAGTTGTCATATTTTTAAAGTCTCCCTCAGTTCTAGCTGGTGTAGGTAACTCAGTTTTTCCTCATCTTTCATGACCATAACACTTCTGAATATTATAGGCTAATTATTTTCTAAATGACTTGATTTGTTTGTCCAGTGTATTCTCATGACTAGGTTCAGGTAATGTGTTTTTAAAAATAGGAATAGCTCAGAAGTAATGCTGTATTCTTACTCTATCCTATCAGGCTTTGACAGTTGGACTGAGTACTGTATTTTTCATGGTTTGAAACACTTACTTTCTTAGGATATAGAGGGCTTAGTAGATGGTACAAGTGGTGCTGCCCTCAGTCTGTCTCATTGTTACTAATGCTCTCTTTTATCACTTGATTATGCTGCTGTCTGCCAGGTTTTCCTCTCTCAAATGAAACACCTCTTCCCTTATGCCTGCCTTGTACTGTGCCACTTGATGGTATTAATTCTGAATAGCTCAGGAAGAAGGAAAAGAAGAGGCCCTCCATGTTTGAATGTAAAAATAAGAAAAAGGGAGTAAACATACTAGTAGACCTCTATTTGATACATGTGTCAATAAAAAACCTTAACATTCTTTTGTCTCTTGTTGGTTGTTTCCTTCTGTAAAACAGCAAGCTTGGGCAACAGATGATGTAGCTCAGATTTATGATAAGTGTATTACAGAACTGGAGCAACATCTACATGCCATCCCACCAACTTTGGCCATGAACCCTCAAGCTCAGGCTCTTCGAAGTCTCTTGGAGGTTGTAGTTTTATCTCGAAACTCTCGGGATGCCATAGCTGCTCTTGGATTGCTCCAAAAGGTTGGTTCTTAAGCTATTACTTTTAGAAAATGCTAGGTGTGTAAACATTTATTGACCTGCACCACCATCTACATATTTATGCAGTTATGCTTAAGATTTCATAATATAAATCAAGTTCTGTAAGTAGGTGATTTTTTTTTTTTCCAACGTAGAATGTAGTCATGGCAGTTTTGAATGGTAAACTTGGAAATCTTCATTTTTTTTCTTAAAGATATTCTGGAAATGTGATTTGAAGAAACTTTAAAAGGTAGCCCTTTAGAGGGGTGTGTGTGTCTGTGTGTGTGTGTGTGTGTGTGTGTGTAAGAGACAGGGTCTCTCTCTGTCAGGCTTGAGTGCAGTGATGTGATCATGGGCTTAAGTGAACCTCCCACATCACCTTCTCGAGTAGCTGGTATTACAGGTGCTCACTGCCAAGCCAAGCTAATTTTTAATTTTTTTGTAGAGACAGGTCTTGCTTTGTTGTCCAGGTCGTTCTCAATCTCCTGGGCTCAAGTGGCCCTCCCTCCTGAGCCTCCCAAAGCGCTAGGATTATAGACATGAGCCACTGAGCCCAGCTGCCCTTTAGATTTTGAGGGACAAGTTGATCCAATAATTTGGATCAGGGTAGGTAGGGAGCCCTGGATTTTAACTACAGCAGAGCCTTTTATGACAATGAAGAGCACAGAATGAACTTAAATCAGATAGAATTTAGAGTGTGTGTGATAGGCAACTGAAAGGGATGTTTGGAGAGTGGAAAGGACAGGGAGGCTTTGGAAGGTATTTGGTACTTGGCATTGAGATTTGGTTTCTGGCTGTGATAGTTGGGCCAAGCACTGTATTTTTCATGGTTTTGAACGCTTTCTTTCTCCCATAGGCTGTAGAGGGCTTACTAGATGCCACAAGTGGTGCTGATGCTGACCTTCTGCTGCGCTACAGGGAATGCCACCTCTTGGTCCTAAAAGCTCTGCAGGATGGCCGGGCATATGGGTCTCCATGGTGCAACAAACAGATCACAAGGTCAGTAGCCATCTTCGAAAAGTAGTGAGTATTGGACTGCGACTGCCTTTTGACATAGATAGTACTGTTTATGTCCAGGGGTTTCCCTTTTTTCTAGTAGGTAGGTCGGACACTTAGACTTCCTACTTCTGAGAGGTGAGAATTGTTAAGTAGTTGTTTTCCATCTGGTCTCTACCTTCTCCCCATGTTGGATATAGAAAACCAGTACCTTGTTTTGGGGAATAAATTGTAGGTCATTGTTTTAAAAGGTTACAGTGATTTCTCAGAAGTGGTATTCGTGTATAAGTATTTTAATGTCTTAAATGGAATACTCTGTATCCTAGGATTTGAAAGGAAAGCTTGGGCTATCTGTTCTATTTCATTACTGGCTGTTTTTAAATTTGGACACTGATTTGGAGTTGAATCTCAAGGCATTCTTAGTTTGGAGCAAATTTCCATTGAGTAAAATGGGCCCTTTTACAGTATGGTTAAGCCTATATGAGTAAAGATATTGAACTTTTTCTAGGTGCCTAATTGAATGTCGAGATGAATATAAATATAATGTGGAGGCTGTGGAGCTGCTAATTCGCAATCATTTGGTTAATATGCAGCAGTATGATCTTCACCTAGCGCAGGTATGGAAGGAATTTACTTGCACGGACAAAAGGACTCAGGGAAGTACGTTTGCTCTTAAGTGTTTTCCCTCTCACATTATGTTTTCTGTGTTGCCAGTCAATGGAGAATGGCTTAAACTACATGGCTGTGGCATTTGCTATGCAGTTAGTAAAAATCCTGCTGGTGGATGAAAGGAGTGTTGCTCATGTTACTGAGGCAGATCTGTTCCACACCATTGAAACCCTCATGAGGATTAATGCTCATTCCAGAGGCAATGCTCCAGAAGGGTGAGGATGAAATGCTTTGAGATCCCTGTGCATTTAGTAGTCTTCTAATATCTTTAGGAATGAATATGCAGACTTACTAACATTACTTGTTATAACTGCTTTACCAACCACATATGGGTGGGTAGCTTTGGTAAGGGCTAATATTGTCACTTGAAGTATGAAAGCCTAATTGACTGCCAAGTCTTCTTGGCACAGAGCAGTACATACGGTACCAGACTTAGTGTCAGAGTCCTATGTTTAAGCCCTGGTCATGCCACTTAAAAGCTTTCTGATTTTAGGCAAATTGACTTATCCTCCTTAAACCTATTCTTTATAGAAAATGGAAATAATTTCTCAAAGAACTATTGGAAATCAAGAGAAGTAACGTAAAGAAAGCATGGTACATAGTAGGCAAACAGTGAATATTTGTCGACTCTGAACATCAGTTTCATTTAAATGAACACGTTTTTTGGGCAAGAAGTAGCTTAACTGAGGGCAGTTGTTTGTGTGTTGTATGCTCATGAGCAAGCGGATAAGAGACTAAGTATAGTTTTGTTTCAGTGTGGAAGTGGTAAAGCGAAGTGGTAAACCACTCTGGTGGTTGCTGTTAAATAAGCAAACTATACATGCGTATGTCTGTAAAATCACAACTACGAGGAGACTGATTTTCACCCTTTATTTATTGTGCTAGATTGCCCCAGCTGATGGAAGTAGTGCGATCCAACTATGAAGCAATGATTGATCGTGCTCATGGAGGCCCAAACTTTATGATGCATTCTGGGATCTCTCAAGCCTCAGAGTATGATGACCCTCCAGGCCTGAGGGAGAAGGCAGAGTATCTTCTGAGGGAATGGGTGAATCTCTACCATTCAGCAGCAGCTGGCCGCGACAGTACCAAAGCTTTCTCTGCATTTGTTGGACAGGTAGAGCTTTTGGAAAGAAAGGTGCTTTTTATTCAACATAAGTAGGGTGTGATGCCTCCAATATTAAAGCTCAGTATTGCGTACATGTGGTCAGACAGTTACCTCCATACTCATGCAAACCCAAACTGTCATCATTATATGGTTAAATTACAGCCTGTTTTCTCATGGTTGATCACTAAGCAGTAAAGGCAACATTCCCTCCCACCGTTGGTTCTGTATATTCCATTTCAGTTGTCACAGCTACAAAGTACAATGGGTCAGATAATGAATAATAAAACTACCAAATGTATTTTTACTAGCACTGATGGGACTGTGGGCTAATAAATATGTAAAATTCTCACAGTAGCCCACATTAAAAAAAAATGACAAAACAAAAATGCTTATTTAAATGGTAGAGTGTTTTATTGTATTTTCTAATTTAAATATCTACCTAAACGTAGTGACATGTTCCTTTGGAAAATACTTCCCAGTATTTTCATTAGATTTGATGCAAGTTGGACTTTGACTTAAAAGGGTTAGGAACAAAGCACCTAACTGAAAATCAAGTTTGGCAGGAATGTTTGTGAATAGGATGAACAGGAAAAATGTCGGAACCGAGCCATAGTACCATTTAGCATTCGTTTTTTATTATCACTGGTTGCTTTCAGCGACTGTGAGGGAATCAGACACAATAAGTCCATGTGTCCTAATTTATAATATAACTTGGCAAGAGTGGTACTTTTCCTGAATTGACCTTGGAATTTCCTTTATTAGAACTGTTGTAATTTTTTTTCAGGGTGAGTTGTCTGCTTATTTCTGCAGATTGACCATTATATTTCTTCAAACTGAACCCAAAACTTTTAGGTATATTGCTAAAGAAAGATTACAAATTAGGTCTCTTTTCAAATTAATGACAATTGAATGTGGAAGAACTGACTTCAATTCTAGAAGTTATTTGAAACTAGGTTTACTTTTCAGCCAGGTGCTGTGGCTCACGCCTGTAATCCCAGCACTTTGGGAGGCCGAGGCAGGCGGATCACGAGGTCAGGATATCGAGACCATCCTGGCTAACACAGTGAAACCCTGTCTCTACTAAAAATACAAAAAAATTAGCCGGGTGTGGTGGCGGGTGCCTGTAGTCCCAGCTACTCGGGAGGCTGAGGCAGAAGAATGGCGTGAACCCAGGAGATGAAGCTTACAGTGAGCCGAGATTGCACCACTGCACTCCAGCCTGGGCGACAGAGCGAGGCTCCGTCTCAAAAAAAATTAAAAAAAAAAAAGAAATTAGGTTTACTTTTCAAAATGAATGTTACTCAGTAAATCATACCGAGTATATTTCTCCCCTAAAAGAATCCAGGGAATTACAAAGCATACCCTACTGAAAAGCTATTACTGCATGTTTTATAGTCTGATTTATAATTTGAATGGAAGAAATTGGAATCCATTGGTCTTTCTGATCATTGCTATTTCGTGGGTATGGATGTGGCACCTGTCTCAGCCCTTCCTGCTGGCTTATTTGCTCTCATTTCATCTTTCTCTTGAAAAAGATAGTGTATTATACTTTTCTGTGCTGTTTTGTATCCTTTTGAAAATTCTTTCCTTCTTGCGCTCCTCCTTGACCATAGTACTCAGTCCTAATATTCCTCACTCTCTGTTAGTTTTACAGATACCAGTGTAGACAAAAAGTCCCTTTGCCATGCTGGCATTCTGTCCCAGCAGGGTACAGTATTATCGTAGTCCAACCAGTTCAGTTGTCTTTACTGCTTATCAGGAACAGTTAAGTTGTTTCAAAAATTTCAAGATAACCTTGAAGTTTTTTTTTTCGGAACTTGGTTTCTGTGTTTAGTAAGTAGTGAACTGTTCTTCCTCTGTAGCCTTAATGCATATTTTACTGTTGTCTTTTTTTGTTTGTTTGTTTAAAGGGTTGAGGGGAACTAGCCAAATAACATTCCCACTGTGCTTCACTTCTAGTTCATATGTCATATAGTTTCTAATTTTTCCTTTCTTTTAAATAAACTTGTGTTTCCCACATTATTTTAACTTAATGTAACATTTTATTACATTAAAATACCTAGATCAGATTTGTATTTCCATTTGGTACTTACCTGTTGTACAAATTATTGATTTTTCTGGGGGTAGCTTGTTGGAGTTTTAAAATCTTTGTTATTGGTTAATTCAGTTTGAGGAAATTATCTTCAAATCCTTCAGAAGTAAATTACCTTAAATTCTGTGAGAAAGTAAAATATGTGCAATTTAGTCTTCTCCTTGGAGTCCACAATGTCTTAACATGACTTACAGTTAACGAACAGTTTGTTTTATTTGCATGGTTAATTTTTCACATTATTTGGTGGGGACCTACTGTTCAAAATTGCCATGATAATCTGTCTGTCAGTTTCCATCTTCCCTGTTCTACATTAAACTTAAAACTGGAGGAATTCTGTCATGGCACCTTAATGGGAAAATAATTCTGATAATACATTTATTACAATGTAAGAATTAGAAATATGACAGTAGGAACAAATGAGAATATCTCTTAAGCCTGAAAATTAAAGGTATATGAAGTTTATTTGTGTGTGTTACCTCATTGTGTCTTTATTTTTTGTTCCTGTTGTAGATGCACCAGCAAGGAATACTGAAGACCGATGATCTCATAACAAGGTTCTTTCGTCTGTGTACTGAAATGTGTGTTGAAATCAGTTACCGTGCTCAGGCTGAGCAGCAGCACAATCCTGCTGCCAATCCCACCATGATCCGAGCCAAGTGCTATCACAACCTGGATGCCTTTGTTCGACTCATTGCACTGCTCGTGAAACACTCAGGGGAGGCCACCAACACTGTCACAAAGATTAATCTGCTGAACAAGGTCTGAAATCCTTTCTTGCCTTAGTCTTGGTCTACATCAGTGGGGTGTTTTATTTATTTATTTATTATTATTATTTTTTATATTGTTTCTTTGAGAGAGTCTCACTCTGTCACCCAGGCTGGAGTGCCTCCGAAGTAGCTGGGAATACAGGCATGAGCCACGATTCCTGGAGCTTTTCTATTTTTAGTAGAGTCTTACCATGTTGCCCAAGCTGGTCTCAAACTTCTGGCCTCGAGTGATCCACCTGCCTTGGCTTCCCGTAGTGCTGGGATTACAGGCATGAACCACCATGCCTGGCCACATCAGTGGTTTCTTTTTATTTGAGATGGAGTCTCGCTCTGTCGCCCAGACTGGAGTGCAGTGGTGCAATCTCGGCTTACTGCAAACTCCGCCTCCTAGGTTCACACCGTTCTCCTACCTCAGCCTCGTGAGTAGCTGGGACTACAGGCACTTGCCAACATGCCCGGCTAATTTTTCTTGTATTTTTTGTTTTGTTTGTTTTCTGTTGTTTTGAGACGGAGTCTCACTCTGTCACCCAGGCTGGAGTGCAGTGGCGGGATCTCAGCTCCTGCAAGCTCCGCCTCCCAGATTCACGCCATTCTCCTGCCTCAGCCTCCCGAGTAGCTGGGACTACAGGCACCCGCCACCGCGCCCGGCTAATTTTTTATATTTTTAGTAGAGACAGGGTTTCACCATGTTAGCCAGGATGGTCTCGCTCTCCCAACCTTGTGATCCGCCTGCCTCAGCCTCCCAAAGTGCTGGGATTATAGGCGTGAGCCACAGCGCCCGGCCACGTCAGTGGTTCTTAACCCTATTGGGTCCCTCAAGTGACCCGCCTGCCTCGACTTCCCAAAGTGCTGGGATTACAGGCATGAGCCACCATGCCTGGCCACATAAGTGGTTCTTAACCCTATTGAGGCCAACCCTTCCCCCAAACATTTTGTTAATGTCTCTTTTCTGTCCTGAAATTAAATTTGTAAATAATATGTAAACATACCCGCTCTGTCTTAGAATATAGTGCCTTAACCGAAATACAAAAAGAGATCATAATGTATTTCAGTATGTTAATGCTTGGTAGTATGAATTTGCCCCATATACAGAATCACTGTGAGTGGGTGGCTAGACGTGCCTCCTGCTGATAGATTGGCAACTCAAGTACATGAGTGATATTAGTCATTGGCTTGATTTACACAGTGGAGTTCCTGGAAATTTGAATATTAAAACAATGCAAAAATACTTGTAAAAATGGACTGTGATTTTGGATTTGGGAAATTAGAGATGTGTTCTTCAAGCCCCTCACTGTTCAGTGGGCAAGTCAAGTGGAATGGGATCTCTGCAGCCTAACAGCTTTCCTGGCCCCTGCCTACTAAATGCCAAGATAGGAGTAAATCATTCCCACATGTCAACTTCATGTCAGACCAGACAAATTAGATTGTTATATTGTGTTAACATGGTGAAATGTGAGGGGCCTTGCTGATTTCTAGAGCTGAAGAAGAACCATTGGGCATTTGTGGAGAATATTCAGGTGTGGTCCAAGGATGTTGAAATGCAAAGAAACACACAAAACACTGAAGGCGGAGTCAGACCAATTTATGACCCTATCGGCTGCCAGCATGTAATTTTGTATTCAAATTGTATATATGCTTTCCTTTAATGTTGGGTTTAAGAATGCAAAGTTTAAAAAGCATGACATCGAAGTGGTGAGTGGATTATCTGAATGATTTACAAGCTCTGATTTGTGTTTTACGTAGGTCCTTGGTATAGTAGTGGGAGTTCTCCTTCAGGATCATGATGTTCGTCAGAGTGAATTTCAGCAACTTCCCTACCATCGAATTTTTATCATGCTTCTCTTGGAACTCAATGCACCTGAGCATGTGTTGGAAACCATTAATTTCCAGACACTTACAGCTTTCTGGTGAGTATTGTGTTTGCGATTTTGTGTTAAGGTTTGCTGGATTAATGTAGTAAAATTTTGGGAGTAGAACTCTTGAGCATTTTGAGCCTACATTCATGTGCTGTTCACTGTATTTAAGTTGGACTGTGCTTCTGACTAAGGTTTTTCTTCTTTCAGCAATACATTCCACATCTTGAGGCCTACCAAAGCTCCTGGCTTTGTATATGCCTGGCTTGAACTGATTTCCCATCGGATATTTATTGCAAGAATGCTGGCACATACGCCACAGCAGAAGGTGTGGCTGCAGTTTATCTCCTGTAGATGAAGACTATAACTACCTGGGCTTATTTATTAGCATTGCCTATAGATTTCTATTAGTCATTTAGTAGTAATTGTACTTCTTCCAAACTTAGTTGGGAATGCTATTTAGTGTTCACTCAAGTCAATTACTTGACTGCCTCTGCCTGAAAGCCATTCCTCAGTGATTAGGTGTTGCTGCTTCAACTCAGTTGTGGGCCACCTGTGTCAGTCTCTCAAGTTTTTTTTTATTGTTTTTTCCTTTCTTTCTTTTAAAATGTTTTGCTTCTTTATATACAGGAATGATTTATTTTACATATTTGTCAGTTAAGGGTTTTTTTGGGGGTAGGGGTGTTGTTTTTAAAGTTGAAATCCATGTGTGCCCTCATAAATATCTGAATAAATCTCTGGGTAACAGGGCTCTGGAGCTTGTTGGTTTTACAGACTCTCACTTTAAATGCGGAAGGCTCTCAAACTAAGGTTGAGGACTACTGGCTATGTTATTTTGAAGGATTATGATCAAGTTCTATTTAAGAGTTCATTATCTAATTGGTAATACAACACAGTTAACATGATAAGTTTTTTTCCTCCCATCTTGGAATTAAATTGGCAAATGAGTACTGCAGAAAGTACCATTCTTTGGCCCCTCAGATCAGAAGAAATGTGACTGCTATGTAATGGAGTGAACTTGACAAAGAAGGTGAAATAGCTCTTAAATGAAGTTTTGTTTGGTGGAGAAGGGCATTCTAGGAGGAAGGAACACAACATATTAAATGCAATTATCCAAGAATTAATTGAACATAATTGGTATAGTTGGGGGAGGGTGAGCAGGCTGACATTGGCTGAAAATAGAGAATTCATGTCGTGGACTGAACAAGGTTATTTGCGAAGAGTTGAGCTGGAAGAGAGAAAGGAAATGGCTGAGACTTAATAAGGAATTAAGAAAACACATTTCTAGTTGTCAGTTTCTGCAGTTGACTGTTTTGTGTTCTCTCGGAAGTTTACTCCTCTCCCTTTTTAAATTTTGCTACAGGTACACAGGGACCATTATGTCTTGAAATCTCTGGAGCCAGTTTTTTTCAAATATTATTTCCCACTATCTCCATAATAACTTGGTCCTTTTTAATCTTTTTAATGCCAGTCTTTTTTCTTTTCTTTTCTTTTTTTTTTTTTGATGGAGTTTTGCTCTTGTTGTCCAGGCTGGAGTGCAGTGCCACGACCTCGGCTCACTGCAACCTCTGCCTCCCAGGTTGAAGCAATTCTCGTGCCTCAGCCTCCAGAGTAGCTGGGATTATAGGTGCCCGCCACCTCGCCTGGCTAATTTTTTGTATTCTTAGTTGAGACAGGATTTCAATATGTTGGCCAGGCTGGTCTCGAACTCCTGACTTCAAGTGATCCACTGGCCTTGGCCTCCCAGAGTGCTGGGATTACAGGCGTCAGCCACCGTGCCTGGCCTTTAATGCCGATCTTTTGTAAAAGTACTTAACATTAGTATTCTCTACTTATATTAGCATGAAGAAGATAAGTCAGTGTAGCTGCTTGGGCGACTTGTAGTGGCTGAAAAACAGCTGAGTATAATTATGACTCATGTACATTTCTTTCTTTCAGGGGTGGCCTATGTATGCACAGCTACTGATTGATTTATTCAAATATTTAGCGCCTTTCCTTAGAAATGTGGAACTCACCAAACCTATGCAAATCCTCTACAAGGTAATTAACTTGGATTTATTATAAATTAAAATAACTGAGATCTTAAGAAAATACACTTTAGGAATCTGAGGCCTTATTTTGTTTTTATTAAGCCTTTGAGGCATGATATACATTCAGAAAAGTGTAAAAATCAAGTGTACTTGCATAACTAGCACCCAAATTGTACAGTGTTTGTATATGTTCAACTGTAGAAGATACTACAGTTTTACAAAGCGTTTGTACCAGTTTATACTTGTAAACAGCTTGGAGGAGTTACTGGTTTTCCCCCATCTTCATCTTGCCATACCTGGTATTATCTGTTTTTCATTTTAACCATTTTGGCAGTTGTACTGTGAGATCTCATTGTGGATGGAATTTTGTTTGTTGGTGATTTATCTTTTTTTTTTTTTTTTTTTTTTTTTTTTTGAGACAGAGTCTCACTCTGAAACCCAGGCTGGAGTGCAGTGGCGCGATCTCAGCTTACTGCAACCTCCACCTCCCAGGTTCAAGTGATTCTTGTGCCTCAGTCTCCCTAGTAGCAGAGACTACAGGCATGTGCCACCATGCCTGGCTAATTTTTTGTATTTTTAGTATACATGGGGGATCTCATTACATTGGCTACGCTCGTCTCAAACTCCTGACCTTAAGTGATCAGTCTGCCTCAGCCTCCTGAAGTGCTGAGATTACAGGCGTGAGCCACTGCACCCACCCTCCTTGATGACTTCTTAATGAGGTTTTCATGTGTAGATCAGCCATGGATATCACCTTTTTGTGATGCTCCTCTTCCAGTCTTTTGGCTCTTGTTTGTATTTTTATTTATTAAATAATTCTTTATATGTTTTAAATACAAGCCCTTTGTTGTTACTATATATTCAAACATCTCCCACTCTCACAGCTTGCCCTTTTACTCCCTTAAAGGAAGGGGGAGGTGTCTTTTGAGGATCAGAAGCTTTAAAATTTATTGTAGTCAAAATTGCAGATTTTTAAACTTATATTAAAAGTTGCTTTTTGTGACTTGTGTAGGAAATCTTTGCGTGTCTCAGTGTGCTAAGGTGTTCTATTTCCACTGATCTGAATTGTCAGATTTATGAGCATAAAGTCGTTTAATGTTCTGAAACTATTTTTTATGACTGTAGGATCTGTAATGTCATTCCTGACATTAATAATTTTTGTGTTTTCTCTGTCAGCCTTGGTTAGGGTTTATCAATTTATTTTTTCTAATAACTAACTTGGGCCCTGATTTTCTCCCTTTTCAGTACTTTAAAAAATTTATTATATGCTTTTACTCTACTTTCTTTGGTTTTCATTAGTTCTTTTTTTTTTTTAGCTTCTGAAGATAGACGCTTACATCATTGTATTTTTATTTTTTGTCCAGTCTCCTCTTCTAGCATATTCATTTCAGCCTGTAAACTCTTGATGCCTAGTTTTTCATGATACCTAAATGGAAATATTTGATAAATCATCTGTGATAATGTTAATTAAAGCCTAAAACTTTTTAAGAAATGTTACTAAAGTATACTTCATTCTTTTGAGGGGGGTGGGGGGCTTAAGTTACAATAGGAAAATGTTACTCCATTTTCCTTAGTGTGGAAATATTTTTCTTGTTTTTTAAAAATAGGGCACTTTAAGAGTGCTGCTGGTTCTTTTGCATGATTTCCCAGAGTTCCTTTGTGATTACCATTATGGGTTCTGTGATGTGATCCCACCTAATTGTATCCAGTTAAGAAATTTGATCCTGAGTGCCTTTCCAAGAAACATGAGGCTCCCCGACCCATTCACTCCTAATCTAAAGGTAAGGTTCCAACTAGTTAAAGGAAAACTTATGTCTTAATATTTCAGTCCTTTCTCTGATAAGTAGACTGTTCAGCACTTTCCTACCCAACATAACACGCACACTATTAGTTAAGGGTACTCTTTAAAGGAAATAATGTTATTAAGCCTGATAGAAGGTATGATATTGTTGCTATTGCTGTTGCTGGTGAATATTGGTTCACAGCATTTTTCTAGTTGCTAGTTTTCATATTAATTTTGATATTAAATTTAGCTCTATTTACAGAACCACAGCTTAGGTGTTGGGGCAGTCATTTGCTGGGTGTGCCCCACATGGCAAAGAATTGCAGAACAAACAGACCTTTGTAATCTTTTTCTTTTTTTGAGGCAGAGTCTTACTCTGTGACCCAGGCTGGAGTGCAGTGGTGCAGTCTCGGCTTACTGCAACCTCCCCTTCGCTGGTTCAAGCTATTCTCCCGCCTCAGCCTCCCAAGTAGCTGGGATTACAGGCACTCGCCACCACACCTGGCTAATTATGTGTTTAGTGGAGATGGGGTTTCGCCATGTCAGCCAGGTTGGTTTTGAGCTCCTCACCTCAAGTAATCTGCCTGCTTCGGCCTCCCAAAGTGCTGGGATTACAGGTGTGAGCCACCACGCCCTGCCATAGTCTCCATATTTCACAGTTTTGTGTCTGTGCACTTGTGCAGTTGTTCCTTGGTCCCTTGCTATTCTTGGAGGATTGGTTCTAGGACCCACTGGGACACCAAATTTTAAGTATGCTTAAGTCCTGTATGTAAAGTGGCATATAACCTTTGCATATCCCCTTAAATGACATCTGTAGTGCTTATGATACCTAATGTAGTGTAATGCTATTATGGAAATAACTATTTTAAACTATATTAATAACTTTTTAAAATTTGTGTTTTTTATTGTTGTATTATTATTTATTTGTATTTATTTATTTATTTTTGAGACAGAGTCTCACTCTGTCACCCAGGCTGGAGTGCAGTGGCGCAATCTCAGCTCACTGCAACTTCCGCCTCCTGGGGTCCAGTGATTCTCCTGCCTCAGCCTCCCAAGTAGCTGGTACTACAGGTGCCCGCCACCATGCCTGGCTAATTTTTTTTTTTGTATTTTTAGTAGTGACGGGGTTTCACTAGTTGGCCAGGCTGGTCTCAAACTCCTGACCTCACGATCTGCCTGCCTTGGCCTCCCAAAATGCTGGGATTACAGGCATGAGCCACTGCACCCGGCCTTTATTGTTGTATTATTTTTTATTGACCCCATCATCTACCTCTACCTTCACCCCCCATATTTTCGATTTGAGGTTAATTAGATATGGAACCTAAGGGTATGGAGAACCCACTGTATTTTTTTGTAAGTTGTTGGAATAAAGGAGAGAGAGGACCACTTAAAATCTCACCACCCTGACATGGCTACTATAGTTTGTTTAAGAGACAGGGGTCTCGTTGTTTTGCCCAGGCTGAAGGGCAGTGACTATTCACAGGTGTGAACATAGTGCACTTCAGCCTCAGGCTCCTGTGCTCAAGCCGTCCTCCTGCCTCAGCCTCCAGAGTAGCTGTGACTAGAGGTGCACACCACTAGAAGTGCCCAGCTATAGTTTAGATGTAGTCTCTACTCTTTCTGACACATGCATTTTTTTTTTTTTTTTTTTTTTTGAGACGGAGTTTCGTTCTTGTTGCCCAGGCTGGAGCGCAATGGCGCGAGCTGTGGCTCACTGCAACCTCTGCCTCCTGGGTTCAGGCGATTCTCCTGCCTCAGACTCCCGAGCAGCTGGGATTACAGGCACCACACCCAGCTAATTTTATATTTTTAGTAGAGATGGGGTTTCTCCATGTTGGTCAGGGTGGTCTTGAACTCCCAACCTCAGGTGATCCGCCTACCTCGGCCTCCCAAAGTGCTGGGTTTACAGGCGTGAGCCACTGCGCCCGGCTTCAATTTTTTTTTTTTTTTTTTTTTTTTTTAAGGAGTAAGTGTGATGTCTGGTCTTGCTGGGGCTTCTTTTCAAAGACTCTTGGTGAGTGAGGAATCTTATTCCGGATTATTATTTTGAAACCGAAGTCCAAGAAAAATCAGTTAGTTGTGCAAATTAGACCTTTGCCCAAAAGGTATCTTGCCTCTGGGAAGGAAATACATTATAGAGTGGGAAATTTTTATCATTTTGAACCAAGATTCTTCTAAAGAAAGAAAGACTGATTAATAAAATGTGGCAGCTGTGCTCTTCAAGGCATTTATAGTGTATATAGTTTTAGAAAAACAGTCCCACCACTTAAGCATAGATGTAATTTACTAATAAAAATGATTCTGCTTGTGATTCTTGCATTTTATCTGTGGCAGGTGGACATGTTGAGTGAAATTAACATTGCTCCCCGGATTCTCACCAATTTCACTGGAGTAATGCCACCTCAGTTCAAAAAGGATTTGGATTCCTATCTTAAAACTCGATCACCAGTCACTTTCCTGTCTGATCTGCGCAGCAACCTACAGGTTAATTGGTTTGGCTTAAAACTCATCTACGTCTTCCATATAAAGCACTTTCTATGTATGGTCCTGTGTGTGGTCCATTTGGGAGTTAGTCTTTTATTGTCATTTCCATCAATTGGGTGAGGTTGATTAACTGGATTTACGTATTTTACTAGTTCATTTAATCAGTGATATTTTGCTACAGCTTTGGACAAGACAGCACTAGAAGAGTAGACCACAGACAGTCATTAGCTGTTGGTACTCCTAGGATTTTTCTGAATACCTGGATGCTGATTTACATTTCTCTATAGGATATTTTGGAAAGTTATATATTTACAGTCTGTATATGCCATGCAACTACAACTTTCTCTCCAAATCTTTAATTGGCACAGTGCATATTTTGATTTTATAAACTTTACTTTAGAGCTGTGCCTTGAGCTTCGGCTTCCTGAGGGAAATCACATTTCTCTTATTGATACAACCACCTTTGGAGCATCTGTGTGTTTGTTAAATAACCTCACAAATTCAAGCAAGTGAATCACAATAAATGTTTGGCCTTTCCATGAAGGTGTAAGAAGGGTTTAGAAATACTGGTGCTAGAATTGGTCCTCTGCAGGAGTAAGCATAAGGAGTTCTGTTTTGCTCATTTTAAGGTATCCAATGAACCTGGGAATCGCTACAACCTCCAGCTCATCAATGCACTGGTGCTCTATGTCGGGACTCAGGCCATTGCGCACATCCACAACAAGGGCAGCACACCTTCAATGAGCACCATCACTCACTCAGCACACATGGATATCTTCCAGAATTTGGCTGTGGACTTGGACACTGAGGGTGAGTGAAGCCTGCCAGTTTTCAGAGTAGAGTTCTCTGTGCTTTTTGCTACAATCTGATCACAAAAATGTAAAAATGCTTCAAGCCACAATAGTGAAGGAATGTTCTGTCAGTATATTTATTCACAGGTCTAGCTGATTATTTTATCTTTAATTGGACATTATCTGCTCAGTGCAGGAAATACAAAAAAGCATAAAGGAAAGAATTATCCAGAATCGTGCAGTATCAGTTTTGGTGTATGTGACTGAAGTTTTTTAGTGTGAAAATAAACTTAAAGTCCCTTTAAACATAGCCTCTTGTTACATTGTTTTGTTAGGCTGCCTTATATAAGCATTTTTATTGGTGCGTGTTTGGCAGGCATCTTGTTAAATGTTCATGTATAAAGATTAATGAATAGGACTCTCCTGTTCTGCAAAAAGCTCACAGTATAACTCCTGTTGCAGGTTGCAGCTTTTCTGCTTGAGCTACATTTCATTTGGTCCTCTATATTTATCTTATAAAATAGAGACCCCAGTTAGGTGCTAACTAGTTGTACAGTCCTGTCCAGTTTTGCATACATATATTTTAGGGGGACACTACTCTTTAACTTTGCTATTGATTCTTGAGAGATGAATTGATGTTGCATATATGCTGCATGCCTATATGTGGGATGGATTTAAGACAGCTTAAATTCAAGATATAACAAAATTGAATACCATCACGTCCAAGAGCTCGGCAATAAAAGGACGGCAGCCTTTAGAGAAACGTGTCACTGTGACAGACTCACAAACACGAATAATGTCAAGCAGAGGCAAACAACCAAACCCAATTAAGATAATACTTATTCCAGTGTAGTTTAGACTAATCAAAATGTGGGCTGGGTACCCTTAGGGTGTCAAGACCTTTTTAGGAGGGCTGTGAGGTCAAAACTTTTTTTTTTTTTTTTTTTTGCGATAGAGTCTTGCTCTCACACCCAGGCTAGAAGGCAGTGGCGCAATATCGGCTCACCATAACTTCCGCCTCAGGGGTTCAAGCGATTCTCCTGCCTCAGCCTCCCGAGGAGCTGGGATTACAGGCACACGCCACCATGCCCAGCTAATTTTTATGTATTTTTAGTAGAGATGGGGTTTCACCATGTTGGCCACGCTGGTCTTGAACCCCTGACCTCAAGTGATCCACTTGCCTCAGCCTCCCAAAGTGCTGGGATTACAGGCGTGAGCCACCGTGCCCGGCCCAAAACTGTTTTCATCATAAAACAACATTTACATTTTTGGGTCTATTCTGTCATGAGTGTACAGTTGAATTTCTCAGAGGTTACATGAAATATACTGTAACAAGTTGAACACAGAAGCAGAAATGAGAATCCAGCTGTCTTTTATTAAGCAAGACTTAGAGATCTGCAAAATGTAGAAAGACTTAGTGATGAGTGTCACCAGAAAATAGTTCATGTTTCTTACATTAGCACATAGTGGGTCTGTTTTTAAAAATGAATATTTTTAAAATCTAATTTCTAATGTGGAAAATTCTGAAATAAAACGCACAGAAATGAGAACTCTTTGGGGTCCCAAGAACCACTGCTTTAAACCAAAGATTAATTTGAAAGCCTCTGTCAGAAACCCAAACCCTAGCCAGTTAGAACTGTCTTCCCATGTTGGCCTTTCAGACTAAGTCCTAAGTCAAGGTTTCTTAATTTCTAGGTCGCTATCTCTTTTTGAATGCAATTGCAAATCAGCTCCGGTACCCAAATAGCCACACTCACTACTTCAGTTGCACCATGCTGTACCTTTTTGCAGAGGCCAATACGGAAGCCATCCAAGAACAGATCACAAGGTAAGCGAGCAGCTTATTTTTTAAATGCTTCAAAAGGATCTCCTCCCTTTCATCTTTTTTTTTTCCTCTTTATGCTTTCAGTGTTCAGTGAAAATCCGTTTGGTTGGTTTTTTTTTTGTTTTTTTGAGACGGAGTGTTGCTCTGTCACTCAGTCTGCAGTACAGTGGCGCCATCTTGGCTCACTGCAACCTCCGCCTCCCAGGTTCAAGCGATTCTCGTGCCTTAGCCTCTCAAGTAGCTGGGATTACAGGCGCCTGCCACCACGCCCAGCTAATTTTTGTATTTTAGTAGAGACGGGGTTTCACCATGTTGGCCAGGCTGATCTTGAACTCCTGACCTCAAGTGATCCACCCGCCTCAGCCTCCCAAAGTGCTGGGATTACAGGCGTGAGCCACTGCACCCGGCCTTCAGTGAAAATCTTTTACATGTCCAATAATGTGTTAAATGTGGGATACAATTGTGAGCAAAATGGATGGTTCCTGCCCTCTTAATACTCATTCTGATGGACATTTATCACAAGATAGGGAATTATAAATCGCAATCATGGCTTAAATGAAAAGTAGTTTACCACAAGGCACATTTTGATTAAAGGTCAGGAGTTTCTCTGAGGTGGTGGTGATAACCAGTCCTAAATCATGCAGGCCTATGAAGTCTATGTTAAGGAACTTGGACTTTTCCTCATTACCTCTGGGTTGAAAGCAGTAGCAATAACAGGATCATACTTGCATTTTCCTAACAATAGTTAGGAATCTGTTGCCAGATTGCCTAGACTACATATAGCATTAGAGAGATTGTGATACACACACACACACACTTTAAAAATTGGGCCAGACTCTTAAAACTTGCTCATTTGCCTAATTAGTCACCTATGGTGCTAAATATGGTATTCCTTTGATTTGTGTACTAAAATTTAATATCTTATTGGATGCTTAGATGATGATGATCCATTTTGTTTATATAAAGCTGCAGTAAGTCTCCTTGGACTTGTAATCTTTGTTATGCTTCATGTACAGTTGGTACGTGAAAGGATATAAAGTTAAGCCAATGCTTACTGGCATTCGGAAAAATTTTACCAATTTACATGTGAACTAGCAATGTTAGCTTTTTTTTTTTTTTTTTTTTTTTTTTTTTTGAGACAGTCTCGCTTTGTCGCCTCCTGAGTAGCTGGGATTACAGGCACCTGCCACCACGTCCGGCTAATTTTTTGTATTTTTAGTAGAGACGGGGTTTCACCATCTTGGCCAGGCTGGTCTTGAACTCCCGACCTCGTGATCCACCCGTCTTGGCCTCCCAGAGTGCTGGGATTACAGGCGTGAGTCACTGTGCCCAGCCTGCAGTGTTAGAATACTTAATTCTTATTTTCTGTTTCCTTTTTATTGAGAGTGAGCTTATTTATTTATTTAATTTATCTGTTTATTTGAGACAGGGTCTCACTCTGTCTCCCAGGCTGGAGTGCAGTGGCACCATCTCGGCTCACCACAACCTCCACCTACTGGGTTCAAGCGATTCTCCTGCCTCAGCGTCCGACTGCTGGGATTACAGGCATGTGGCCACCATGTCTGACTAATTTTTATATTTGTAGCAGAGATGGGGTTTCACCATGTTGGCCAGGCTGGTCTCGAACTCCTGACCTCAGGTGATCCACCTGCCTCGGCCTCCCAAAGTGCTGGATTACAGGCATGAGCCACTGTGCCCGGCCTGGGAGCTCATTCTGGAAATTACTACTTTTTGTACTAACTTTGTGTGCCATGTACTCTGGGCTTTATGTGGCTTCCTCTCCCCCATCACCCCTTATTCTGAACAGCTGTGAGGTAGATACCATTATCTGCACTTTATATAAATACTTAGTCTTCTACGGCTAAGAGCAGGGTTCAAACCCAGGTATTCCAACCTGTGCTATTTGGAGTATATTAATCCACCTGTCTTTACTAAAGGTGAAAACTTTTGCATGTGGTTCAATAGTCAGGGAGAAGTTAGAAAAAAAGTAATGGAAGAATAATCATGAATTTGTATGCTTCTATACATTAACTAGCTCTTTCTCCCTTTTTCCAGAGTTCTCTTGGAACGGTTGATTGTAAATAGGCCACATCCTTGGGGTCTTCTTATTACCTTCATTGAGCTGATTAAAAACCCAGCGTTTAAGTTCTGGAACCATGAATTTGTACACTGTGCCCCAGAAATCGAAAAGTGAGTTCAAAGTAATTTTTAATTGTCTAGGAATGAGACTGGAGACTGAAAACCATCTGTCTCTAGGTTGGGTCAGCTGAATGAGATGCAAGGTATTGTTAGGCCTACTCTTTAATCAGAGATTTGTAACTGTCTTCATCCTTCAGGTTATTCCAGTCGGTCGCACAGTGCTGCATGGGACAGAAGCAGGCCCAGCAAGTAATGGAAGGGACAGGTGCCAGTTAGACGAAACTGCATCTCTGTTGTACGTGTCAGTCTAGAGGTCTCACTGCACCGAGTTCATAAACTGACTGAAGAATCCTTTCAGCTCTTCCTGACTTTCCCAGCCCTTTGGTTTGTGGGTATCTGCCCCAACTACTGTTGGGATCAGCCTCCTGTCTTATGTGGGCACGTTCCAAAGTTTAAATGCATTTTTTTGACTCTTGGCCAAAATTTAGAAGATGCTGTGAATATCATTTTGAACTTGTGTAAATACATGAAAGAGAAAACCTTTGTCTGGAACTTCTTGGCTTTGTGCAAGCTGTGTCCAAGGCAAGTACATAAACTGGTACCTTGTAATGAAGAGGCAGCTGATGCCATGCACTTGTCTGAGGGCATAGCTCCATGTCTTCTGACATTCCTGGTGTCCCAAAGAATAGCAAAAAGCCAGTTTGAATATTATGTAACTTATTTTTTTAATGTGGACAGGGGACCTTGAAAATCACTAAGTTATTAAAAATGTGGATGTGCTAGAATTGGATATGTCCAGGAACATGGGAAGGGCTCACTATTGGAATCCCATGAGTTTCCATTTTGTCTCTACCCAAACGTATTCCAAAGCTGACTGCATTTGTACCATCTTATTTCTTTTGGGGATTATACACCTCAGCCGCCTGAGATGGGGGTCAGCTCTTTATATAAAGGGAAACCAGACCAGGCCTAAAGCCCACCCCTACCCTCACCCCCCCAATCCTCTCCTGAAACTTAAAAACAGTGGGAATATAGGAAAGGGAACCAAATCTCATTAATTAATTGTTCTCCCCCATTACCCCACTGAATGAATGGCCATACAGGCTAAGCTGAATAATGACAAAGTTGAAAGGACCAATACAGCCCCTTTTATAAGGATTTTGAATGTTTTGCAAATGTATTGGTCCCTGTGTTGTATTTTGTAGCCTTTTCCTGGGCTTCAGCTCCCCTACTTCTTGTATGTGTATGCATACTGTAGCTAACCATTAAAGTCATGACACACACATGAGTCCACTGTGCCTTTCTCAGTAGCAGCAGCCAGTGCTGGTGGTGAGGAGGAAAAGTGGACAATCCAGCCCTGCAGACCTTGGGGCCATGGGGAACCACCAACTAACTTCTTGCTGAATGATTGATTGATTGATTGATAGGTCATTCCTACTACTAAGCTGGCATGTTTAAGGAAATTGTATTTTTCTTCCTATTTATTTCAACACTGGACAAATGCTGGAGCAGGTTTATCTGGTTAAGCTGAGTTTAAAATACCCAGTTTTAATATCCTTTTCCCCCAGGTATTTTTTTTTTTTTTTTAAAGAAAATGAGTAGATACGTATTTAAAAACTTAACCCACTTAAAATTTGCCTTACCTTTCATGACTGTCAAGTTTTATGGCCAGAGAGGACAAAACAGTTCAAAATTAAATAATTGAAGTCCTCCTTGAGTGATGTCTTAGGGTTTATTCCCTGAGAGGTGGTTTGTGCCATCTAGACTGAACTTTGGGTAACTATCGAGTACCAGTTACACAGCTTATTAAATCCAGAGTCTTTTCAATAAAGGTTAAGTGACTTCCTCAAACTAGACTTAGATTTAAACCAGGGGTCTACCTCCAAAGTCTATTATTAAATGCTGAAACACAACAAGACTTACTTATTACTACCGTATGTCCACTGGCTTTGGTTAAAACTGAGAACAAAACATCTGTAACATGCTTTAAGTAACAATTAGCAGTGATTCCCAAGTCTGCTGTTCTCAATCCTAAAACACATCACCCTTACCTGAGTTAATCCTAGCACACCAACTTTGCTACTTTTCCTCTTGGTGTTTAGTAAGCAAAAGAAAGATCCAAATTTTCCTCTTTTTCAAACATCAATGAGTATTAGCTTAGAATAAAGTTCTTATTGCTGTTCCTTCAGGGAACAGGGAAACTGCTAACTTGTCAGCTCCAACAACTGATGTAAGATCATCTTCTGACCATAGCGAACCTGTAAGGCTTGCTGTTCCCTCCAGCTGAGTTTCGCATAGACTTCCTTATTACTGAGTAAACCTTGGTCAGTTTTTAAGTCTGTGGCATAGGTCTGCAAAGTCAGTAGAACACTGTTTTGAAGCAGCTGTCTCCACGATGCTTTGAGCTTGGGAATATTTGTGATCGTCAGGCTGCCCTCTTCCCTTTTATCATCTCCCCCTCCATCCTGGTCTTTAAGCTCTCTGAACTCCTCAGCAGGCATGCACAGTACCTAGAAGCAACCACAGAGCTCTTTAATTAGATGTACTGCTTTTGTACTTCTGAAATGACTCAGGAGACTAAACTCATCTTAGCATTTATTAAAAATCCCACATTTCCTCTCTCATCTTCTAGCTATTTTGCTTTAAATACTTAGATTATCAGCATTAAATGGCCATTTTCAGCCGTTTACCTTTAGTGTGGTGGTCAGCTCCTCTTCAGTCAGCACCTCCTCCCTCCCTATCACAAAGGCTCCCTCTTCCCCTACCATCTCCAGTTTGCATAGGAAATCCCAGCGCTCGTACACTAGGTGCCTTTCAGCTTCAGTTTTTGTTCCTGTAGATGAAACAGCAATGTGAAAGTCTCAGTACACCCAAGGGTTCATTTCTTCTTTAGTCTGCCACCCAGTCTACAAAGTCAACTGCTATTTAGCAAAGCTATTTAACCTGAGGCATGGGTATAGACACACCATCAGTGTCAAATATTGAGTTAATGATACACTCACCCTGTAATGCTGCCTCACGAACTGTCACCATCTGAATGTCAGCTGTGTCATCTGTGTTGTCAGGATATGGTTCAACAAAACCGTACATATGAATCAGTTGCCAGTTAGCCATTTGCCCATAAGTGTTGAAAATCTCATGGCCTTTAGGAATGGGCTGAGTGGCTACCATCCGAAGACAATTCTGAGGTGAAAGGGAGAAGCTGGGGCCATGCCTTTCACGGGCCAGCCCCATGAAGATTATTTCCACTTAAGAAGAGCCTTCAGCAGGTGTAGTTCAGCCATGACTGATGCTGTTAACTACCAAAGTTCTACCTTTAGTTCCTGTTAGACCCTAAACTGTGAAACAAAAAAGGGTTGGGCTAACTTTAAAAGGCCAGCTTCATGTTTAACTGGGTGGATTTCTGCACAGTCCTCTTCAGCACTTAAAAAGTTGCTAGCTTTAAAAACGAAATTTTCGGCCAGGCGCAGTGGCTCACACCTGTAATCCCAGCACTTAGGGAGGTCAAAGTGGGCAGATCACCTGAGATCAGGAGTTCAAGACCAGCCTGGCCAACACGGAGAAACCCCATCCCTACTAAAAAATACAAAAATTAGCCGGGCATGGTGGCAGGAGCCTGTAATTCCAACTACTCGGGAGGCTGAGGCAGGGAGAATTGCTTGAACCCAGGAGGCGGCAGTTGCAGTGAGCCGAGATCACGCCACTGCACTCCAGCCTGGGCGACACAGTGAGACTCCGCCTCGGGGGGGAAAAAATGGAACTTTCGCAGATCAAAGTGGGAAAGGAAAATGGAGGCAAGGATTAAGAAATAACCATACTTACTAATTTCTGATCCTATAAATGTGCCATCTTTTCAGGCTACTTTTTATATAGAATAGAGCTGGTATAAACACAGCTTTATATCAGTTCTAGGATCGTCTTAGACCTTTGGCCTGTGAATGTCCTCATCCCTCCAAAACACGGAGACTATCACTGTTCCAGGCTGCTATCCACAGAGCCACACACAGTCTGGGCTCACTGATGTGATCAGCCAGAAAGGAATGAAACATGGCTATGCAGACCACTCAATGTCTAGCACTAAATAAATGATGGTAGTATAGTTTATCAGAGGATTAACCACAACTTACTTTGAGGACTTTAAAATGTTTCGCATTCAAATGATTCTACAGTAATATGCATACTAAAAGGACATACAGGAGGAGCTGATTTCACCTACTCATTTTGTAGCACTAGTAAGAGAATGGAGCCTAAGACACAATGGCTTGAATCATGCTCAATCAGTGCACCAAGAGAAACTCCACTCACCGCAGAGTATTCTAGATTGGCGTTGTGATTGGCTAAGTGGTTTAGTATGTCTGCAGCAGGCACCATCACGGGGGAGTTGGGCTCCTTTTCATCCTCTTCTTCCTCCAGTGGTTCCTGAAAGCTGCCATTGACAGAACCTGGCTAAGGCCCTGTCTTGGGTGAGGGACTGGGGGTGGATTTCACTGTTTTTCCACTTTTGTCCCTCTATAGAGTTGTAAAGAAAAGGGTTCCGTCCTCAGAGGCCCCACCCACTGACCTATAGGCCATCACAAGGGCCACCAGCTGGTGGTAGAGTTCTAGGGAGCGAACCCTGAGGCTGAAGAGATCGGGGTGGGCTTCCATGAAGGGCAGCACGATGGACTGGTACTCGCTGCGGATGTTGGCCAAATCCTTCTCCACGGCCTCAGGTACGCCTGTGCCCTGGAGCAGGCACCGGCGCTCCTCCTCTGGCCTGCAGGGACACCCACACCCAGGTTCCCTTCATTCCTTCACACACTTTACTGGGTAGGACTGGTGCAGGGGCGGGGAAACTTCTTGCAGCAGGCTACGGTGCAGGCGCTCCCCAACCCCTCCCAAGGCTCTCACCAGAACATCGGGTGCTCCAAGCGGCCCAGCTCGGGCCAGAGCGCAAAGTAGGGCCTCCAGCGTGAGGCCGGGGCCTGCAGCTCGTGGAGCAGCGCCAGCAGCAGTGGCACCCAGCCCGACTGGCTCTGCAGCGCAACTCGCTCTGAGGAAGACACAGGTGTGAGCGCCCCGGCGCGGCCTCGCGGGCCGGGCCCGCCCCGCCCCGCCCCGCCCCGCCCCAGGGCCCTAGCCCGCCGCCGTGCCCACCTCGCTCCAGCAGGCCGCCGATGGAGCAGGTGTGCTGCGACAGGAGCGCGGCCCGCGGCACCACGAACAACAGCTCTCCGGCCTGCACGCTCTCCCGGGCCACCATGCCGTAGCCGGCCACCGTGCCCTGCCGGCTGACCGCCACCTGAGCAGGAGGGCTGGTCAGGGCAGCCCGCGCCCCGCCGCGGGTCCTCCGCCCGCCGGCTCGCTCGCTCACCTTGGGACTCAGCTCCAGCCCCACCCGCCGGCACCAGCTCAGGAAGCAGGCCACAGGATCCAGGTCGCCGCCGTCCACGGGCCCCGCCACCTGAGATAAGTGCGCGCAGTGACCAGGTCCGACCCCCAGAGAGGCCGCTGGGAACTGCAGGAGACCGCGGCGCGAGCGCAGAACGGGCTTTGGGTGGAGGAGGGGACGAGCGGAGAGGGGCGCGGGACCCGCGGGAGGGAGCGGAGGGGGCGCAGGCGGACGGTTCTGCGAACGGAGAAGGGGTGAGGCGCGGAGGAAAAGGCTGGACCCCGCGCCCGCCACTCACCCGTGGACGCTTCGCCTGGGTCGCCATGGTCTAAGAGCGCGTTTCCTCGCGGGCCGGCGCACCGCGCGGTCACTTCCGGCGTCTCTGGCCCCGCCCCGGCGCCGGAACCACGTGGTGCCTGTTTTGTCGTCCACGCTGCAGACTGGCCGGAGTTACCGCGGGCTGGAATCGTTCCTCATGAAAACATCTTGAGTCCAGGATCTCCAATTGCACTCACGCGCTGCGAGTGCAGAAGGAGAGTCCCGTGCCGCTTGGCGCCTGGTTCTGAGCCAGGTACAGCCCTGGCCTTCGGTCTGTCCCCGAGGGCTGAGGCTTCTTGCGGTCTGGGTGCAAGAACAAAATACGGTTTCTGGATCGGAAGCCGAGGGTCTGGTGGCCGGCCGGTGGTGAGCGACGCAACTGGGCGGCGAGCGACCTCCTGATCTCGACCCCTTGTTGCCGATGGCCATGGAACCCTTTTACTGGTGGTATTCGTTCAGAGCAGTTTTCGTGTGTGTTTCAGAGTGGCGTGGCCTAGAGGGCTCCTGGATCTAGAATAGATCCTCTCTGCCCTTATTTGCCAGTACATCCTCGTTTTTAATCTGCTGCATAGCACGTGGTGGGTTTTATTAGCTGACATAGTAGGGACTCAATATCTACCTATTGGGTAAATAAATGAATAAAACAAATGGTGGTTAAACCTGGGGAAGTAGCATGCTGTTAAATGTAAGAAAATGAGGCTGTGAATATAGAGGTTACAGGAATGGGTTTTGAAGCCAAGCAACGCCGCAGCTCAACACTCAGTTTTTTTTTTTTTTCCTTTTTTTTTTTTTTTTTTTTGGCGCGTTGGGGAGACGGGAGTCTCGCCCAGGCTGGAGTGCAGTGGTGCGATCTCGGCTCACTGCAACCTCCACCTCCCGGGTTCAAGCAATTCCCCTGCCTCAGCCTCCCAAGTAGCTGGGACTACAGGCGTACGCTGCCATGCCCAGCTAATTTTTTGTGTTTATTTTTAGTAGAGTCGGGGTTTCACCGCGTTGCCCAGGCTGGTCTCGAACTCCTGAGCTCAGGCAATCCCCCCGCCTCGGCCTCCCAGAGTGCTAGGATTACAGGCGTGAGCCACCGCGCGCGGCCTGGTCTGTTACTCAGGCAAATCCTTTTTCCTGAACCTTAGTCTCCTCACCTGCGAAACTAAGATAATACCTACTCTGTAGAATTAATGTAAGGATTGGTATGTTGACTAAAGAAAAAATATTAAGCTTTTAAATAATTAAAATTAGTTTTATTTAGAAGCCTTATTGAGGACTATAGACTGAGGCCTGTAGCCCAGGAGTAATCTTGTGAGGCTCCTCTAACACGGTATTTTAGTTTAGGTTATACATAGGTGAAGATTTAGTATGTGTAAAATCATATCAAAGTTTAGGGATAAGTATATCTGGTTATAGATTGCAGAGTATAATCATTAACCCTGTCAGACATGATCGTATGTTTAGGAGAAGGCAAAGAGTAGGTCATTTATCTTTGAAGGAATGTAGTGACTCAGGCAAGAGATTTGGAGGGCAGGGGTGTTTTGTTTTGTCTTTAAGGCATTTTTTTCTGGAGAGCTGTATTTTGTTTTTTTGTTTTATTTTGAGGCAGAGTCTTGCTCTGTCATCCAGGCTGGAGTGCAGTGGCACGATCTCCACTCACTACCACCTCTGCCTCCTAGGTTCAAGCGATTCTCCTGCCTCAGCCTCCCGAGTAGCTGGTATTACAGGCACGCGCCACCATGCTCAGCTAATTTTTGTATTTTTAGTAGAGACGGGGTTTCACCATGTTGCCCAGGCTGGTCTCGAACTGCTGGCCTCAAGTGATCTGCCCGCCTCAGCCTCCCAAAGTGCTGAGATTACAGGCTTGAGCCACCGTGCCTGGCTGAGGAGAGCTGTATTTTGTCACAGAGTCAGGGGAGAAATGAGCACATAAGCAGAAATGAGCACATAAGGCTTTTAATGTTTGTGACATTCTCATCTCACCGGTAAAATAATGTGACGTGTACTGGAAATAGAAAGATGGGTGGAGACCATCCTCTCCTAGCACCCTCAACCCAAAACCCAAGCAGCACCAGCAGCCCCTGCCCAAACATTCTGTTTCTCCAAAAGCCTCCCATGATGGGCATGGCATCACCACACTGGAATTCTTCTTAGGTTCTTTATTAGTTTTTCAGCACAGTTAACTCTTTCTACGTTGACTAGAGTTTTGTTTTACATTTTATCATCTCATGACAGCAGCCACCAGAATACACAAAATTAGGCTCTTTACTTTGTGCGGAGAAGAAAATAATAAACATTAAAAGTTCACCTTGACCAAAGAGACAACCTCCAGAAGAACACCACACATGGGAGGACCCGATGTACACACACACACACACACACACACACACATATAATGTATAGATATTTATAGATACATCTGGAAACAGCAAAAAACAAAATTCCAAGATTTGCAGTGTTATCTACAGTAAGAGGGATGAATTCTACCAGCTTTCAAACAGTCACATTCAGTATTCAGAAGAAGCACATGAGGGGGTAGAACTGGGCAGAAACTAACACGCCACCAGGCTAGTCATGGCTTAAGATTATAGAAGGGGGGTGATGTGTGTAGAGGAAATACGCATATAGGTGTCCTCTCAGCCTCAGAACACCCGCCACAACCCTTCCCCCGTCCACAGCCCTGCATGTTTTCACTGCTCTCTCCCGTTTTGGGGTTTGTGATTATTGATTTAGGGTCTGAGACAAATGGCTCTGGTTTCTGGGCCGCAAGATGCTATGGGGTAAGGTGAGTGGATGGAAAGCATACAACGCAGTCCTGGGCTTCAGGGGACAGCAGGAGGCTGGGGTGTAGGGGAAGCCTTTCTCTTCTACCTGACCCTTGTTCATGTCCAGAACCTTCAGCCCCCAGTAAGCCCCAGCCCAGGCGGCTATGGGGTGTGGGACTGTAGAAGCCTCGCTGCCTTGGGCCAGTTGACTAAATAAACTCTCTCTTCCTTAGTGATGCGTCCGGGACACACTGGCACAGCCTGGCCAGAGCTCTGCCTGAAACACCACACTGCTACTGATGGCGTTGCCCTCTGGGGAACCTGGGGGCAAAAAAGGGGTCTCCAGGAACTCAGCTACCCCTGCCTCTGGCCACCTGCGGGCTCCCAAAGGCAGTCACCACGAAGTTCTCAGGGGCACACACACCACACATGGGCTCTCTCCTCCTTCTCCCTCACCCCCAGTCAGGTCACTGTGGGGACAGAGGACCAGGCAACTTCTGCCTCGGGGAGGCCTTGGCTCAGAATTGGGACAGGGCCAGGAGGTGGCAGAGTGTGGGCTGGAAGGGACAGTCTGTGGGGTTCCTGCCCTGACGGTTCTCCATGTTCTGTCTTCCTTGGGCAGAGAAACCCCTTGACGCCCCTGCCTGCGTGGCCCTACAGCACCAGCTGGGCCCAGAGAGCACCAGGAAAGTGGCTGCCTGGTCCGAGCGCCCCCTTGTGGCTGTTGTCCAGATGATTGTCACATGTGCTATGAGACAGAAACAGGTGTGCTTGGTGGAGGGTGGGGGAAGGGGTCTCCCAGGGCTCCCACGCCAGTGCCTGAGCTGGCCCCGCACCCCTGTGGCCCAGCACCCACCCTCTCGAAGCCTCTCTCATCTCCAAACATGCCTGCCCAAGGGCTCACCCAGGAATGGCCTGGATCCGTAGCGAATCTCCCTCCCTATGGCCCTGCCCTTCTGTGCCTGGGCCGCCGGGAGTGGGATGAGAGGGGTCAAGTTGGCTAAGTTACCACGGAGAGTGAGATGGGATGAGGAGGACTGAGCCCCTTAAAACACCTGGAGACTGTTCTGCTGCAGCATCTAAGATCCCCTCATTTTTTTCAAACAGAACCCCATTTCCTCCCCTTTGCCCTCACAAAAATAAACTAAAGGGAACATGAGCCGGCGCAAGGATGGCGGTGGGGCCTCGACGTGGGCGTCGTCAGCGGGATCAAGGGCTTCAACAGGACACCTCCATGGTGTGGTTGACCTGGCCCAGCCCCTCGCTGCTCTCTGAGTGGGTGCAGGCCTGTGGGCGGCTGCCATCCACCGAGCTGGCACTGGTGAGGGATGCAGTGCGGGAGCGTGCCAGGCGGGTCATGCTGGCTGAGGGCACTGTGGACAGAGACAGGATGGGCCTGAGGACTGGCGGGCAGGGCCAGGTGCCTCTGGTGGGAAAAGTAGGCTGCAAGCAAAGCGGCCAGCGAACCGTTCCTCGAAGGCACAAAGGGCTCCTCCTGAGTCAGGAGGCTGGCGACAGCTGTCGGGCTGGGGGCATGCAGGGCCGGCGACAGTGAGTGGGCCTAGGGGGCTGCGGCCAGCAGCTGACCAGGCAGCCCTGAGCTGGTGCAGGGAGGTGCTGGGTTTCCAGCCGTGCCTCCCTCAAGAGGATGCCAGTGGAGAAGTAGGACTGTTTCTGTAAAGGAGGACGCGGAGCGGTGGTCGCATACTGCCCTCAATTCAGACTGTGCCCTAATTCCCTAATTCAGAGTTTCACAAGCAAGACTTGCGGGCAGCAAACTCTACCCTCCGGAACTCTCCTGGCCACCTATGTGGCTCAGGCAGGGCCAGGCCTGGGCTCTACCTCTAAGGAGGGTCTGTTTCCTATCCCCAGAGCTCTGGAAGCCACGCAGCTCATGACAACCTAGAAGCAAGACTGCTCTGCAACCCAGCCAACCTAGAGGCCAAGCCTGCAGAAAAGCAAGAATCTGTGGGGTTTCTGAGTTGAACAGGACACAAGAAGGTTCCAAACCACAGCAAGATGCGGCCTGGCTGCAGCACACTGCGCAGAGGAAGGAGCGGGGGAGGAGGAGGCTGGGCGTCCATGCATCAGGGGAAGGGCCGTGGGGCTACCTGCTCCTCCACTCAGCCTTCGGTCCTTCAAGTACGCAACTAAGAGAGAAGACAGAGCCGGAGAGGGGGCGGGGATGGGGGAGACACAACACAGTGAAGAGCGTGGTCCGCTGAGTCAAGGGCATTGAGATGAGCCAGAGAGATGGGACAAAGGACAGGCACAGAGAGGCTGGGGGCAGGGCCAGAGGCTTCTGGAAGCCCACTCCTGCCTGCCCACCCAGCAGTGGCCCCCAGAAGGATCTCTGGCCCAAGGAAGCCCTGACAGGTGGGGTGCTTATCCCCTCACCATTCTCCTAGGCCTCAGTCTCCTGCATACAGAATGGGGGAGGCCTGCCCGCTCTGTGCCCTTCCCAGCTTGGGGCTGCCTGGTGGAGTTTCTCCCCAGGACCCTGAGAACGCGTCTCAGCGCCTGACAATGTTCTTCCGTTCACCTCGCAAATGCTTGCTGTGCCCTGATTCCAGACTCTGTGCTCCTGCGGAGCCTCCCTGTGGGCCCTAGGGCTCTGCCCTGCTCCAGAGAGCATTCTATTCCTGGGTGTCCTCCCCAGCCTTCCCACAGGCAGCCCTCCTGTTTGCCCTGGAGATAGCTCCAGAGGCTGAAGTCTGGAGGGGAACAAAAAACAAACTGAGAAGAGGAAGTTTGCCTCCTGGCAGTGGGGACCTGGAGGAACAGGTATGTCTTGGAGGGAAGGGGGAAGTCAAGGAGACACACAAGGGGTGTGTTGTGTGTGTGTGTGTGTGTGTCTGTGTGTGTGTACCTGGTTCCACCCCAGACCCAGATTTTCAGATCTGCCAAGCCAGGTTCAGCTGCTTTCAGCTCTCTGAATGCCAGGCGGCCCCAGTTGCCTTCCCTGGCCCCAAACTCCAAGCCCACTCCTATGATGCCCCTGGGTGCAGCCATGAGTTGTTTCAAAAGGCCTTCTCAGGTGCCATAGACCCAGCTCTGACCCCAAGCCCTGGGGCGGGTGAGGGGAGTGTGCCTCACCCCCAGACAGGCTTCCCTGGCAGGACACGGCCCCTGGCCCTGGACCCCCAGCACGGAAGGAAGAGTCCCTTCCCCCAGTAGGCCCAGCACTGCCATCAGAACAGTGCGCCAAGTCCTCCCTAAGGGCAAAGGGGAGTTGGGCACAGCCTGGGATGGCCAACTTGCAACTCAGGTGGCATCTGTGGGGCCCAGCATCCGGGGCCCAGGTCACACAAAACTCCTATGCTTATGGGCTCCCTACTACCACCTGACACCACGTGCCAGCCCTGCAAACAGGAGCCCCAACCCCAGCACTGCCTGCCCACCGGTCTCTAGGTGGTGTGGGGTGGGGTGGAAATGTACTCACTGTAGCCCATGCCTTGCAGGAAGTATTTGAAGGCTTCAGTCAGCTTCCCTGGCTGCGGAGGGCAGGACAAGCACATGCTTTCATTGGCTGCCTAGGATTAGCAGGTAGGGTAGAGGCTTCCCCCTCCCCATAGATGTAAGGGCAGGAGGGCCAAAAGTCTCACCTGTGTGACCTGGGGCAGCCCTCCAGAGTCTGCCATCTGCAAGGGAGAGAGTGGGGTGACCTGAGCAGGGCCCTCACTCCAGGACAAGCTCCCACCCTGGCTGGGACCCCAGGAAAACACCTCCCTGAGGTTGGGCCCATGCTAGGGAAGCTGGCCCAGGGCTGGGGAAGAAAGCCTCACCTTCAGGAAGGTCGTAGTGGTCGGGTCCAGTTTGGAGTTGCACTCCACCTGAGGACAAGGAGCCAGCTTCAGCAACAGCCCCTGCCCCTCCCCACCCCCATTGCCAAGGCAGGTTTGATGCCCCAAGCTCGGGGAGGAGAGGGGGTGCAGGGAGGCAGAGGGAGGCCCAGCAGCTGTGACAGGCTGCTCCTCCCAGGCTTTCTTCTCCCAGGGCTCCCCATGTTCTTGGAGACCAGTTTAACAGCCCCACTGAAGGGCCTGGGACCCTTGGAGCCCACTCACAACTGCTAGGAGTGGGAGTCAGGCGAGGGCTGGGCTGCCGTGGTGGGACTGGCCTGGGAAAGCCCCAGTGCCCTCGGCAGTGAGGTGAGGGGTGCCGAGGGTCTGAGAGAGACTGGGTGGAGGGGGCTGGCACAGCCCACCACCCTGCTCTTCCAGGACCTCCCAGTGGGCATGGGAAAGCCTGGTATTTTCAGGGCGCACGGGGCTGCTCTGGGCACTTCTGGACCCTGCAGCTTCCCAGCAGCTCTGTGCTGATGGGGCATCCCAGCCTCAGGCCACCTGCTCCCAGAGTTCCAGCAGGAGAGGTGACACACGGCCCCCAAACATAACCGCTGCAGGTGACGGGAAAAGGGAGACCGTGCCGCTGTATGCGTTAATGATTTATAATGGCTTGATCACATTTTAGAAAAAAGATCGTACACCCTGGGCCTGAGGTGGGTAGGGACCAAGTTGGGGCTGTGCTGCTGGGGAGGGAAGAGGGGACCTTCTGATGGCCCAGCCCTGGCCCCAGCTCTCCCCATTTCCAGGCCTCCCCAGCCAGAAGGATGGGGGCTATGCCAGATGTGAGGCTTGGCAAGACTGTGGGAAAGTGGACAAGAAGCCCACCGTCCACTGCTGGCCCTGGAGGCTCCCCTGGGCTGGATCAAGAATTGTCCCTGCTGGGCAGGGGCCAGTGAGCCCCTCACCCCTACCTCCCACCCCCAGTGAGCCCACAGCCCCTCACTTACCACCCCGTCCTCAGCGGGTGCATTATCCCCAACCACCAGCATCACGGGGCAGCTGCAGATACAGAGGAAAAGGGCTGTCTGGCTGGGTCATGGGGGCAAAGGCCAGGGCAGGCCAGAGGGCCAGGGGCCACTCACCGGAGCGTCTTGGCATTGGGCACCGTTCCAGGCCGGTTAATGTCCAGGTCTCTGCGGCTGTGGGGCAGGGGGAGGGGCAGAGGCAGAGGTGGGCACCCCAGGACAGGATGAGGGGCATCCCAAGCCCAACACTGCCAATTGGTAAAGCAGGGAGGCGTGGACCTGCTCTGCATAAATGAACTGGAGGCTCCCTGTCACGGCTTTTTGGACTCCCTAGCACATACCAGGTGGGCTCTCAAATTTTGCTCTCTATCCCCCTCAGAGCCATGCGCACCGCCACCTGTGCTGTGGGAGTTTCTGCTACTGGCCTGTCTCCTGGACCATATGGGATGGCAGGCCCTGGGTCTCTCTATTCTCTATTGTTTTGTTTTCTTAGCACCATGCACACAGCAGGTGCTTAATATTTGTAGAAGAATGAGAAGGAGGGCACGTGAGTGAGGGGGCCTGGCCACCTTCCTGCAGGGCAGGGCAGCCCCTAAAGGGGGCTCCAAGGAGCACAGCTTGAAAACCACAGGCTCATCCGACCTCTTCCTCATTTTGCAGACGTCAACATCAAGGCTGGGTTACTGGAGTCAGGGATGTCACTAACACCCCCAACATTCCCAAGCGGGAAGCCCCCAGGGGAGGAGGAAAAGTGGAAGAGCCCAAGGCCCGGAGTCTGAAACCCTGTTCCCCTCTGCCCCTCACAGGGTGTGACCTTGTGCAGGAAATGACCTCCTTTGAGGCCCAATATCGTGCCCATCTACAAACCAGGGCAAGGGTGTTGTCTGCCTGCCTCCCTCAGGGGGCAGTGTGCAAGGGCCCCCACTGGGGTGTGCTGGGTCCCAGGGCTGCTGATCCCACCCGCACCTGTTGTACATGTTCCAGAAGAGCTGCAGGTTGGCCTGGTTCACCACGTTCCCAATCTGCTGCCGGTAGCTCTGCACCAACTCTGTGTTGTTCACCAGCTCCTCCTAGGCCCAGGGAGATGGATGGAGGCATGCAGAGGGGCAGACAGAGGGACGCAGGCTTAGAGGGGGCTGGCAGATGTCACTGCCAGAGTGGCCCTTGCCCCACTCAGCAGGCAGGGGAGACAGGGTGGGGGCAGGTAGGAGGTGTGGGGCCTTGGGAGGGGATGTCTGTCTTTCAGATGGCTTAGCATCTGGAGTGAGCCAGGTCAGATGCCAAAGACACCCGCCTGCCTCCTACCGAGCCAGCTGGGAGGGGCAAATCCCAGATCACCCCAGATCTGCAGAAGTTCCCCCCCTTACCTGGCTGAAGAGGTGGGAGAGCACCGTGTCGGGTAAAGTGCTAGTTAGGCCGGAGAGCTGCAGGGAGCAGGGCGCCAGCGTGAGTGCCGCCCCTCACCCCACCCTAGGTATACCCACCCCACCCCCGGTCACCACACACACCTTGGTGGCAGCCCAGTCTATCCAGCCTTTGCCATTGGGGTCGATGTTCACCAGCACCAGCCCCTCCACCAGGTCGGGGAAGATGAGCTGCAGTAAGAGGGGAAACAGGGCCGGGCGGGGCCAGGATGGGTGCAGATGGCAGAAACACTCTGTAAAGTCTTCAAGGTGCTGCTGATCAGCCACCCGGCTACAGCCGGGTCTGTGCATGCACACCCATGTCCAGATGCCCCTGCCTGTCCTCCTCTCACTGAACCCTTCACAGTTCTTGGATTTATTTAGAATCTCTATCATTGTTTCCACCCCTACACACACACAGACACACACACACACACACACACACGCTCTTTCAACAGAATCAGCTCTTAATATATTTTTGAAGTGCAAAATTGAGTATTAAACATCTTAAAATCTTAAGCATGTTGTTTTTTTGCTTTTATAGAGAATGAAGCCCTGGCCAGGCGCCGTGGCTCACGCCTGTAATCCCAGCACTTTGGGAGGCCAAGGCGGGCTGATCACCTGAGGTCAGGCATACGAGACCAGCCTAGCCAACATGGTGAAGCCCTGTCTCTAATAAAAATACAAAAATTAGCCAGGCGTGGTGGCATGCACCTGTAGTCTCAGCTACTTAGGAGGCTGAGGCAGGAGAATTGCTTGAACCAGGGAGGTGGAGGTTGCAGTGGGCCGAGATCATGCCACTGCACTCCAGCCTGGACGACAGAGCAAGACTCCATCTCAAAAAAAAAAAAAAAAAAAAAAAAAAGAAAATGAAGCCCTCATGATATAAATTAAGAAAAAAACAACCTTTTCAAAGTCTGTTTTGCCGTAGGCATTGCAAAAGAGGTATTTTCTTTTCAACTGTTAGACTGTGCTTAAAGAAAAACAGCATAACCACATCAAGCTTGTCTAGGGTGGCAGGGAATGGCCTCCAGTTAACAAAATGATTAAGTGCTGACATTGCAACTGGAGTTGAAAATTCTTGGTCATTTCTTTTGAAGTAGTAAATGTCTTCGATCGTGAAAAATTAGTCTTTTGGGTTTTTGTTTTTTTTTTTTTTGCTTGTTTTTAGAGATGAAAAGCTTGTGAATTCCTACCCAACAATGATTTTTTTTATTTTTTTATTTTTTTGAGACAGAGTCTCGCTCTGTTGCCCAGGCTGGAGTGCAGTGGCGCGATCTCAGCTCACTGCAAGCTCCGCCTCCCGGGTTCACGCCTTTCTCCTGCCTCAGCCTCCCGAGTAGCTGGGACTACAGGCGCCCGCCACTACGCCCGGCTAATTTTTTGTATTTTTAGTAGAGACTGGGTTTCACCGTGTTAGCCAGGATGGTCTTGATCTCCTGACCTCGTGATCTGCCCACCTTGGCCTCCCAAAGTGCTGGGATTACAGGTGTGAGCCACCGACAATGATGTTTTTGAAATGTGCCTTCTTTAAACCTCCCAACCATAATAAAATTTTTTGCTAAAAAAATTATTCATGTTGAAATACCATGGCAATTAGTGAAGGACGATCCTTATTTAGTGGCTAGAGCAGTTAGTTGTATAGTTTGTTGCTACTAGAAATTCTGGCTTTGGATAATAGTTTAAGCAAGTTATAGTTTCTAGTCTCTTGAGAAAACTATATGGAGAAAGGAACCTCTTTTTTAAAAAAGTTAATTTCCCTGGAGGAAAAAAGAAAAAAGAGGTTTTCTACATAAAGAGGAGGTGGGAGGAGGAGAAGCGAGAGCAGGGACACTTCCTCAAGGCTGAAGGGTTCCCCCCAGTCCCCACCACTGGGACATCCCTGGCTTGCCCTGGTGTTTGGGGTAATGGGGGCATGGGGAGACTCACTGCAAACTTGGCCAGCACATAGGCTCCGGCGCCCACTCCGATGCCAATCACATACTTGAACCTGGTGCAGAGCAGGCTGGTCACTCTAGGGCTAGGGGTGCCATTTCCCATACATGTCATCCAGAGCAGGCCCTGCCCATAGCCTGAAGCCCTCAGCTGGAGCCAGGTGGCTCTGCAGTTGGGGTAGGCACCCCTGGGCCCTAGCGCAGGGGCTGTGCGGGGACTCACCCGAAATGCTGCACCACGCTGGGGAGCATGGCAGCCAGCTGCTCCATGGAGGGGAACTGGTACCTGCAGGCAGAGCAGGAGGTCAGGGCCCAGGTGTGGCCTCAGGTGCAGAGCTGGAGACAGGCAGAGGGGGCTCAGGGTACCTACCCCTGAGGAAACTGCGACGCCCCCACCTGTTGTCCAGGGGCATCCACGTGACACACCACAAAGTGCTTGGTGATCTCCTGCATGTCCTCGAAGTTGAAGAAGGTGTTGAAGCATAGTTTGTCTGCAAAGACACACTTCCACTATGGCTGAGCAGAGGGGCCGGGGGACTGGAAGGAAGGCCGGGCCCCCAGAGGGCAGGCAAGGCAGAAGTGTAAGCCTCGGGTCCGTCGGGGAAATGGAGGCCCGGAGGGCGAAGGCAACAGAGGTGAGTGTGAGTGGGGCTGACAGGGCCCTGTGGGGAGGGTGGGGGGCCTCACCGCTCTGGCTGATGGGAGGCAGAGGAGGGCTGACTGAGGCTGGGCTGCACTTACGGTTGAGGCCCACATCATGGTAGGTGAGGATGGCTGGGCGGTTCCCCTTGGGGGAGCCCCGGATCACTACATGCAGAAGGCCGTAGGGTGTCTCGATGTCATGTTCCTGAAGGGGAGAGACCGTGCTGGACACTCTGGGCAGCCTCCGCTCTTGGCTCCTCTGGGGAATGAGGTGACGCAGCCTGGTACCTGTTAGGCCTGTGGTAGAGCCCCTACTTGGGGCATCCTGTTCTCATCACCCCAAGAAGCCCCCAGAGAGGACTGAATGGATGGAACACCCCTTCTCAGGGCTGTTCAGTACAGAGACAATGTGAACTGATCTGCATGGGGAAGGTCTGGTCCTCTCTGCAAACCAGCCACTGGTTTGTGCTGTCACTGTCCTCCGCCCTTGAGGGTCCAGGGAGGCTGTTTTTCTCCATCTTGCAGCAGCCCCTCCTGGACAGCTCTGCCTCCCCAGCCCAAGTCCCTCTCACACTCAGAACTCTCAGGCACTTCCTGCTGCTGCAGGGGAACGGCCTCAGTGGTCCTGCCTGGAATCCTCAGAAAACACCCCGTGCCAGCCAAGCCTAGCCCCGACCCCGGCACTGCCCCTGGCTCCCACTCTAAGGCTCTTGCGCATGTGGTTCCTTCCACCTTGAACGCCCTTCTGTGTGAGCCCAGCATCCTCAAGGGCTCCCTTCAGGCAGGCCCGGGTCAGACCCCCCTCCCCATCCCCTCTAGAGGCCTTCTGCAGAGCCTGCTCTGGGATCCTCTTGAGTTCACACCTTTGGTTTTGCTGCTCAAGGTCATTACTTCCTCAGGAAGACCTGGTTCTACCCCTTACTTGTGACTGAGCATGTCATGTTACTTCTCTGCTGTGCCTCAGCCTCTCCATCCAGAACCACCTCACAGGGACTTTGCGGGAACTAGACAAGCCAATGTTTGTGGAGCATTTAGCACTTGGAGAAAGCCCCAGAAAGGGGGCTGTTATGCTAGGGCATCCCTGAGCCTTGGGAGAATGCCCTTCTCGCTGTTCCTTTGCAAACTGGGCATTCTTAGCCACTCGGATGGGCAAACTTCAAGAGGGGCCATCTGAGCTAAATAAACCGATCCTCTCTGCATCATTGTGAGCCCTGGGAACCACGTGAGTGGCCCAGTGAGTTGGAGGTGGGGCTGGGGTCAAGGACATGAAAGAAACATCAAGCGACTGAGCACCTACTGTGTGCCAGGCTTCCTGCATGTTACCCAAGAGACAGGAACCCTAGTCCCTGTTTTGCAGGTGAGGACACTTTGGTTTAGAAAGAACCTGAGTTCCTGCCTCCAAATGGGAAAGGAGATTTAGACAGCAGAAGACAGCTGCTCAGGGGCCAGCATTAGTGGGTCTGGTCTCAGAGGACCACTGTCCAGGCCTGTGTCTCCAGTGTGGAGTGACAAGCTGGCACCAACCTGGTGGCCAAAGGCTCTACCCTGGAGAACACTCTTTGACTTGCAGGCCCTTTTTATTTCCCTGTTGTCCTCCAGGAGAGCCCAGGTAATGAGCCTTAGGGTGAGCCATGCGGCTGATTGCACCACCCAGGGGATGAGGAGGCCACACCAGGGCTGAGAGGGGACAGACCACACAGCCCCTCCCATCCCAGGCCTATCCTTTCTCGGGGCCCATCAAATCCAGGAACACTTCCCCGCCACTGACCACTGACCCACAGTTTTCTCATTTACTTCCCACATAGGCCCAAGCCATAGAGGAGGAAATTGAGGCTAGGAAAGGGAAATGACTTGCCCAAGGTCAATCCCAGAGTAGGGAGGGCAGGCCCTGCCAGGTGCCAGTCTCAGGGGCCAGGGCGGTGCACTGAAGGCTGCATGTTCACAGGAGATCAGGTTCCACCCGAGGGAGCTCCTGACCAGGCAGCCCTTTCACAGCCACCTGTGAGTTCTCTCAGCTCTGGAGGGTGGGGCTGCAAAAGAACTGCAATGCGCCTCCTGCTGCATAAAGGACAGTTATCCTCCTGGGGTCAGACGTCGAGAGCCCAGGG